>NC_000010.11:127547785-127859266 GCF_000001405.40 Homo sapiens
TTTAGCTAAAACAACCAAAAGTAAATATGTGTGTTCAGTCCCTTTGTGCTCTTAGGCCCTTTGTCTCCTAATATCCACACTATGTCCCATAAGAACACTGATCAAAGTAGTTTGGATCACTTCCTCAGCCCCTCAACTTGGCTCTAATCTTGTGAGCTTGGTTCTCTTGAGAGTCCAGGTCATCTGCTTTTCCTTGTGATGGCAAACTGTGACTGTATGATTGACAGCTACATAAAAATCATGCAAATGGCAGTTCCCCAAAGAAAGAAATGCAGTGCCAACAAATTGGCAGCAACTGTCCCAGACACAGGGCAGCTTTGTCCTCCAAAAGGTGCTGATCTCGAGGAGGCACGGATTATCCTTGGTTGCTTTGTATTCAAAAACTGTTGGCATCATCTCAGAAACACTAGTTATCCAAGCAGAAAGCACCTCCCTTGGTGTTTTTCTCCATTGTAAGCCTCAGCAACATCTGTTCATACTTAGAGCTCCTGAATCCATTTATTAATGCAGATGCCCATTGAAGTGCAAGGACAGCAAAGGCTGCCTGAAGAAATTCCATACCCTGGGGAGAAAAAGGAAGCCATGAAAAGCAGGCTCTCCCAGAACTGTGGGCCTGGGACTTTGGGAGCCCGTGGGACTTTTGGGAGTACATGGCATGGACAGGGGATACACAGTGTCCTTCCTTTATTTCGATGACTAGCGGAAAAGGTGTGACATTTATTTTCCTGCTTTAACTGCTGAAGTCCTAAAGGAAAGAAATCTAAGGTAGAAAATGTAAATAATCTGCATGAGTTGTTTGGGTAAATGTGTTTTTTTGTTTGTTTTTGTTTTGTTTTGTTTTGTTTTGAGTCAGAGTCTGGCTCTGTCACCCAGGCTGGAGTGCAGTGGGGCAATCTCGGCTCACTGCCACCTCTGCCTCCCGGGTTCCAGCGATTCTCCTGCCTCCTGCCTCAGCCTCCCAAGTAGCTGGATTACAGGTGTGCACTACCACGCCTGGCTAATTTTTGTATGTTTAGTGGAGATAGGGTTTCACCATGTTGGCCAGGCTGGTCTCAAACTCCTGACCTCAGGTGATCCACCTGCCTCGGCCTCCCAAAGTGCTAGGATTACAGGTGTGAGCCACCGTGCCCAGCTGGGTAGATGTTCTTTATTCCTGTAAGTATTTCTTTTGTGTTAGTTTCTGAAACATAATGTCTGGGACATTCAAGGAAAGAATGTCATCCTTCTTAAAGGTTTAAATTCTAAGCTAAAAAAACCTTTTGTTTCCTTTTGAGACCTCTGGCCACCCATGCCACAATGATTCAGTCTCGAAGACAATGGTTTTGAAGGACATTCTTAATGGCAAACTTTAAATGAAGTCGATCATTGGCAGCTCAATGACAATGCCCATATGTTATGTCCTTTTCTTCTTAACAAGAACAAAAGGCCACAGACAGAACAATTAGTCATATAGGAGGGATGAGATGACATTTTTACTCCCGAACTTTTCTGGTATAAAAGGGCCACCCAATGAGGGTCTGAGAGTAAGTGTGAGAAATTTGGCAATAAAACCACCTATCTTTACAGATTTTGGGAAGTCCAAAATGATTAGGTAAAAGGCTACGTTTTTCTGCAAAGAAAAATGTTGCATTTTCATATGCTGTTTTACTTATTCTTGCCTACTTGAGACTAAATCTTGATTGTACTTTTTTTCTACTTTGCAGCTCAGTAAAACTCAATCTCATCCTAGTTCTGTCGCTGTCCACAATGCATGTGTTTTGGTGTTATCCAGTTCCATCTTCTAAGGTAAGGATTTGCCTCCGTTGTGGATATTTAAATAGATGACTAGAATGGTAAATTATGTAAATTCCAAATACTTTCAAGGAATATGTGACAGAAAAGTAATTTCCTTTATTATTAGAGTTCTCAATGGGAAAAAGTCAGCAGATTGATGACATTAGTAAAAGAAAATATTAGTGTGACAAGTAACACTGGACTATATTCAAATTTGTTTTGAATTATTTAGGGTTGGCTCCTGCAAAGGGAAATATTCATCTCAATCTAAAGTAATTTTTTTGCCAATGGCAATTTATTTATTCCACATGCATTCATTCATAATCAAAGTGAACACTTAACCATGGAAACTATATTAAAAATAAAGTGGTCATTTTTCAAAAACAGTTTAATTTTTTCAGATGCAGAATATAGATAAAACGTTAGCTCTAAATAAAATATCACATAAAATATTAATTCATATATTTATTAGAGAATATTGATTGAACTCCTACGTTCATTGAACTGTTCAAGACATTCAGAAAATAAATATCTTTCTTTGGAATATTTAATATTATTTCTACATAATATTTCAGTTGCCTTTATGTCAATATTTTGTTTATAATTTTAAAATATCTTTTGTCATTGACGGCATTTTGAACTTGAACTTTTTTTCACTAAAACGTAACCTGTCACATTATAATGACTGAAATCAATGTGATTTATGAAACTACTTTTAGGATAAAGGGATGTCGCATAAATCCTAAGTGATAAATATATGTCTGAACATAATGATCTAGTTATTTATATTATTGGCCTTTTCACTAATCTTTGCATCTGTCATTTTTCTATTTCTTGTTTATTTAATATAGCTTCTTTTTTTTGGTTTCCTCCTATGAGCATTCAACACTAATTTAGTCATCAATTCTATAAGACACCACATTGATCAAGCTGATGAGTCACAATCCATATACTGGTATATTTTCTCAAGTGTCTTCCTAATTACTTTCTGTTCTTTCCCCAAAGGTTTACTCATGACATTTCTGTTGAATAACAGGCTCTTCTCTGTAGCTTTTTTAAAAGAAATTAAGAATGTACTTTGTTCTAAAATACTTATGAGACTTCCTTGTCCATAAATGAAATGTTTCTCCTTTCACTGCATTTTCCTTATTTCTATTTTTGCACGTGACAGTTTTGTTCTTGTTATTACCTAGTTCCGTAGTAAGAGTGTGGATGCTATTCATGCCAATTTGATTGCTTAGGGTGAATGATTATGCAGGCAGACGACACATAGGCTTTTATAATATTTGTTGCGAACTTCACTGAGTCCATTAACCAGGCAAATATACAATCTTATTATGTTAATGAGTCTGCCCTGGCAAGGGCTGCCTTCGACGATCAGCAAAGTGCATCAGTGTCTTTTTAGGGATGTTTCAGGAATCTCATAACCAGAACTGATACATTCCTTTTGCAGTATAAAGGTGGCATCATGAGTATTTCTGGAAAGAACTGGCTTGCTTCCCTTCCTGCAATGACTCAGAGGCCCTTCCCTGCTGGGGATTTTAAATAGAAGGCGTTCTCTCTATCATGTTTAGATTTCCTCTGTTAGCACACGGAAAAATACATAGTGGATGTCCGACTAAGAGTGTTTGATTGGTTTTCTCATGACCAATATTTCTGAAACTCTCTGACCAAACTCTCTGAGATGAAAAAGGGGGGAAAAAGCCCATTTTTTTTCCCCAGAGGCCAGTGGGAATGATTTGTCTGGGTTGCACTGAATCTTCAGTAAACCACCCACGCGTGGGTGAAGAATTACAGGGAACGCTTTATGCACTCTGGCCCCGTTTCGACTTCCATACAGTAACCTGAGACCACACTTGTTTTCCTGCACCAAGATAGAAAAAAAAGTATGAGTTTTACCTTGTAGTATGTCTCTTTATTGATAATAAAAGCACTCAGTTTCCTTTTCCTCTTGTAGTTCTAGTATAGTTGAGAAACCTAAACTTAGAGTCAGATGCCTTGAAAATAATAGTATCTACTTCACAGAGTTTTGTTTAGGAGTAGGACAAGATGATGCCCATAATGCAAGCAGCACACAGATCATGGGTAAATCTGTGCTTTGCATTATTGGTGAAATTTGTATTAGCATCTTATCAGTGTGTTATAATTCCTCTGAAACCATGCAAGAGGGAAAACACAACAAGTGTTGATGATTCGTACCCAAGCCCTGGGTCAGAGCTGCCTCTTGGAATCTCCAGCCCTGTCACATGGGGCATGCACCTTTGGTCTTGTACTTAGTTTTTTTATCTGCAAAATATGGGGTTGAACTTCAGGTTCCTGAAGGCCAGTTTGAACTCTAAGATTGCAGATCTGTTTCTTCCACCACTAAGCACCCTACACTCTCCTACATTATCCAGCCTCGAGCCAGTGATGAGGACCTGAACTAAAGTCAGAAGTTGAAGATGCCATTGTTCAAGTATCAAGACATCCTTATGGGGAAACTTGGCAAATGGCCCAGGACAGGCCCCAGGAGAAAAGTGGTTCTGATTGACACCTAGAGTCTGATCCTTATGGGTTGTTTTTCTAAGTGAATTTCAAAAACAATTCCCAGGGCTAATTAGTGCTGCTTGAAATATTCTTTTTAAAATAACAGCAACAAGATAACTTATGTGTAGTGCATGATGTAAATACGGAATAGCAGCAAGTATATAAGTAGTGTAAAAATTAGACAAGTGGGTAGATCACCCCAAATAATATTTTGTATCTAGATAAAGTAGATATTGTGTTTTAGCAAAACTTCTGCCTTTAAGATGATTGATATATTGGATTTATCGCCATACGATTTTGAAAATTGTTACTGTTGAAATATACTTTTAACCCTAAGGCTGTATTCTCTTTCTCCTCACCCATCTGAATTGCCAGGTGTCTGGAAAATCTGATTACTTTCTCATTCTGCTGAACAGCTGCCCAACCAGATTGGACAGGAGCAAAGAACTAGCTTTTCTAAAGCCAATTTTGGAGAAGATGTTTGTGAAAAGGTCCTTTCGCAATGGAGTTGGCACAGGGATGAAAAAAACTTCCTTTCAAAGAGCAAAATCATGACTAAGTGTGCAAAGGACTCGGGGAATTAATCTAACTGTAGAGTGTGACTGACGTACTCAAAGTCCATCGTCTCTTTATCATTGAGTGTTGGCATGCTCTCTATTCTCAAATATCTTTCCTCTCCTGACTGGTACAGAGTAAATTGAGTAAAAAAAGAAAAAAAATGTAAACATGTCTCAAACCTGTCTCAAACTTCCACTTGTGAGAGAAAAAACAATTTATGTGGTCCATTAGTAACTTTTTCCTGAATGGGATGGACACTTTTGCTTTGCTTTTAACTTGGCCAGAAAGCATGAGCATGTTGACAGTCATCACGATAGTATGATTTTTTTTTTCCTGCCTGTAATATCATAACACGAATACTGTGATATTTGTTTTTCTTTTTAATACCGTTTTCTCAAATGACTTAACAGGCTCAATTCTTGGGGTGGGGGGATGTGCTATTTCTGTTTCTAAGGGGCTTGTGAAGTTAACCAAAATTAAGGTGAATGGTACAGCTGTATCAATTGATTAATTAATTGATACCAAGAACAAACATCCCTGGAGCACTCTAGATGTAATTCTTGTCTCCCTTTTCCTATTCCAAATATACTTAGCTATAGGGTGTTGTTTTGTTGTCTTGTCTTGGAAATTTGTTGCCTTTTAAAATCTTTAAGCACAGAAATGCTGCCAGTAACAACAACAACAGAGAGACTGAGAGTGCCCTGTGTTGTCAGGGCAGCCATTTGGAAACCTGTTCCCCAAACTATGCTGATTAATGCCCTCTCCTTTCCCCCATCCTTCCAGGAAAGACTGCCCACTCTTTGCACTGAAACTCCTGACACTCCTTTTTTAAAAGGATAATGCGACATTGGTTGACGTGTTATTTCAAATGCATAATGTTAATAAATCTGTTCACGCATATTGGATTCTGCAGCACACTAAGGGTGTTCGCTGTAAGCCACACACAGCTCCTAGACTGGGGGCAGCGGAAGCCTTAGGATGACCTGTCCTTAGTCATCAGCTTCAGATAGAAACACATCAGAAAACAGTACTCATGGTGAGCTGGTCTCACAGTAATCAGCTAGGTTCACACAAACAAATCGGTTTCTACACAAAGCAGTCTTTACACATGCCATATTGTTGGTGATGTGCCAAGTGCCCACCGAAAGAAACAGAGGCCCCTAAAGGTCTTCTGTGATTTGTTGCTGACTTCTATGAAAACAAGTGGTTTCATGGTTGTGGTGTATGCTTATTCTGCTCTTGTTACACAGATTCATCCTAAGTATTGGGGGATGAAGTAACATAGATCATGCAAATACAAGTTATGGGAAGCAGCATTTATTTTAAGGATCAGGGAACTTCAGGGAAACACATTTTGGGAAGCACAGAGGAGCTTGGTAGAAGTAGAAGCCATCAGGCAGCATCCCTGCCCTCCGGGGTCCTTTGCGCCCTTCTAGCTACGTTTTCTTCCCTGCAAACCGGATGGTCTGCAAGACCTTTGTTTCTGCTCTCCAATAACTTCCATCTGCCTGGGGCTTTGTGTTGCTCTATAGGGCCTCACAACATCAGGTCCAGCACCTCCCGTGGGCCAGCATTTTGTTTTCCCTTTGGGGTCAGGTATCCACTGCTGGTTCTCTCTGCAGAAGCCAGAGATGCAGACAGGGTCATGTGTGTGTGACTGCAGCATGAGCTGTGGCAGGGCAGCCCCCTAAGAAGGGGTATGAGAGAGCAAGAAGAGGAGGACATTGCTCATTCTGCTGCATCACCCACTGCACCCTCACTGTTCCCTGGATCCAAAAGGACACACGTGGCCTTCCGGTCTGGTCCTTCTTTCAGCAGATATTCCATGTATAGAAAAGCCAGATATACCCTTCAATACTTTTTAGAAAGTCTGCTTAAACAAATTCATATTTTCTTTCTAAGATCACCTCCTTCACATCAGTGTTCCCCTAAAGACACACACACTCACAGGAACACACAACAGAAGGGGCAGCTATGGGCTGATTTTCTAGTTTCAAAGTCATGGGCTTGAGTCTTGATGCAAACATGGCCTTTGGGCATCTGCGAGGACAAGCAGGTGGGGATGCAGGGCGCGGGCTTCACTGGGAGAGGAAGAGCTAGCTCAGGATGGGCGTCCTCCACCTGCTCCTTTGCTGCTCCCTCGTCTGCTCATGGGCCTGGTCCTTTCTCGATCATGGTCACATTAGCAGTGGCCCTGGCATCTTCCCCCACCAGCAGCCACATAATAGGTCATACCAGCCCACTGCCATCCCTTCAGCAGCACCGTGGCCCCTGTCTCTGTTCCCAGGGTGTGTGGAGTGGGGCAGGTGGGAGACTTCTGTGCAGGTGTTGAAATGAGAGATCAGCCCAGCAGTGCTCCAGGTGTTGGAGTAGGATCTGAAGGCATTTCCCTTATCCATTAATGACATCCAGTTACTTCCTGCTTGATGGCCACACAAGTGGCTGAAGTCATTGAGATTTTAAAGAAATATTTGAAATCAGAAACAAGCAAAACCCTTTGAAGTGGATGTACCTTTAATTCTTTTTTAACCCCAAACAATCATTCCGTTTCCCACTTCTCTATATGTATGTGGACACAGATGCAGTGAAGTACTCAGGCAATCCTGTGTCCCTCGGTTTTCTGCCGCTATGGCCTCTGCCTTTGTTCCTATGAGGTGGCTTTAAGAATCTAAGCCATCAGCCAGTGGCAGCACCACTCTCCTTACCCTCGGCCCTGAAACTGGAGTTCTCTTGGAGCATCTGCAAATGCGGCAAAGGGCTCTGCAGCTCCGTGAGGTTTCAAGGGTAACATGCAAAGTAATTCCAATAAAATGTGGAAAATCTGACAGAAGCTTGTCAGGGAAGTTGGCATTTCTTATCTGCCTAACGTTATTGGCAGGGAAGCTAATTAGATAGGCTGATAGGCGTTATTTACTCCTGCGGAGTAGAAAACAAGTTACTTCATTAATAAGCTCATGGTTAAGTGTGGTGTAAATGGGGCATCTTGTGTACAGAAAAGATTGCTATTTCAGGAGAATCTTCCTAATTTTCTATTATTTGCATTTATATGGATTGGCTGGAATAATAAAACACCAAAAACATAATTGGAAAAATTCACTTCCCACTTCTAGAGCTAAAATATCATTTTAACGTCAGGGGGGAAAAGGCCTATGAAAAACTATTTGCACTCCAAAAATCATAGCCGATGAAAAGCTGGTAGGAAGGAGTATTTTCTTTCTGAAGAAAAATTGCGCCTCTTGCTAAAGTTTTAGGAATAAAGCATTTAAAAGCAAGGCCTGCTCTCAAGCCTGCATTGGCAAGTAGGAAAGTGGCTTGGGGTGACGGGGGCAGTGATGAGAGAGGGCCCTGGTGACCCTCTACCGTCCAACACCAGGGGTGCTGCTGGGGGCCTGAATTTCACCTTTAGATTTGGATGCATCGGGCAAAGCTTTGGAAGCCCTTGGACTGCAAGCATCCCAAGGGATGAATAATCTTTTAGTCAATTTTGGCCAACTCTATCTGAATGTGATTGATCTTCATATTCTATCTGGAGAGATTTTATTGGAGAGGAAAGAAAAGAACTCATGAGGGCCATGGATACCTGGAGAGAGAGAATGCTGGTGTGGAGGAGAGGAGTGCAAAAGGAAGCTTAGGAGGCCAGATACCAAAGGCACTGGGCCACATGAACTGTACTTGAATCCTGGGGTCCTTGTTCACTCAGTGGTGCCACCTTGCTCTAGCTTCTAGAATCCTTTTGAGCCCCAAGCTTAATCACCCTTAAAATGGGGCCTGTATTACTTACATCTGAAGATTGTTCATTTACTAATTAATTTATTTGTTTGACAAATATTGAGCACCTTCTGTGTTCTCGGTACTGGGAATACAGCAGTGAAGAAAATAGAGCCCAATTATTGGGGTGGGATGGCATGATGGAGTTAGAGAAAATAAGAATATATATTTAATATATAATCCTATATATGTGTGTATATATATATGTGTGGGTGTACATAGTATTTCAGATGGTGATAAGGAGAAACAGCAAGGAAGGGGGAGCTGCAGTATTGTGAGGTGGAGATGGGGATGCGATTTCTGATTCAGCGCTCAGGTAAGGGATCGCTGAGAATTGCGAGAATCCCAGTTTCCTGGCTTGGAGTGAGCAGGGTGAGGGTGGAGAGAGATGGCACCTTACAGGTAGGAGGGCTTCTGTGTGGCCTTGCAGGACTTTTGTTTTTCCTCTGAGTGAAAGAGGAAACCACTGGAGGGTTTTTAAGCAAAGAAATGACATATCAAATGTATTTTTGGTTTTCATAAATTCCTAAGAGTGAAAACGAAAATACACACCTAGCAGGTTTTAATAAAAGTAGGAGTGATTCGTGGTGTGAATGACATCCAGCAACACGAATTCTCTCCTTGCTTGCCTGCTTTGCGATTCTGCCCTGAGAAGTAATTAAGCGGCGATGTGAAGCCCTGGATTGGATCAGGACCCTGGGACAGGAACGCGGCTGCTCTCCAAGGTGCTGAGGGGATTTGGGACAGTAGAGCAGATTCCTGGCCCATCGTCTGAAAATGGTTTTGAGGCTAGAATGTCATGCCCCTGGATTATTTTTCATGTGCGAATGAGGAACGTTTTGTTCTCACAAATATCTACTGAGATTATCATAGAAATATCCCCCATTATTTTTTGGAGGGATGCATGTTGTGATGGTTAATACTGAGTGTCAACTTGATTGGATTGAAGGATACAAAGTATTGACCCTGGGTGTGTCTGTGAGGGTGCTGCCAAAGGAGATTAACATTTTAGTCGGTGGGCTGGGAAAGGCAGACCCACCCTTAACCTGGGTGGGCACCATCTAGTCAGATGCCAGCACGACTAGAATATAAAACAGGGAGAAAAATGTGAAGGACAGACTGGCCTGGCCTCCCAGCCTGCATCTTTCCCCTGTGCTGGATGCTTCCTGCCCTTGAACATCAGACTTTTCAGTTTTGGGACTTGGACTGGCTCTGTTTGCTCCTTAGCTTGCAGACAGCCTGTTGTGGGACCTTGTTATCCTGTGAGTTAATACTTAATAAATTCATGTATATATATATATATTAGTTCTGTTCCTCTAGAGAACTCTGACTAATACACATGAGTATGGATGGAAAGTCTGTGGGTTAAAGCTCAAGCAAAAAAATAAAATATTTAAGATCTCTACTCTTGTACCTGACTTTTTAGGGTGCTCCTCTCATTTTTTTCTGTTGGCTATTTATTTCTAATGCTAAATCCTTAAAAAAAAACAAAGAGGTCTACTATAAAATTTCTACCCCAAACATTCATTCCCATTCATCTTTGAGTACTTGCAGTAAAAGATCAACATTTTAAGGAAGGAAAATCTGAAAACAATTAGATTTCATCTCCCACATGCAGTAAGGCTGAGAATATGGCAATTTGATATTAAAGGCCTGTTCCTACACTCAATATTCTCATTTCTCCTTTTGTCCCATCTGAAAATAACAGTGAGCATCCAGGAGCCTCCTCTCCACTCTTTCCCTCCTGAACTCCTCGTTGTTAATATTCAGACACACTCACATGGTGAGGAAATAGGCAGGCTTCTCTGTTGGTGGAAGATTTTGTCTTGACTTCTCCTTTATGGGGTAAAGATGGTCTTTTGGTTGACCGTGATGGCTCTCTCGGGGCTGTCTGGGATGGACTCTCACCTGTGCTTCTCCTCTTCATGTGGGCTGTGCACCCTGTCAGCTTCCCCCAGTGTCACCTTCCCCCAAGCCAAGTGTGCAGCTTTTCTGAGCAGTTGACTCCACCAGCTCAGTGTTTGTCCCCAGCTTGCAAGGTCATTCTCATGCTTGCCTTACACAAAGGGAGATGAAAGGCAAGATGCCTCTCCTGGAGCGCAAACCATGATGGAGCCACAGATGCAGCCCATGCAGCATAAATATCTCTCTCCAGAATAGCAAAGACCAAGACCGAGTCCTGCAGGATCGTTCCACCTACTGGGCTTTGCGCCTGTGAGTTCCATCTTGCACTGTGCATTGTTTAGAGTGTGTCTGAGCCTCTGGTTGGCACCTACCTGGCTGACATCTGCCTATCAAGTTTTAAATCCAGCTAATGCCCTCTATGGAGAAACTTTGCCAAGGAATCTAACCTAAGGAGATAAGTGAGGCTCAACATGTGGGTACAAACAGGCTGCTCTTCAATGTTCACCTAGCTTCTACTTGACAGTTCTGAAGTTTCTACCAAGTGCTTTCCACATAGTGTCTCATTTGCCCCTCCACAGCCATGTGAGGGGCACTAGGATGTTCTTAGTCCTGTGTGCAGACAAGGAAACCAAAGCTTACAGAGATGCAGTGATTTTCTTGTGGTCACATATCTGGTAAGTGGCAGGTCTGCCTGGCTTCAAAGCTGGTGCCCTGTGATCTGTGATGTCCAACTACTCACAGTATAATCTCAAGCCTCAGTTGGGGGGAAATTTTGCTTCCAAACTCATGTGATCGTTGGCAGCACTCATTTCTCTGTGGCTTAAAGCCTGAGTACCTCAGTTTTTTTGCTGGCTGTTGGCAGAAGGTCACCTTGGTTCCTAGAGGCTGCCATCAGTTCTTTGCCACATAGGTACCCACCGTGGCTGCCAGCTTCATCAATACCACCATGGGGGAGAATCTTCTAGCAAAATGGATGCTGCAATCTTAGGTAACATCATCATGAATGTGACATCTCATCACCTTTGCTGTATTCTAATGGCTAAAATCAAGTCACTAGTCCTGCCCACACTCAAGAGGAGGGGCTTATACAAGAGAATGAACGCAGGGACATAGGGACCATGGAGGGGGCACTGTGGAGTCTGTCCAGCACTGACATTATGAATGGCCACCTCAGCTATGGGAGAGGACCATCCCATGCTGGAACAGAGCCCTAAGAAGTGAGATCCATACCAAATTTGAGTAGTATGTGAGTAACGTCTGCAAAAAAGAACCTGTGAAGTGTTAAACCACAAGTATATGCATTATATTAGCCTGTTATTACACTGCTAATAAAGACATACCAGAGTTTGAGTAATTCATAAAGGTAAGAGTGTTAATTGACTCACAGTTCAGCATAGTTGGGGGGGCCTTAGGAAACTTACAATTATGGCAGAAGGGGAAGCAAACATGTCCTTCTTCACAGGGCAGCAGGAAGGAGAATGAATGCACAGTGAAGGGGGAAGACCCTTATGAAACCGTCAGATCTCGTGAGAACTAACTCACTATCGTGAGAACAGGATGGGAAAAACTGTCCCCATGATTCAATTATCTCCACCAGGTCCCTCCCACAACACATGGGGATTATGGGAACTACAATTCAAGATGAGATTTGGGTGGGGACACGGCCAAGCCATATCACACATGAAAGCAAGCTTCTCCTTCGTAGGGTTTGTCTGTGTCTCTGCGTGCTGTGGAACAACCTTGAGGCTCAGACTTAGATTCTTTTAGGGCCTAAACACATATAAATAATTGAGTTATTGGAGTCCTACTATGTGCCAGTCACTGGCTGAAGAGTTTACATAAGGTTTCATTCAATTTCCATAACAACTCTAAAAATACAACAAAATACCTGTTAGGTAGATACTCTTGTTAGCCCCATTTCACAGATAAGCCATTAGGTGCAAAGAGATTAAGTTCTCTGCCCAGGGTCATGTAGCTTGTGAGCAGTAAAGCCAAGTTGGGAACCCAGGCAGTCTGACTCCAGTATATGAACATGTCCCCAGCCCAGTGTCTGAAGCCTTTATCTTACTTGAGTGTCCCAACATTTTTGAATGGCACAGGCTGGTGAAGAAAAGTTGGCTGCATTTGATTACAGGAGAGACAGGGTGGAGAGTAAGTAAATAGAAATGGCAAAAAGGACACAGTGAGGGGAAACGAAGATGTCTTAGAAATTTTCAAGATATATTTCACATGGTGAAATGTATTCCCATGGGAAAGAACAAAGGAGCAATTAGAAAATGACTGGATCCAGTTCAAATAGAAAATTATGAAATTATAAAGAAGCTGCCCACGCACTTGGTAAACACTGATATAACGTGGTAAGGTAACTCTTCTGTAAAGAATGGATCTGTGGTGTCTTGCCATCTACAACAGTAAATGCACTAAAAGTTTTACTGGAGAAGACAGCCTGCGGGGGGTTTGTAACTCTTGTTCCCCTGTCCACGATGGGACTCCGTGCATCCTTGGGCAAGCAGGTTAGTAATTATCAAAGTGAATTACGGTCACTGCCAAAGGATGACACTAGCTAGAATCCTGCTTCCTGCAACCATGATGGAAACTCTCCAGGTATATAAAAGAATTATGGGTTAAGATTCCTTTACAGTCTTTAAGAAGAAAGGTCTGCAGCTCAGAGCTGGTGCATTGCATTCTCTCCCAGGCTTCTCTGGGATTTGGTAACCCAGGCCGGATGTCGGATGTGTGGTCAAATCATTTTACGCGGTCTCACATTTCCTGGGATTTATAAGCTCCGGCTTTACAGTCAGACATAGCCGAGCTAAAATGGCATTCCACTTAACAAGGTCCATGACTGTGGCCATGTTCCTGGACCTCTCCAAGCCTCAGTTTCCTCATCTGTAAAATGGAACTCAGTGACATCCCAGTGGGACTGTAGTGAGAGATAAGATAAATAGTACATGCTATGCACTCAACCCAGTGCTTGATCCCACGTGAGTGCTCCATAAATGGCAGCCAGCCACAGCAGGGGTGTTATGAACATTCCAGTTTAATGCTGAATCGAAAGTTGGCTATATAACTCATATTTATAAACTAAATCAGTAAAGAATAGAGGCAGATAATACTTGCTGATAATGGAAATATGGATTAGATATTATTCTGAGTATATTGCTAAGCTAATATAGATGCTGGTATGGCTGAGTCCCAAGGGAAGAATTCTGTATTTTTTAGAAATGATGTGGCCAATAATGTAAATTAATTGCAGTGCATTGAGAGATGAATATACAAACGGGCAATGGTCAGACCATGTACAATGATGCACACCCGCAAGCCTGCAGCAGCCAGTTCAGGAAGCCAATCGCTGCAGTAATGGGCTCAGAACAGCCAGGACATGGTCAATGACTGCCAGCATTCCTAATTCCCACCCACCGCCCCCAACTTCCAACTCAGAACCAGCAGAAAAAGCCAAATATGTTCTCCAACCAATCACATACGACGTCTTACTTTACATGACTCCACCTCCAGTTTCCCCACACCAACACCCTGCCAGCATATCACACTGGAAGCCATTCCTTTTTTCACTATGAAACTTTCCAGCTCCTCGCGTGCCTTCAGGTCTCTGCCAAATGCAAGTGATGATGCCCGACCCTTGCCACGGAAGTTCTAAATATATAGCCTCTGTTTGTCCTAATTTGGGTGCTCTTTATTTCTGGAACACTAATATGGTAAAAGTGGCACACAGCAAGACCAACGTCACAGGAACTCCCCAGTGAAAGTCACAATCTTTTTTCATAAAAAGATTAAGTAGTTTTTTTCTTAAATAAAGGCAGTTGTATTAATGACTCTTACTGTAAATTTAAAAGTTGTACAGTTAGAAAATTTACACTAAGAAAGGACAAAGAAGTAAAAATGTAACCCTTATCTCTCTTCCCATAGAGAACGACCCTCATGCGTTCAGATACCTGTGTGATATGGGTGGGACTATGCGTGTGTGCACACACACATACTTTTTTTTATAAATAAAAGTGATTATAAAATTCTCATTCTGAAATCCAAAATATTGATGGATATCTTTCCAGGTCGAAGAATGCTGAAATACCGCATTGTGCTGAACATCTGTATGATATTCAGTTGAATGGATATATCATACTTAATTAAGCTATCATCTATTAATGGACATTTAGATCATTCACAGCACTATGCTAATGGGAAGATTGCTACAGTGTATACTACTACACATCTATCTTCTTCTTTTATAATGATAGAATGCTAGAAGTGGGAAAGCCAGTCAACAATTATACACATTTACAATCTCAACACTTACTATAACTTACCCCCCAGAACAGTCATATCACTATAGGAACACTGAACATTGTCTATCCTTTTCAATTTTGCCAATATGTTAAGTAAAAAGCAATATCACATTCTTGTTTGAATATGTACTTTTTCATTATGAGTAAGAACAAATATTTGTACACACACACACGCACACTTGGAATTATTTTATAAATTGCTTTTTCATGTATTTGGTCCATTTTTCAGTTGGGCTTCTTTTCTTACTGATGTTAAAACTTCCTTATGTAATTGGATATTAGCATTTTTGTCACATTTGTAATTATATTTTGCATTGTTTGTGTTTGCCTTGCAAATATCTTTCTTTTTTCTCCTTTACAGTTTCTGGCTATTGGGTCATGGGAAATAAAATATGTTCCTATTTCAAGATAATAAAAGGTTTTAAGGTTTTATTTAAATCTCTGTTTCAGGACAGTATCACTTATTGGGTGAGATTATATCAAGTGCATTTCAAATATTAATCCCTTTTGCATATTTTGAGTGTCCTTCTGCAGACTTCTCATGTAAATAACAGTTTCTTGAGTATACAATCTTCAGACTTGCATTTTTTTCTGTCAAAATATTATAGACATTTTATTGCTCCGTTTTATCCTGCAATCCTATGTTGTTGAGGAGACATTCTACCCAATCTTTTATTTTTTATTTTTGCTTATGAGCCACCTGTTTCTTCTTATTGAATATTTATATGTTTCTTTTAGTTGTTTTGAAGTTTAGTAATCTTACCAGGATTAATCCCAGTATTTATTGTTCCCTAATACTATTCTAGGCCATGGTACATTTCTTGAAAGTCCTTTTCTCTTGCATTTTTATTATTAGTTCCATTGGCCCATTCTCCATTCTATTGTATTCTCTAATTCATAGGACCCAATATCATCTCCATTGTCATCACATTTTGATCATTATCTAAGTCTGAATTAACCCCAAAACAGAATATGAGCAAAACTTCATGGCGACCCTTTGGAATCCAATCCCAGGACAACAAGGATGAAAGAACAACGGCAGTGAGAGAAGCAAAGGAAGAGGCAAAGCAAAAGCAAGGTGCATTCCTGAGCTGGTCTCACATCCATAGAAGACAGCTGGTGTTCCGCGGCTTCAGGAACCACTGTGTCCTGGAACAGTTCACCAGGCAGCGGGTGGAGATACAAATCATCTGTCACCAAGTCTTTGGTCACATTTGTCTGCTTGCTCCTTTCCATCCAAGTTTGCCACAGGGTTCACCACCTACTCCTTCATACTGGGATGTGTTACCTGGGCCCTCTGGCAGCTGCTGGACAGTCATAGTCCTAGCCCCAGCCATGATTCTTCATGTGAGTCTGGAGGTCATGGGAGGAGAAGGGGGTTGGATGCAGATGTAAACCTAAGCTTGTGGTATTAGGAGAAATGCCTGAGGCCCTGACCTGGTGCCAGGTGTGTGTGTTGGTTGTACCGTGTGTGTGGCTGCAGCCCCTGATGCAGGCTGTCTCCACTAGGGGGCAGCGCAGCCTCCCTGCTGAGTCTCCCCAGGGGGCCCAGAGGTGTGCAGCCCAGACAGTTTGGGAGGCTTAAATGTCCGGCCCCCGAACAGTAATTTTCTCTGTCATTTTTTTGTTTCTTTGTCTTCTGCCTCTATGTTATCTGTGACTTTTCAGTCTTGTCCTGAATGTTATTCAATTGGTTTCTGCAGTGTCGCTTCTGGTAACTGCAGCTTCTAAAACATTTGGGATTTCTGCAAAGGCGCTGTTTTTCTCTTGGTTATCTTTACTTAGGCCTGCCAGGTCTATTTTAATCTTATTCTATTATCTTCTTTAGGCTTTTATCTTTTGTTCGTTTTACTTTCTAAGTATGTGAAGAAATTCTCTGATTTATTTGATTTTCTAAAGTGACCACTTTGTGTCTTCCTTTCTCCCTTCTTTCCTTCTTTTCCTCCTTTCTAAAAGTAAAATTCCAGAATAATCATGCACTTTTGAGTGCTTACTAATGGCAAGTATTTTGGTAAGCATTCTGAATCCTTACGACAATAGTATGACACAGGTAGTGTTATCTCATTTAAGCATAGAGAAGTCCATTAAATTGCCCAAGCCACACAGCTAAAACACAGAGGAGACTTCAACCCAGCTGTACTTGCCTCCAAATCCTGTTTTCACATATTGAGGGCTTTCTATGTATAAGCGCTTATTATGCCTTCCCAAATAGACCTTTTAGCCTTGTTTATTCATCTGATTAGCTGCAGAACTTTGCCCAAGTCATTGCACAATTTATGCTCAATTTCCTCATCTGTGAAACACCGAGCTTAAATTAATTTTCCTCTAGCTTTGAGTTTCTTGGCTCTATTTTCTCCCTACCCCATATTGTATCGTTTTGGAGACACAAACTGTACTTTCACTATGGGCTGCTGGTTGTCCAGGATTGAAACAATGGGGCTGCAATCTCAGCTCTTCATCTGCCAAAAGGAAGGTTTAAAAACCAGATAAAAATGCCCGACTTTCCTCCCTGTCCCCAGCATTCATCTCGATTGGGTAGCAGGGTGCAGTGCATTGCTGATTACCAGACACAGAAAAGAACTGCTAGAATTTTGCTTCTCAGCACTCAAGAGAGGAACAAAGCTTTGGTGTGGACTCTTTCTTGGTTCCCGGAAGAACCAAGCCCTTCTGACCACCAGTGTAGGCCAAGCAGTCACTCTGTGTCCTCTGCATTGCTGCAGATATTGAGTGAACACAAATTCAAAGGCAAGCACCTCAGGCCAGGATAGTGAGTGGAGCATCTCTTTTAATAATATAAAATACTGTCCAAAGGGAGAGGGTGCATCTCTGTGGATTTTTTAAAAGTTTTAAAAATTCTTTTAATTGCAGGTTTCCTCTG
Source organism: Homo sapiens (assembly GCF_000001405.40). Classification (NCBI taxonomy): domain Eukaryota; kingdom Metazoa; phylum Chordata; class Mammalia; order Primates; family Hominidae; genus Homo; species Homo sapiens. The sequence continues at coordinate 127,565,498 of NC_000010.11, forward strand.
GTTTTCAAGAGAAGACACTGGACGATGCTGGGGATATGGGTGGGGACACAGCTGATGAGATGGGTTCTCCATTAAGGACAGGAACAGGCCTGATATTTAATCACAAAGTCCAGGATTTAGACTTCATTTGTGGAAGTTAAGAAGGAGGTGTCATGAAGTGAGCTGGTCGTGATGTCCTTATGCTTTCTCCAGGTTTGCACAGTAGATGCTAGCTGTTTGTCACCACCTAGTATCCATTCCCCCTTCTGGTAATAAAAGATTGCACGTCAAGGACCCACATTCCTGTACTCTTGGCCCTGTGGTTTCTCTGGGCTTGGCCTCAATTCCAGGGGTGGCCATGTGACCAAGGTGCAGCTGGTCAGCCTACTAAGCTCCCTTCTACAGGGATGGGTGCAGGGATGATCACGTGGAGCCCAGACTTTTGCTGAATCCGCCTAGAAGGAAAACTCCTTTCTTCCATGGTCTTGGGGCTGTTGGTAGCCATTTTTCCACAGCAAGGGAAAACTTTCAATAGTATTGCGGGATACAGATATTCGGGGAGACACAAGTCCCTGGAGACAAATTCTGGGGCTCTGGAGTCCATCATGCCGGAAGCCATATCCACCCTAGCCCTTCACTTGATGTGATCCAATAAATTCTCTTCTTATTTAAACAGCTTTGAGTGGAGTTTTCTGCAGTTTGCTAACGAATGCTTCTACAGTACACTGTTCACCTTGGCTGCTTGGATGCTTAAGCAGGAGCCTTATTGTTCTTTCTTTCCATTGAAGTCAGATGTCAGTGTGCTTTCTCCAATGTCTTGGTTTCTACTAAACAACTTTAATGTTCTCTAATAATTTGGCCACAGCATTTCAGTTGCCCAACGCACCTGCCTTAGAGTGTTATTTTACGGGAAGTATTACATAAAACTTTCAACAAGCACAATTAGTATAAATTTGCCCTCTTGTTATGTGGGAGACTTCCTTTCCTTAGCTTCCGGGGCATGTGGGTATGAGAAGGTTCTGAATTACCCTCCATCCGAAATGTGTACTGACTAGCTCTCTCACATAAATTGGGAGCAGGGAGGGTGAATAAAGGCAGTGGCATCTTTGGTTATAAAATCCTGCCAATAAGCACGAAAAAAGATGATATACCAGAGGACAGGAGTAGGAGTTGAATGAGGCTTTAAAAATTCTTTTGTTTTATTTTGTGGTGATAACCATGAAAAAAATCACTTCCATTTGGATAAGGCTTTTTTCTTTTTATATCTCAAAAAGCTTTCACATCGATATCTGAATTGATCCTTATAATTCTGTGATGTAGGGAAAGAAGATGCTGTAATTTCAGTTTTTACAGTTGATAAAACTGAGCTCCATAGAAATAAACCAGGGACATACTCTTAATTATTAATCCATGCTCTGTAGGTTCTCGGGATAAGAACTTCTCTGTTTTCTGACTTACAGATGATATGTTATATTTCAAAAAGATCATGCATAAACTTACCACTGAGAATATGAACTGTCTTGTCCACGATCCCAGAAGTTCCAAATTATGAAAGAATTTTGCAAAGGACCAGTGTTACCATTGATATTATGCTTTCACTAGTAACTCCTCAAAATAATTAATTTTAAACGCTACATTCAATTTTTTTATAATAACTTTTGGAAGGTTTAACTCATTATCCTATTTCCAAGCTCTGCTTAAGTTTACCATTTCAGAAGCAGCAAATTGTATCAGGTCGGAAGAACAGATATTTGCAAGATTCCAGTTAAAGTACAACTGCACTTTACTTAAGAAACAGACACAGCCACATTGCAAATCAAGGGTGGGTAGGCAGATCTCCCTGGGCTCCTGGCCTCAGATCAATGAGCAAAATCAGGTGGGACTGGAATGCATTGGTTGCTATCCAATCCCCATCAGGGTCATGGGCACTGGCATTATAGACCTAGGAGTACTCCCAGCTCACCATTCACTAGCTGGTTGCCTTAGGCAAGTTACTTACTTATCTAGGAATTATGTCCTTACTCTGTAAAATGTCCTGAATAACAATAACGGTTTTACAGGGTTTTGTAAAGATTAAACGAGGTAATACACATACAGTACTCAGTACGGAGCCTGATACTCAGTAAGTACTGAAAAAATTGCTACTTTTAGCATTATTCTTGGCATAGCACTCCCCCCATCCCCTGAATCACCATCAGCAGTAGCAGCAGCAGCAGCAGCATCACAGTCCTGGAAACCATGTTAGGTCTCTCTTTTGGGGACTCTAGTTATTGACCTTCCTGAGATCCAACAGTTTAGTGTCTTGACTCCATGGCCATGACCTTGCCTGTCTGCTTGTGATATAGAGGTATGCTTTGTGTTTCTTACTTTCTTTTTCTTTTTCTTGAGACAGGGTCTTGCTCTGTTGGCCGGGTTGGAGTGCAGTGGTGCAATCTCGGCTCACTGTAATCCCCACCTCCTGGGCTCAAGCAATTCTCGTGCCTCAGCCTCCCGAGTAGCTGGGATTACAGGTGTACACCACCGCACCCCACTAATTTTTTTTTTTTGTATTTTTAGTGGGGACAGGGTTTTGCTATGTTGGCCAGGCTGGTCTTGAACTCCTGGCCTCAAGTGATCTGCCCACTTCAGCCTCCCAAAGTGCTAGGATTACAGGCATGAGCCACCATGCTTGGCTTGTGCTCTGTGTTTCACACTCCCAACATCACACACAGGAGTCAACATAAAATATGACAAGAAATATAATTCTCAAATGGTGTCTTACGTAATTCCAGTTGAATGACTCAGTAGCTCTATAAACACTCCACTAACAAATTAGGGACTCATTTGGATATTTACCATTTTGTAGTTATAATCCTAAATGATGGAAATTGGAAATTGGCCTTACTTGCTGACTGTAGTCACCTCTGTATTTTTCTCTCATTCTGCTTTGCACCAGGCTCTAATACTGCATAGCCCAAGAGAAAATCCAGGACTTTTCATTAGGACCCCAGACAGTCAAGGAGCATATTTTACTGGAAGCAGCTACTCCCAGGTGCAAATCTGATGACTTTATTTGATGATTATATATTTTAAATAGCCCTGGCTTGGAAAATCACTTGCCATTATGAGACCCCTCCATCTGTGTATTTTCATGAAGAAAACACTGTTAAAAGCTTTTAAATTTTCAAAATATAATTTGGTTTAATGAGAGAAAAGAAAGTCTTTCTACTTGGTGAAATGGTCTGAGACAGATGTTGGAACAAGGTATGCTAAAAATTTTTTTAATAGATTAGAAAAATCTATTCCATTCCCACTTTCCTCCTCTCATCTATAGTAAGATATTCAGTTGCTGGAAGGAAGGAAAGCAATTGTAAGATTTAAACTACATATTTTTAAAAATCATAAGGTTTTAGAATTCTTATAGTAGAGTGGTTGTGTGGGATGTCTGTTTACTTTCAGCTAAATTTTCTTTGCTTAAGTTATGTGCACGTTTCTTTTTCCACGTTTAATTTTAGAATGGTGCTCAAGTTTGCAGAAAATATTTACACTAAAAAAGTAAGCATATTGCACTATTATTAACCCCAAGTCTTGTTGACACTCATAACACTTCTTTGTGAGCACACAATCCATAATTCCAACCTTTGTGAAATTGTAGCCACAGCCCTCTCAAGCTGGTTTGGGGTAGGTTTGGGGATTTGGTGCAGGAGAAACATCAAGACATCATAATTCTTGTTCCTCAGATATAGGCATAAAGGTTTTTCATTAGGGAGCATCAAGAGATACATTTGGCTTGTTGCATGGTAACCAGTTCCTTGATGAAGGAAGACAGTTGATCTACTCATGTACAAGGATCTGTTGTGCGCCTCCTCTACTCTATATCACAGTATTCAAAGAAGAAGGAGGAGATGGGGGAGAAGAAGAAGATGAATCCCTGTCCGTCAGCAGTTGGCGCTGAGTAGGAGGCATATTAAAATAGTGCATGAGCTGAGTAAGTGAACCAATAAAGAAAGAAATGTGACAACTCACCCTCATTTGGCTCCATGCTCCAAAAAGGGACTCTCTTACAAGCAGAGGGAGAAGCATCCCCTCCGAGGGTGGCTTGACCACACATGCCAGTTGGACTCTCATTGTTGCTGGCTCAGAGAGATGTTTCCTGTGTATTTCAAAGCAACTTTGATCCCAGTAGACTCTCTCTTTTTCTTTTGTCTCCCCTTCTTTATTCTAATTTGAAATATCACTTGATGTGAACTCTGGAAACAGAACAGTTTTTGAGAAGCTTTTGGCTCAATGTGCTTGAGGAAGAACCACAGGAAATAAGCAACATCTGGTTCTAAGGAAGACCAAACAGCATGTGTTGGGCTGGGGTGGGCTATCGGTCAAGACTCCTTCAATGGCAGGTGGCGAGAGCCAAGTTCAATGGAGTTTCTGAAACACAGAGCATGTTCTCAGACATGGAGGAAGGAGTGTGGTCGGGCCTCAGAAGCCACTGATCTCAGGCCCAGCTTCAGCCAGACTCTGTCTGGAAAGTTCTCCTCCATTCTCTCTCTGTTGGCTTCTCTCTTCTCCCACTCAACAGAACAGCTTCCTTCGTGTAGCTGGACCTGGGGATACCTTGTGCTCATCTAACAGCTTCAGCGGCTCAGGGAGAAGGAAACTCCCTGAGAAGGAAACCTGTGCTCTGAGTCCCTGGTATTTGGGAAACTCTGGTGGAAGGATTCTGACTGGCCAGGCTCCAGGCGGGCACTCTCTCCTGGCTCAATCAACTGTGGCCAGGAAAGACCCTTCTGTGTGAACACAGTGTATGGCATGCTAAGTCTCATTACATATGAATCTCATTTATGAATCACAACCACAGAACCATGATGTGGAGGATCAGCCTCAGGAGGGAGCCATTCATGGAAGACAATCCCATGGAAGTCCACTGAGGGTGAAGTGTCCACTGGACTTCTCTTCAAAGACAGGCTTTCTCTGTGTCTTCCAGAGAGTCTATAAAACATTTAAACACCAGGAAGAATCGGTAGGAAAGATAAATACGTCTGCCTGTTGCTAGAATGTCATGTGGACTGGACTGGGTCTTCAGGATTGATCATTCTTGATGTCTAACCACCTTCCCTTAGCTTTTTGGAATAGGACAGGTGGCCTGAGTGACAGGAGATGGTGGGTATCACCTTCACAATGACCCCTGGGTGGGCCATCTTTCCTTAAAAAAAGCATATTTTCAGGGAGAGGAGGCAGCACCCAGCATTGCTTGCTTCAGGGAATATGGCTGTACCTGGATTCCAGGCCATGCAGAACATTAGGCACATTAGGCATGGGTAGTCACTTCCATGGGGCGATTAGGAAATCCTGGGGCAATGTTACAGCTAAATATATCCACCAAAACCTCATAAGGACACATTTATTTCTAAATTTCAATATGGTTCACATATTTCTTGCTAGGTGCAAGTTTTATGCCAGTTTTCTAGCCTGCAAAAATATAGCAAAATGCAAAATATAGCACTTGCAATGGATTTTTTCATACACTGTATTCTCAATTTTTATTATATGTCCTTATAATAACCATGTCCCAAACATGGTTCCTATAAATACATAAATGTCTTAACATAGTTTTTAGTGGCAAGCCAATATAAATACATTACATAAAATGTTTTTTGAAAACTGTAATTAAAGATGATAAAATAATATAAGGAGATGCTTCTTCTATTATGTAACTATTAGAACTTGGGAAATAAGCTTTGTGAAGTGGAATTTCCATATTAATGTAAATATAACTAATGTGCCAAGAGGACCAGTGAAGTTTTCATACCAAACTGATGGAAACCAAAATCTAATCTTCCCCCCAAATAATGACATCCAAAACAATTACTTTTCTCTGTGAGAATTTTTTGACATGTTAATGGGATCCTTACACTGCATAAGAGAACTTCAAAAAAGAGTTCAAAGTGACAGCAAACACTAAAGAAATAGCCAGTCAGAAAAACATATGCTATGCCAAATTTTAATAATCAGTTTAGAGAATGACTACTAGAATTTAAGCTCCACTAGAACAGGAAATAAGGTCCCTGTGCACAAGACATATTTGTCTAATTCCCTGTTGCTATTTCTGTACTTAACACAGTGACTGGAAAATAATAAATACTTACTGATTAAACGAATAAATTATTTACTTACTTAAACCTTGCTTTAAGAAGTGACTAACTAGGAATAAGTAGAACTAAAAAATATCTAAGGAATCACAATGGATTGTAAACTGCACTTAAGCACAAATTAAAAGTTAAGATGATTCTTAATGAAAAAGAGGAGTCACTTCTATTTATGTTTAATGGTGCCTTAATGGAGTACTTGAAAATGTGCATAAGGAAATCATTGATTAGCTGTCTTTCATCATCATGGAAAATGGGACAAGAGAAAATGAGTTTAAACATTAATACATATTAGAGGTAGATATAAACAAATGATTTCTCATGACTTCAACTGTTAAAGGGAAATCTTGGCTGACTTTCCACTAAAGGTGGAAGATAGAACATATACATCTATGTTTATAGCCTCCAGAAGCTCCACTAAAATAATAATAAAAGGATGTTTAAAACAAGAATAAACCTAAAGGATAAGGAGAATGAGGCAGGAAACAACAGCAATAAAATTTTGAAAGGAACAAAAAAGATAGAAAAGGGGTAAATTACCTATCAGATCCTGGAAAACTTAATCCTAAACTGGCAATGGAAAAAACTGAGAATTAAGATGATTTGGCCAGACATGGTGGTTCATGCCTGTAATCCCAGTATTTTGGGAGGCCAAGGTAGGTGGATCACTTGAGGCCGGGAGTTCAAGACCAGCCTGGCCAACATGGCAAAACCCGTCTCTTCCAAAAATACAAAAATTAGCTGGGAGTTGTGGCACCTGCCTGTAATCCTAGTTACTCAGGAGGCTGAGGCACAAGAATTTCTTGAACCCAGGAGGCAGATGTTGCAGTGAACCAAGATTGCACCACTGCACTCCAGCTTGGGTGACAGAGAGAGACTCCATTTCAAAAAAAAAAAAAAAGATGATTTATACCTCAAAAGACTTAATATTTAGTGGCATTGGATACCTCTGGAAGTAGGGTTAAAGTGGATGACTAAAATAAGGAGTATTTTCAGAAGTTGGTTTAAGAAGCAATCAGACCCCAGATTCCCTCCTTCGTTCTAGGTGACTACTTTCCCCTGTGCCCATTGCATGATACAAGACTGGAAGTTTATTCTTTGTCAATAATAAAAAAGAGGGTTTCTGGACTGGAGGAACTAGGTATAATTGAATGCAGAGATACTCTACTGAGAACTTAGAGGTCAGGTGAATATGGACATCCTGGGTGCTGAGAATCTCTTTCAACCCTCTATCTTCACTCAGTTCCCACAAGGCTGGCACTTCACCCTCCAGTCATAAGATTTGGAGATTCTTGCCTTGGTTATTTGGCCACCCGAAGGAAAGACACAAAGATGCTAACACTGGAGGTTCCCCAGCTGATCAGTCATCCATCCCACTTAGCAATGAGGCACATAGAAGAAAACCTCCACCTAATGTGTTTAGAGCTCATGGCCAGCTCTGCAGTGCATTCTACTTAATAGGAGAAGACAAACAAATATTAAGGGACATCTGAGGAAAGCCTCTAGCATGGAAGATAGAACATTTACACATTTAAAAAAAGCAACTTTTAGGAAATAGAACTATACAGGAAGAGGAATACGACAACATCAAAACCAAACTGGACCAAAGCAACATCAAAAAACTATCAGTAATATCCTTACACGGATAAGAGGATATAATGAAACCATGAAATAAGAACTGGACACTATAGAAAAGGAATATTCAAAGAACAGCAACAACAACAAAACATTATTGGGAATAAAAAACATCACAATAGAGATCACAAGTCATTAGAAAGTTTGAAACATAAGTCAAGGGAGTCTTCCAGAGAGCAGAACAAAAGATTTAAAAAATACAAAATAGAAGAAAATAATTAGTGGACAAGTCTAGGAGGTTCAACATTTAAATAATATGGAAATAGTGGTTCCAAAAAGAGAGAACACATGGAAAGAAATAATCAATGAAATAATGCAAGAAAATTTCCAATAATGGAAGAACATCAGTCTCTAGTTTAAAAGAGCTTGCCAAACATGTAACATAATAGTTGAAAATAGGCCTCACCAAATCTATTCATGTATCATAAAATTTCAGAACATTCAGGAAGAAAAAGAAGACCCTATCTATAAGCTTCTGTAAGTTAAAAAAAAAAGTCACATGCAGATCCAGAATCAGAAAGGCTTCCGTCTTCTCAATAACACTCATGTATAGCTGAGAGCCAATTGCATGAGATCTTTGTAATTCTGAAGGAAATTGTGGGAGTGAAATAAAGATATTTTCAGGCAAGCACTGTCTCAAAGATGCACTTCTCATGCACCTTTTCTCAGGAGTCTGTAGATGGATGTGCTTCACACCAAAATGGAGTATAGATCAAGAAAGTGACATAGGAATAAAAGAGCGTGTGATGAAGACAAAAGATAAATGGAGGAACCCTGCAAATAATTCTGAAGGGTGATTCTAGGGGACAGCTTTGCCCCAAGCTTACAGGTTGACTGATTCAGACTGGAGTGGCTTGGAAAGCTCTGAGAGAGGTTTCTTCAGGAAGACTAAACAGACAAAGATCCAGATGTGTCTGCATGTCTTAAGAGGAGATTATTCCACTAATGAAGCTTTTGTTGTTGGATTAAGGATGAGTACATAGACAATTCATCAAATTAAAGAGATAAATGTATTAACTCCAGAGAAAGCAAAAGTTGTGCAGGAAAAGACGAGTACTCTTAGCTTACTATATGGTGTCCCTGTGTCTGATGTTACAAAGTCACAATATGTAAACAACTGTTGATCTCACGAAAATGATGACTTAACCCTATAATGTCTGAAACAGAAAAATAAAGAAGGAATACAGGCATATTTTTGGAGATATGGAGGTGATAAAATAATCAGCTGAAGGTGTTGAAAGTGATTGCTTCTGGGAAGGGGAAGGAGGAGTAAGGAAATGTGTATGATTAATTGGCTCTTTAACTTATATACATGTGTAAGTTTGATAAAACTAAAAACTAACTGACAAGCAGAGGAAAAGGACGAGGGGATGAAGGGTGGAAGACAGGAAGGGAGAAGTGGGAGAAATGGAAAGAATGAAACACAAGAGAAGGAAAAAGAGGGTGCACAGATTCTTTTTTCTGAGCAGATGATGTTTTGGCTGATTGATACCTGGTCTTGATCATGTATAGGATTCTGAACTTTAGGCAGCAGGGTTTTCAGAGTGCACAATTTGATCTGCAATGTGTACATAGGCACATTTTCTCCTGTCTTCACAACACTAATTGTAGGGTTTAGATCACTCTCAGTCTGCCTGTAATCATTTATTAACAAACCAAAGGAATATCACAGGAAAATTTTTCCAATTCATGCTGGGCTGTGACAGACATGTCTGAGACAAGTCCATTTACACCAGTGCAGCTTTTGCCCAGCTGTTCAGACATTCATGATACACTTGGGAGATCACAGCTGTGTTTGTAGAATTTATACTTCAGATTAAAGTAGAATTTAATAGCTATTTAGAGCGTATTTTAGAAGACAACCCTTTGATCTTCTCAAGCATTATACACTTACAGGTTTAGCTGCTATGTACAGAAAGGAGCAGGGCAGCTCTGTCAAAGAGTAAGAGGCAAACAACCTTTAAACTACTGCTGATCTCCTGGTGTGACCAGATTTCAGTGGGTGGAGACTTATAGGAAGATGTGCACACTTCTCTTCCATTTTCTTTCTATTCTGCATTGCAGTGAACCCTATTGGAATCACTGGGAATAACCTTTTCCCTTGACTAAGCGGGGTGTATGGGGGACCCAGAGAAGATAAGAGCCCCCATAGATGTGGGTTCCAGTTTCAGGGATGCCAGTCATCTGGGCAATTTACTTCACATCTCTAAGCCCCACTTTCCTTACCTATGAGAATTCCAACATTCTTTCAGAGGTTCTTGAGAGGATTATCTGAAATCATGTAAATGAACAATACAGTTCAATGAATAATGAATGAAACTATTATTACCCTATGAATTCCCTTGCTAATAACCTTGGTAACCACTGGCTCTGCTTCTTAAAAATGATGCCCACTTCAGGTGACAATATTTACAGTTCAAATTGGGACCCATCACATGCATTTGAACTTGACCACCATAACAATTCTGAGGAACAGAATGAGCAGGTGAAAGAGATGACCAGAGGGGTTAAATAACCTCAAGGTCATCCAGCTGGGAAGTAGGAAAGTGAAGATTTGAACCTGAATCATTCTGGTACCACATTTATGAATGTTCTCACTTGTGTACTATCAGGAGCAGTTGGAATTGTTCCTTATACTGAGTGGGAATTGGCCATTCATTGACATTAACCCCTTTCTTTGAAGCTTGACAGTCTTTCAAGCTTTTGAAAAAACAGCTACTCTGCCCTGCAATGCCCCCCTGACCTGCTGCTCAACGGTTTGAAGCTAAGACTCAATTACCCCACTTGCAGGTCAAATGCTAAGTGTCTTCCAGGCACCAGCATCCGTAAAGACATGAGTGTCCCAGGTCATTGGCAAAAGTCCCAGCCAAGGGCATTGGAAACTTCGGGTGGCCTTGTGTGGGTGGTGGAGGATACTGGATGCTTAGATCTCTCAGAAGGCCTTGCCACAAAGCCCTTTGTGACAGCTTGTCTTATACACATTAGGCTTAGTTAGTCATCTTTGCAAGCTTCTAGGAGGCTGGCCAATGTGACGATTGGAGTAATCACCTGATAAAAAAGTGTTCAAGGCCCATTTCCCTTGGCCAGACTGCTCCTGTTCTTAGGGCAGGCTATGCATTCCCACTTGATTAAATCAACAATGTGCATTTCATTCACATACAATAGTTTTCATGAACTGAAAACTGCATCCAAGGCTGCCAGTTTCATTTTCCTGTAAATTTGCTGTGCAGCCCTCAGTTAGGTGACCCCAATCCTTCATCTGTATGGGCCTGGAGGGCTGTGCATCTTGGAGGCAGCAGGGAAGGGCAAGGGAGTTTTGCCATACTAATTGGTAAAGATCATCCCAAATGCAATGCCAGTTAGAACAACATACCCTTGGAAATAAAACTCTGAACACAAAATAACACAATTCAAATCCCAGGGAGAGTAAGAAGGCACAGGTTCTGGATGAGGAGGGAAAAATACAGACTCTGACAAATTACTTTGTGCTGCTCTGTGTCTCCCCCTGGGCCAAGAGGTCAGAGTATCTACTGGGTAGAGACATTGGCTTTGAGTACATCTGTGTGGGCTTAGGATCCAATTCCCAGATGGAGACAGTCCAGATGGTGCCAGCAGCACATGAGTGGGAGGGTTCAGTCCCTTGGAGAAGGAGTAAAATCATATTCCCAGATGGAGAGGTCAAGGCTGTGGATATTTTTGGTGCCTTTCAGTAGGAGGACAACGTTATTCCCACACCTGATTGGCAATCTCTTTTGGCGTAATGGAATTTACATGTTGGCAAGGATGTTGTCACGTGACTCTGTTACAGAAATAAACCTCGGGGTGCTCTGCTTGTCTGTGACGTATGACTCCCTTCCCTGCAGGCAGACTTCCTTGTCTGCAGGGAGTGAGTGAGAAAAGCACTCGTTGGATAATTTTAGAGAAGAGAGCTGAATATGACTTCCTTTCTCCTCTTTGATAGAACACAGGAAAGAGGAACTGTTAACCTGTTAAAAGCGCATCTTATCCGTATAGCTCAAGTCAACTTGTAAACCAATCAACAGAAGCGTGTTCCCAGCCAAGCAGTGCTGTTTACCATTTCTATAAACCTTAGCAAAGAGGCTAGCAATAGAAAATATAACAAAGATTGAAATTTCGCATCATGTACTTTATGTAATTTCCTGGAGGTAGAAACTTACTCAGGAACTCTTAAAAACTCTGTTTCCCATTGGAATTCCAAATCCTGTTGGAAGTTGCAAATATTGCTGGAATTTTAAGCATATTAGTGAGAAATACCTAAAGTCCATCCTCTTAAACATTTGATAAAATGAATCAGAAGTAAAGTGTGCATAATATCTTTTCTTAATGAAAACACTGCCACCAACTGGTTAATAAATGGTTTCGTCTACTTTTTTATTGACTAGAATAAGCAGTCTTTTTTTCTTCATTTAAAAAGGGATCCCAATTTCTATTAAAAGTAATTGTTTTCTCTTTTCATAAAAATTAATAGCACCTCATAACTGCTTGTCATTCTTCAGTCGTTAACAGAGTAAAGATGACCTGAAAAAAGCATATGCTTGCCATTCCCTAAGCAACAGTGGGCAGCGCTTTAGAGGGCACACCGATGGTTTCCAGGGGGATGTGTTGAATTTCACAATTTCAGTCTAGTGAATCACACAGCCCAGTTCATTAAGCTAATGGGACAGTTGTCCTTGTTTTTATAAAAGTAGGAAGAGCCCAGCTTATAGAGTCGATGACCACAGAAAATACCTTTTAGCAGCCTAAAGATACCCGCATGCTGGGTGGGTAAGTCCTTTGGTCCTTATTGAAAAGGAGTCCAGCTCTCTCTCTGCTTTTGTACTGGATATGCTCCAGAGGACTTATGTTGACTTTAGAACTTTAAGTGACCTAAGCTGTCTTGAAGTGTTAAGGCACAAAGAAAAAAAAATAAAACAGAAAAAGAAAAGGGAAGAATCAAAACAGCTACATCGGACGAACATAAAATGAACTCAGGGCTTCCACCTGATCAGATTTTGTAAAATCTGAACCATTGTCTGGACACTGACATGCATTCATCCAGGTCAAGTGTGGCAGGAGCCAAGCTGGTGTGCCTGTCACTTTGCTGGGAAGCATCCCTCACTGAGGAGGGAGGGAGCTGTGAGAGGAGCTCTTGTTCATGGGGAGCACAATCATGATGTTTACGCCAGGCTCAGTTCCAGGCGCTGCCTCAAGAGGTCTGAGCTGTACCTTCAAGGTCAGCAGGTGAGGTCTCCAGGGGTGGGCGTGGGAAACGTCCCAGAAAGTACCCACTGAATGTGGTGCCCCAGGTGAAGTCAGGTTCAAAGAAGAACCAAGAACAGATCTTGGGGTGGAGATCACTATGGGCTTGGGGTCAAAGGAGCATGAACTGGGCCAGCAGCCCCTCTCAGCCATGAAGACAGTGGAATAGGGAGAGGTGACCCACATTCGAGAATCTAGCCACGGAATAGTCTTGGCTTTGTTTCCTTGAAGTTTGGTTTTATTTTTAGTCACCCATGTCTGGAGTAGCAATTCCTGAGCTGTTACTGACTATGCTCATTCAGCAGGATGTTGGTGGGTGGGGTCCAATCATTCCAAGATCTGCCGAATTACACAAAGCTGAACAATGTGTTGTGGCCCGCACACTTATTCCACTATGAAGTTCCTTTTAACAGAGCATGGTGTGGTACTTGTGCCGAGGAACAGGCACCAAGAGACTGGCAGCGCCTACTGCCTCCCACCCACTGGGTCCCCTCCACCTCACCCCAGTACCAGCGGGATGGGCCCTGAAGGCCAGGGCCGGGTAACCGCACCGAAGTTCCAGGAATCTGCTTTCACTGAGGCACATCGAAAGCCTTGTAAGGAAGATTACCTCACTCACCTCCAGCCTGGGGGTAGGTGACCCCAGCACCACTGTGGGGTTGGGAAATGGGCTGATATTCAAACTGACGTGTTCCTGCTCCTTCCACACCACACAGTGCAACAGAAGGGCACGGAGTCTGCACAGTGACCCCAGGCCTGCTGGAGACCTTGGCCATCTCACTTGTCTTCTCTGAACCTCAGTTATCTCACATGGAAAATGAGGGCTTTGGGCTAGAATGATCTCTTGAGGACCTTAGCTGTTCTCACATTCTGAGGTTCCCCCAACCACGACTGTGTGTGGCTGTGTGGTACACACTCATCCACACACAGGGTGCTCACTACAGTAAGAGCTTGGTACGGGGAAGCGTGTAGCTGCGTGGTCATATCAAGTGAATTTTCCTGCTAAAATTTGATTCCAGTTGTTTCAATGGAACACAGTCAGATAGAGGCAGTGGCAGAGTGGAGAGAAAGAGAAAGAGAGAGAGGCGGCATTCACTTTCACTAGAGTCCCTTTTCTTCCAACGAATGAGGAAAATGGTAAGGACTCCCTGAATAAAAATATTCATTTATCAAAATGGCATTAATAAGAAAGGGGGAGGGATCATTAAGAATTTAAAATATGAAGATAAAAAGCTCTCAAAGGTTCCTAAGCACCAACATTAAGCTGTAACATCATTTATTAACTACAAGATTTTGTAGGACTCTTTACAGTTAATATTTAACTCAGTTGAGTTCACAGGCATAAAAGTATTTATGCAGCACAATTACATTATTTCAGGGCAAGTGTCCAGTTTAGGATATTCGAAATGCCTGGCACCACTGGAATTCTGCAGCAGTTAATGTTCAAATAAGGTGCAAAGCAAACGTGTGGACTGGTAAGAGTTTCCCATAGGCTTTCAGATGATCCTGAGAAATAAAGCATAGAGAAATATTTGTATTAAAAAAGTCCATTCAAAAATATGCATTTTGATGGCACAGTGGGGTGAGTGTAGTCAATAATAATTGTATATTTTAAAATAGCTGAAAGAGTGTAATTGGGTTGTTTGTAACTCAAAGGATAAATGCCCGAGGGGACGGATACCCCATTCTCCATGACGTGCTTATTTCACATTGCATGCCTGCATCCAGACATCTCATGTACCCCATAAATATATGCACCACAAGGTACCCACAAAAATTAAAAATTAAAAAAAGAAAAAACTCAATACCATTCAATATGAAATTACTCTGTGAAATATGTGAAAGACCTGTCTGTACACAATAACAATCAATGTTCAAGAAGACATAATAAAGAAAAAAAATTGTCGTTAAAAAATAAAATATGGCTTGGTAAGTTTTTTAAAGGACAATTTGCTTGAAACATTCTTGCTTGCCTACTGGGATTTTTGCCACCCTTTTCTCTTAACACCATGTCAGCCTGACACTTTAATAATATCCAGACCTCATAGGATTCATGGTACTGGTTTTAGCAAGAGACGCCCTCAGTTACTCGACCCTCCCAGCTACCCCGCTGGCATCCCAGGTCTTCCCCGGCCACAGGCCCCTGGCTCTCCCTGTGGATTCTCCCAGACGTGTGACATTGACCTCCTTAACGCTGCTCAGCATCAGCCTGACTACTGCAGCTTCTCTACTCGAGTCATCAAATCCTCCATTAAGAGGAATCTCCCAAAGCAAACACACCCAAACACTTCCCTGAAGAGCAGTTTCCCCAAATTGGATGCTCTTGGCCTCGCTGCAGCATCTCATGACCTCGGCTTTCGGGCTCCAAGCCTGAGAAAAGCCGAAGCATCCTCTCACTGTGCGTCCTGTGGCCGGGGTCCCTGCACAGCCCTCCCTTCCGGGCGGTGAAATGACCTCAGCCGAGCAAAAGGACTTTTCTGAAATCTGAGACCCACGGGGCTCCACTGGATGACCTAGTCTTGATCTGCAGAGACCGAGAACCAGGCGCCCAGGGTTCCCCACCCCAACACACCCTGCAGCAGAGCCTGTCTGGAGACGCAAGGGGCCGCCAAGAAAACGCTGGAAAACGGGGCAACGATTTTTTTTTTCTATTTCATCTGCTTTGAAGATTTAATTTTACTATGTTTTTAAATTCTAAGGGTAATACCCAATTAGAAAATGCTATCATTTTATTAAAGCATATTTGAAAATGTCTTCTTAATGAAGAGGAAGAGAACAACTCAGTGTAAGCCAGAGGTTTTGACATAATAAGGTAAATAACTGTGAATCAATGAATCCATCGAGGATTTGTTGAACTCGTAGAATGTCCCTATGGTCTCACCCATGTTGTCGTCTTACTTACAGAGACTTGTTTTCAGAAATTCTTCTATATACACTGTTTCCTTTCTAATGCACTGCATTGCTAAACTCAAAAGCATTTTCACATGTTGATGTGGCAAAAGTAAAATAAAAAAATATACTCAGCATAGAAAATTGGGAAATAGAGCAAAGTATAAACAAAAAATAAATCCCATCACCAGAGACAACCTCTTTTAACTTTTTAGTGGATTTTCTCCTAGATTTTCTCTCCATGTATTAAAAAATACGTTTTTAGAGGGCTGGCACGGTGGCTCACGCCTGTAATCCCAGCACTTTGGGAGGCCGAGGCGGGCAGATCCAGAGGTCAGGAGATCGAGACCATCCTGGCTAACATGATGAAACCCCGTCTCTACTAAAAACACAAAAAATTAGCCGGGCGCGGTGGTGGGCGCCTGTGGTCCCAGCTACTCGGGAGGCTGAGGCAAGAGAGGGGCGTGAACCCGGGAGGCGGAGCTTGCAGTGAGCTGAGATTGCGCCACTGCACTCCAGCCTGGGCGACAGAGCCAGACTCCGTCTCAAAAATAAATAAATAAATAAATAAAAGTTTTTAGAAAGTAACTTCATACGTACAGGTTTTTCATTTTGATTTTTTTTCACTTAACATAGCATAAGCATTCCCCATGTCATTAAATATTTAGCAAAACATGTTTAATATCTGCATAATATTCTATTACTATACCATAGTTAATGTCTGCATAATACTCCATTATATGACTATGCTATAATTTATTTACCCATTATCCTTTAATGCAAATGCTCATTTGTTCAATAGAAATTGATTGAGTTAGGTGCCATATGTTGTTGGGCATTTTGGTACTTTCTAATTTGTTAGCTTTATAAATTTTATAGTGTTGAGCATATTTTCCCCACATCTTTGTGTATACCTTCAATTATTTTATTAGGACAAACTTCTTCAAAGCTCACTGTTCGATGAAAAAGAATTAACACATTTTTCTGCCAACTTTTTATTTGAAAAGTTTCAAACCTACAGAAAAGTAGAAAGAATAGTATAATGAAAATTTCATTTAGATTCACCAAATGGGCACATTTTTCTCACTCCTTCTCTTCTCTCTCTCTCTCTCTCTCTCTCTCTCTCCCCCCCCACACACACACACACACACACACACACACTTCCCTGAATGACTTGAACCTTTAGAAAATAACTTGCAAACACCACAATATTTCGCTCATTCCTAAACTCTTCAGCCTTCAACTCCATCTCCAAAGAAAGGACATTCTCTTAGATGTTCATGCTACCTATATCATCCTGAAGAAATTTAACATGTGTTCCCTAATATTAACCCATATATAGGTCACTTTGATTTTTTTCCTACCTGTTCCAATAATGTCCTTTATAGCTGTTGGGTTTTGAAATGTTGTTTTGTTTATTCATTTGTTTGGCTTGGGATCCGATTGTTTTGCTTCCACATTGCACTTGGTTACCCCCACCCCCACAAATTTGTTGAGGTAGAATTTGCACTGAATAAAATTCCGTCTTTTTAGATGTTTAATTCTATGAATTTTGACAAGCTTATATAGTGATACAACTACTTTGGTGGTAGTTTCAAGGTATAGAATTTTTCCATCACACCAAAATGTTCACTCTAGCCCTTTCATAATCAGTAATGTTGCTTTCCCCTTCTCACCCCTGGGAAACATGGGTCTGGTTTCTATTTGTAATGTTTCCCTTTTTCCAGAATGTCATATAAATGGAATTGTACAGTATGATGATGAGTCTAACTGTTGAGTTTGACTTCTTTCAATTTGCATAATGCTTTTAAGAGTTATCTACATTGTTGCATGTTTCAGTGGTTCGTTCCTTTTAATTTCTGAGTAACATTTCATGCTCTAACAAAATTTGTCCATCCATTTGCCAGCTGATAGACAGTGGAATTGCTTTCAGTTTTTGGTGATGATGAATAAAGCTGCTATAAACATTTGTGTGCAGGTTTTTATGCACTACATTTCTTTTAGGTAAATACATAAGATTGGGATTTCTGGGTATAATGCTGAAGATATGTCTAGTTTCATGAAAGACTATCAAACTGCTTTTCAAAGTGGCTGCATCATTTTGCATTCCTCCAGTAATCCACTTGCTGTGAATTCTAGCCAGTATTTGAAATTGTTTGGGTTTTCTAAAGCTATTCTAAGAGGGTGTCATGGAACTTGTTGTAATTCTAATTGGCAGTTGATGCTGACCATCTTTCCACATTCTAATTTGCCATCCGTGTATTTCTTTGGTAAAATGTTTTGCATGGTCAAAACATTTGTTCAGGGCAGGGGAGACGTTTGTTTTCTAATTACTGAACTTTGAGAGTACTTTATATTTTCTGGTTATTAGTTCTTTACCCATTATATGTTTTGCAAATATGTCTTCCCTGTCTGTGACTTGTCTTTTCATTTCCTTAATGGTGTCTTTCAAAGAGCAGAAGGTTTTCATTTTGATGAACTCCAATTCTGATTCCCAGTTTTTTCTTTATTGGTCATACTTTCGGTTGTATCCAAGAAATCTTTGCCTAATTCCAAATCACCAATCTCCTATGTTCTCTACTGGAAGTTTTATAATTTTAGTTTTTATATTTAAGACTAGCCACTTTGACTTCTTTTTGTATATGGTGTGAAGTATGAGTCAATGTTTATTGCTTTGCATATATATGTCAAATTATTCCAGAACTGTTTTTTGAAAAGAATATTCTCTCTCCATGGAACTACTCTGCTTTATAAACAAAAGAATATGAAAACAAAGATTGTAGAAGGAGTGATGTAGATTCAAAATTATTTGATTTCATGGTACCTTACATGTGAAACCACTGAAAATGGACAATTCTAATTCATGAAGACTACAGATGCAAGACTAAAAGCTAGATAATCCACTATTCTTAGCTGTCCATTTGCTTGATGAGAGTTTGGATTAAAAGGGTATTTAATTGCCAGTCCTTTAGTACCTAGAATTTAATGTTATATAACAAAAATTAATAAGCCTTTATATATTTCTTGACCCTTCCAAAATATTTATGCTACTCTTCTGGTTTTTATAGATGAAAAGAAAGTTAATGTATAGAAAGTACTCATTTTCCAGAAGAACTGTTAGACTTTAAGGAAAATTTTATACCCACAGGACCTCTTTGCATTTCACCACACACCTTAGGAAATACCAGTTCATTCCCTCCACCACAAGGGATAATTGGATGGAAACATTTTTAACTCCTTTTGATTTTTTTCCAGTTTTTAAAATGTTTTTTCCAGTTTTGGTTTTGTTTTCTCCCACCAATTTCCTATTGCCACCCAATAGCAGTGAATCCTATATTCTAATTTGGTGTTTAGGCTTCCTTTAACATGAAAAATAATACTTTAAATATACCATAAAGAAAAATAGGAACCAAAGGTTTCCTTTATGCTTCATTGTTTAGCAGATGAAATGCTGTAGCAGTGAGTCTACCAATTTCAAAAACCTAGGCTCAATTGGATTTTTTTTGTAGAGACGGGGTTTTGCCATGTTGCCCAGGCTGGTCTTGAACTCCTGGGCTCAAGCTATGCCCACCTTGGCCTCCCAAAGTGTTGGGATTACAGGTGTGAGCCGCTGCACCCAGCCTAGGCTGAACTGGAAGAAGCTATCTATGAGATTCTATAACCTGGTCCCTTCTCTTCCCTGACTTCTTAGCTCAGTATTTCAGAAATCCAGGCTGGCATCAGTATTTTTTACTTTTCTACCACCCATGTGAGTGTGATTGCCCATGAGAGGGAACTGCAATGCTGCCCAAGATGCTGCACAGTGCAAAGTGTCCCGGCTTCCACACGTGCGGATCTCAATGACTGCATCTTCTGAGTGGGGGCCAAGTGTTTGTATGTATGGCAGACTGAAGAGGTCTGTCACCCTCTCTGTGTTCATCCATTCCATAATATTTACAAGCCCATGACATGGCTAAGGAAAGGGATAAAACAGGAAATAAGAGAGCCACACCTCATTCTCCTGGAGCTCAGGGCCTGGGGTGGGGAAGACTGGCAACCACACCTGCTACAAGCCACATAATAGGGAATCTGCAGACCTCAAGAGACATGGGAGAGAACTCCTGGTCAGTCCTTCACACTGCCAGCAAGACTATTTCTTGGTGAGGAAAGACGATTGATGATTTACTTTATTTTGCTGCCAATGCAGTAAATCTCATCACATGTAAATGAGTGAGAGTCCCCAGTGATTAATCGTCCCCATGACAAATTGTCTTCATCCGGTTCCCAAGCTCATCTTCATTTCAGCAATCTTGTCATCTGCAATAAACATATTCCATTTCGCCTTGCAATTGTTGATTAAGAATGTTAAACATCTGTTAAAATAAACCAAATCTGTGAGCCATTCTTTATTGTTAGGATGAACAATGAATTCATTTCCCTTATCCAAGTGGTGCCTATTATTTTTCCTCCTTGAAAAAAAAACACAATCCAACCATGAATTGGAAAACACTGACCAGTCCAAGTCAGCTAATATCTACAGAGCAGGACAAACATTCAAGGCCACTTCCCATTTTATTAAAAATTGACCAAAAATAAATAAAACCTACCACCTATTTTATTAAGTGTATTTTTTTTTACCACCTCCATTTAATGCAGCATTGGTTAGGAGTAATTTCAGCCTGAAATAAAAGAAACTGACTAACATAGCTTAGTTCGAGATGTATTTAACCCACAGCACAAGGAGTTGGCCATCTAGGGCTGATGCAGGGGACTCCAGGAACCAGGCTCTCTCCATTCTTCTGTTTTTGCTTTCCACTGTGCTCATGGCAGACCTCATTGTCATGCTTGCCATCTCTTGTCACAACATGACCTCCATACCAAGCAGGAGGGAAAAGGAGGGAAAAAAAGGGAAGGCAGAGAGGTGAAGGTGCATCACATCAGCCATTTCTAGCTGCAAGGGACTCTGGCAATGTGGATATTTTATCTGGGCTGTCTGTGCCTAAGGTGCCATCAGGATTCTATTAGTGAGGAAAATGGGCAGAAGAGATGTTGGCTATGCAACTAGCAGACTCTGCCATAAACACACAGAAATCAACAGACAAAGGTCTTGCAGGTGAGGTGTGCTTAATATGCTTAGAGTGTGCAATGGGTTGGAGCAGCTGCATCAGCATCACCCACAGCCACTGCTCCTAACAATTTTCATGCATACCTGCTTTCACTCCTGAAAGGAAGCACCTATGTCTCTTTGTTGAAAGATTGCCTCAGGCTGCTGTAGCACCTTGTTTATATACAGGAGAGAAGACAAGTGTCTGGGAATTTACATGCCCTCAGGATCCGCCCTTAACCAATAGTGTAAATGCCTCCATTCTCTTTACACTAACTGGAATATTTCTGACATGTGAGTTACATATCTCTACAGTGTCCTGGGATGGAGGTGGGGGTGTGGGTTTAAACCAAAGTTTCACTGCTCAAGCCTCAGACTGGCATTGCCTTTTCTTGGCTTCCTTTCCTTCCTGGTACCACTTCCCCATTCCTCTACCAGTTTTTCCTGGGATCACTTCCTGATAAACAACTTCCACAAACATCATCTCAGGGGATGTTTCTCAGGAACAAAAAGTGTCATAATTTTAAGCACATCAGTGCCTCTGAATGCACGTGTCTTCCCTAGTCAATCCTGCCATAACTAAAAACACTCACACATTTAAAATTTCTGTGTTATTATCTAACCATCAGGTGCTTTGCATTGTAATTAGTGTTTACAGACATCATCATTATAAACATTGTAAACACAGATCAATATGATGGTCTTATCATTAACATGTTTGTGATCAACCAACTGCAAGGTTAAAGCATTGAATTAAACTCAATATCTTAACCATTTATTTAAGCAAAAGGCAACTCAATCTGAATAAAATGCATTTTTACCATGCCATTTGAGAAGGCTATGTTTTCCAGTGGGACTACTTATATTTGTTCCAAACTAGAATCAATCATACTGACATGGAAGGTTGTCATCAACTTCTCTCTCATAATGTGAATTTCACCATAAGACATTTCTGAAACTGAGCTTGACGGAAGAGTCAAGCAACTTCTTATTTTAGGTTTTATTTACTTGTAGTTTTCATTTATTGTTTCTAGTCAAAACACCACTTTTTCTGGATTCAAAAAAAACATTCTTACTCATAAATACATAGACCTACTATGTACCCACAAAAATTAAAAATAAAATAAAGAATTTTTTTCTGACCTCAAAAAAAATTCTTAGATTTTCTTTAAAGCCAGCAGGTTTGTTTTTCAAACACTACATCATGATCTTGGTTTTGTATAATTTATTGCTCAGTTTTTTTGAACAGATGACAATAATATTTGAGCTTATTTGCATTGACACAGTGATAAAAATTCATCTCTGAAATAACATTCTAAGAACACCTATGCATTCTGGATCGGTGGCTGCTGCTGCTTTTGGCTGTGTTTGAAGTGCCTTCTGCAACGTCAGCTTCAGTGTCAGAACTGCACAGACAAAGGCATGTCTGTCTTAATCCTCAGCAACTCCAGGAAGCTCCAAATGTCTTCATTACCTGGCATATTTTCACTCATTTCAAGCTTAGGCTTCTAACTTCCCTTTTAAAAGTAATCTGTTTCAAGTTCTCAACTGAAAACATAATTTTAAAAATTATAATGGTTTAATTGGGAAAATGAAGAATGGTACTAACTCAGCAAAAGCCTGATTTACTGTCCTTTTTGTCATGAGAATTCATTGCAGCTGGAACCAGACAAAGTTGCATTTTGATAAACAAAATCTTGAGCCAACGCACAATGGCAGGAAGCTAAACTGACTTGTGTGGGCCAGTTTTATTTTCTATAATCAAACACTGGCTCAGGAAGTGACGCATTCACTTTAAAAATGGCTTCTAGTTCAGGATTTTGCACTGAGAACATATTTTTACTTCCTCAAAATAAACTTCCAATGACAGTTTTTTTAAAAGCAGAAAAAGGAATAAATTCTTAAAAATTTACACCTTAAAATGGCAAATAATATCATTTATTGGCCTTTTGGCTAAGACCAAGTGTAAAACGGCAAGTGAAGAACAAGGAACTCCTAAACCCATCACCTTTTAGTTTTTTAAGGTTGTCAGGGGGCTCCTTGTGGCTGACCCTTAACTAAGTCATGTTTTTTGATGAACAAATCATTGATGGAACACAACTTCTTCTAGAAGGTGAACTGATTGGCAAGAGCCAATAGCATTTTCTGATTCAACAGCAGCCCATAAGTGACGATCTCATGGCTTCTTAAACCTCCACTTTCAGTTCAACATGGGACCCTGATCCACGCATTTGCCTCCCTCCAATAGTGATCACACTTAACTGAAAGAAAAAGGTCACACACTCATGGGGACAATTCAGTGGGCCAAAGACTTTGATGAACCTCTGGATGATCTAAGCCAGAGGGCTCCTACTTCAGATCACACTTAGGGAGCTAGAACCAAGGGGCAATGTGCTTTTCACAGCAGATAGCTCCAAGCTCAGTTAGGAGCTGGAGGCAGGGGCAGAGGTTCAAAGGCATGGGTCTTAGGGCAGGACCATCTGTGCATGGGGTTGATCCCACTTTCTCCATGAGCCCTGCTGCACCCCACCTTCCAAATCACAAAACTGAGACTCCCTACCCTAACAAAAAAGAATCATCAGCAGGGGAGGAGTTTGGCTTTAAACTCTAACTGAGCACCTACTAGAGAGTCAGGCACATGCTAAGAGCAGGGGTTAAGAAAAGCTGATTAACACATACACCATGGAATTCTATGCAGCCATAAAAAATGATGAGTTCATGTCCTTTGTAGGGACATGGATGAAATTGGAAATCATCGTTCTCAGTAAACTATCGCAAGAACAAAAAACCAAACACCGCATATTCTCACTCGTAGGTGGGAACTGAACAATGAGAACACATGGACACAGGAAGGGGAACATCACACTCTGGGGACTGTTGTGGGGTGGGGGGAGGGGGGAGGGATAGCATTGGGAGATATACCTAATGCTAGATGACGAGTTGGTGGGTGCAGCGCACCAGCATGGCACATGTATACATATGTAACTAACCTGCACATTGTGCACATGTACCCTAAAACTTAAAGTATAATAATAATAAATAAAAAATAAAAAATAAAAAAGAAAGAAAAGCTGATTCTGATCACACTGGCTTCATCCTGTGCAGCTCTCTGTGGGCCCCCTTTAAGGCTCTGAGCAGTCACAGCGGATTTAGCAACTAGGAGCCACCGCCCACCCTCGATTTCAGAGCAGTAAACCACTGAAATACAGCAAGAGATTCTCCAAACACGATCTATTTCTAATGAACCAATTGAGCCATCTGTTGGGTACCTTTTTAACCACTGCCAACCAGCCAAGAAGCTCTCTCTCCAAATTTATATGCGTCAAGGGTTACTGGGCCATGCCAATCAGCAAAGAGCTCAGAAAACTTGACTCGCTTTAGAAAATTGAAGGACTCTTATAAAAGAATTTTGTGCTCTGCCCATCTGTTTTGGGGGAACTTAAAACATCCCATGACATGAATAATGATTAACCAGGAACTTATCACTAATTATGATTACACTGTCGGAATCCACTTTGATTTTCCTGTGTTTGAATTTATCACACTGCAGCGCTCTAGTCTGTCCCACAGTCTTCAGTGAGCTCTCAGTCCTCACTGAAAGCTCCGTGGAAAGCAGGCAACGTGTTTCCCTCCTCACTGAGACTCAGCTCCCAATCCACTTGGTTTTCAGACAGCCTCTGAGATAATTTGGGCACCTCAGGACAAATCCAGAGGGAAAAAGAAGTTCTACCTTCCCAGAGCATCTTTGTATGCGAAAGAGACTTAAAATTTCTGTTGTTAAAACTATGAAACCAACACAAAACTGTGTTGCACATATTCCCCTTGGCTCAATTCCTAAAGAAATGTGCTGTGTCTTAACCCTCCTCACTGGGGTTGGTTTGAAGATGGCCTGAGGCTGGTCTCACTTTGATCCTTTATGGCACTTAGTTTCCTGGAGTGGGGCTCCAAGTCACTTAAGGAGTGCTGTCAGATGGTATTAGAAAATAAGGATTTCTTGTTTGTTTGCCTTGTCTTGTTTGTTTGCTTAGTGAGAGAAAGTAGAGTGTGTTTGGTGATTGTGTGTTTATGGAACAACCCAGCGGATGAGGAGATCTGGTAACTGGGAGAGAGTGTGGTGTGGAGCACCCCCTCCTGAGTGGTGAGGGAGGCCTGCAGTGCACCAGGCGGTGGTGCTGGCTTCAGATGAGGCACAGGCGGTTCATCCGTGGAGACGTGAATGGTCTTCCTGATAAGGTGTGTGCAACTGTGGAAATTAAACAACAGCGCAAAGTTTGTGTCTTGCGTGGGCGTGGAGGATGCTACATTTCCTCCTGATCTCCAACTGCAGTGTTTGGTTGTGATTCTGATTTCTGCCTTGAGTTTTCTCGGGAGGTACAAGGACTCCCCTGTATCTGATTTGGTGATGTAGAAGATGGTGGTGACCTTGCAACATGAGCCCAGCTTGTGTGGGTTTTTGGTTTTTATTTATAATGAGTAAATGTTTTCTTCAGAGTAAATTTACAGAAGCTACGAGAAATATTATTCATGGCTAAAATATGGATGTTTTCCAATAAACAATTGGGAAGATGGAATTGCCATTCTCAAGGTGGGGAAGACCATGGACAAAGCAAGAAAGGAGGAGGAGGAGACCAGGAATTTTGCTTGTGGAAAAATTTAGTAAGAAGGCAACCTGAAAAAGCTACATACCACATGATTCTAACTATATTACATTCTAGAAATGGCAAAACTATGGAGACAGTAAAATGATTAGTGGTTGCCAGGGACCAGGGGGAGTGGAGGATGAATAGGTGGAGCCCAGGGGACTTTTAGGACAGTGAAACCAATCTATATGATTCTACAATGGTGGATCCATGGCATTATATATCTGTCAAAACCAGTAGAATGTATACCACCAAGAGTGAACCCTAATGTAAACTGTGGACACATAATGATGTGTCCATGTAGCTTGATACATTGTAACAAATATAAAACCCTGGTGGAGGATGTTGATAATGGGGAGGGCTGTGCATTTGTCGGGGGATGGAAGTATGTAGTTGTATTAGTTCATTTTCATACTGCTGTAAAGAACTGCGTGAGACAGGGTGATTTATAAAGGAAAGAGGTTTAATTGGCTCACAGTTCAGCGTGGCTGGGGAGACCTCAGGAAACTTACAAATATGGCAGAAGACAAAAGGGAAGCAAGACACCTTCTTCACATGGTGGCAGGAGGGAGAAGTGCCAAGTGAAGGGGGGAATCCCCCTATAAAACCATCAGATCTCGTGAGAACTCACTTGCTATCACGAGAACAGCATGAGGGGAACCACTGCCATAATTCAATTACCTCCACCTGGTCTCTCCCTTGACATGTGGGATTGTGGGGACTATGGGGATTACAATTCAAGATGAGATTTGGGTGGGGACACAAACCCTAACCATATTAGTGGTAACTCTTCCTTCTGTTCAATTTTTTTGCGAACCTAGAACTACTCTAAAAAAATAAAGTCTACTACAAAAAGAAAAAGGAAAGAAAGAAAGGAAAGAGAAATATGCAGTCAATTATTTACTAAATTCAATTTTTTAAAATTTAGCAAATATATCACAAAAAATTATCCACATTAAAAAAGGCAAATAGCTCAATATAAAAATACGTATAAATATTTAACAGACAATTCATTTATTTAGAAAAGGTAAAGGGGAAATAAACCAATGAAAAATTGGATCTTCATAATTAGGAAATTCTATATAAGACATTAATGGGCACACATTTCTGTCCCTATTTGATTGACCAAATTAAAAAGGGGAGGGAGAGAGAATATCAAGTGCTGGTGAGGATGTGGTAACTGGGCAGTTTCACAGATTATTTAAGGAAATATTAATTGATAGAGATCCAGGATATGTTTTGGAAGCTAGTTTGTGTTACTAAATCACTTGGGATAAAACGTCTTCACAGTAATTTTGATCTTCATGTTTTCTTGAACTCCTGTGAGGTAACTTTGTGAGAAGGAAGATTTCCTTTCAATTAGTTGCTCTGTTAGTCAGATAGAGCCTGCCTGCAGATAAAACACTAAGTTAAATTCTAAAAATAAATGTGAATCTTTTCTTTACTTTGCCAGATTCAATTCTATTAAACAAGCCATTGGGACATCAGAGAAACTCAGTGGCTGGAGGGGATTGTAATATTGTCCATTACAATCCAGAAATGGCACATTCTCGAACCTCCCACCGTTGGTCAAGAGGGCTTTGCAAGCGGGCACAGAAGCAAGTGAGGTTTGGGGTTAAGTCTGGAAGCAATCACTGTCTGTTGCTGCTGCTGCTCCTGCTGCTGACAGGTCTAGAGGAGGTAGGTGTCTAATCATTGTGAAGTGGAGACAGCCCTTCCCCGTGCGACACCAGGAAAGAGTCTAAATTGCCCTGTTCTCCACAAGCCATTTTCATTAGATAGATGTCTAATTCTCCTAGTGGGCACGTGGCCCTGGCGGTCTTATAAAGCCCAGGGTGTGCAGACAGAGTTCCCCCAGTGAGACTCTAAGTTCTGTATCATCCCTGGATTTCTAGACTTATTACAGTGTCTGGCGTAGAAATCACAGAGGCATAAAGAAGCCACTAAACTAATTTCTAATAAATAAATGGATGGGTGGGTGGATGGATGGATGGACAGATGATACCATCAAAAGACAGAATGAATCTCTCACTGCATAGCAAAATTGGTTTTAAATAGCCCAAGGAAAAAACTGGTTCCAAAGAAGTGTTGAAGGACCTATGCTTAGGAAAAACAAACACACAAACAAAAAACAACAAAAAAACCCCAACAACAACAACAACAAAAGACCCAGGTAAGTAATCAATTAAAAGAGGACCCTTCAATGATCAATTCTGATACTTGAAAAAGCTCAAGCTTAAACGTGTTTTTGCATTGAAAATGTGTCTGTGAACCAGTATTTCCCGTATTCTGCAGATTTCATTATAAAGGCATTTCTTATTTTTAAATAATCAGATAAAACAAAAAGATTTTATTTTGACTTCTCAGACTCCTAACTTGTTTTCAGAAAAATGCTGGCAATGGCTATTTTAATTCTTATTATTTTACAGAGGAAAGCAAGCTGAAATTTGGAGGTTATCCTGAAGCAAATGACATTTCTTTCCTGGCCTTATTAGTTAGATGATGAATCTAGTGTCCCGTGTGTGAGGCAAATTCAATGTAAAGGCTGATTGAAAATGCTTCCTGCGTCGTTAACCACAACACCTTTCTCACTGCCTGTGGTGATACTTGCAGGGCACAAATGAAGGATATGTGAGCAATTCCTAGACATGTTGCACTTCTCTGAGATTTACAGCTCTGAACCTTCAGTAGAAATTTGTGGAGCAAACTCTAACCAAACTTTGCAATATCAAATTTTTACAATGTTAGTATAAATAAAAAGAAACTCAAGTGAAAATAAATAGGCAGCTTCGGTTTCTTCCCTCCTTTTTCAAAATAAATGGTCTTGCGAAGGAAAACTCGAAGAATTAAAGCCAAAATAAGATATTCTTCTCATAGGCTGTCTCTGGCCTTGGAAATTGTTTGTTTGATAAAAGAGCATGGAGAGAGGAAATGGACAGGGTGAATGCTTTGCAAAAGGTGGGTGTTAAGTAAGCATATGTTTGTTAGACTTAAAAATATTTTTTGGACCCCTTTTAAACAAAGCATTTTTAAAACTAAATTTTAGCATCTTTGTTTTTATCAAAGTTATGGAAATTAAATTTTCTCTTCTCCAAATTAGGGGAATATTCAGGCTAACGTGTGAAGCATGCAAAGTGAATACCTGGTACAAAGTGGAGAATGCCTGGTACAAAGATTTTCACTGGAGTTGAAAGCTTGGGATAGAAAGTAGAGCCTCAGCTGACAAAGACTATGGAGTATGGGAGGAGGTGTGTGTGGGCACTTCCACTTCCCATTCCAGGTGGAAGTTCAGAACACCTGGTCACCTAAAAGGAGTGCAGCATAACATGTATGTAACAATCACCCTATGTTTCAATGTACAGTTTTTGGTCCCCAGTCGAAACATTCTACCACATGTAACTTTAACATTTACCTTTGACAAGAACTAAAAGTAGATCTACCATTCCATTCATCAATCCCCTACTGGTATCTACTCAAAATAAATTAAAAAAATCACTATATCAAAGAGAAATCTCCTTGTGCATGTTCATCACAGCACAGTTCACAATTGCAAAGATATGGAATCACCTAAGCGCCCATAAATTGATGAGTGGATAAAGAAAATGTGATATATATATATATAATGTCTCACAGAATACTACTGAACCACAAAAATTAGCACTATAAGGTCTTTTGCAGCAACTTAGATGGAATTGGAGGCCATTATCCTAAGTGAAGTAACTCAGGAATGGAAAACTAAGTATCACATATCTCATAAGTGGGAGCTAAGTTATGGTATGCAAAGGCATACAGAGTGGTATAATGAACACTGGAGACTCAGAAGGGAAGGGTGGGCAGGGGGTGAAGGATGAGAAATTACTGATTGGGTACAATGTACACTATTTGCATGACCCAGACACTAAGAGCTTAGACTTCACCATGATACAATTCATCCATGTAACCAAACCCCCCAGAACCCCTAAAGGTATTGAAATAAAAAATTTATCTTTAACAAATCATGCCTTTTCTTATAAAATCAATTGAAAGTAAACAAAAATGTATGCATCTTTTGCTAAATGGAAAGAAGCCAGACAGATTATAAATAACATTCAAGATTATATTGAAATTAATTTGATAGTTTAATTATCAAATAATAATATACGAATCAAAGCCAAAATTCACAACTTAAAATACGTTTAAGGTAATATATTTATAAAAAACATTAAATGATTATATCCTTAAGCGGTTTCTTATGACTATGTATTTTTGAGAATAACTTCGATGAGTGAAGATTGTCAGGAAATCTTATTCCAGAGAGAATTGGCAAGGAGAGGAATTTCTTGTGTCTGATCTGGGCCAAGCCTCAATTCCACATCACCCCTTTCTCTCTGCACCGCACCCCATTCCTGTCTCAGTCTGCCTCATCCCCTGGGGTCTTCAGAGGGCACAGTCTGGGGTTGGCTCATCAAAAAGCAGATTCACTATTTATTAATTAATTGTAAACATTATAAGCAAGGACATTCCTAACATAGATGCAGTTTAAAAACATAACTTTTGGAAAAATAAAATATTTGCTCTTCAGTGTAGGCTAAAAAATACATATTGGTTATCAGTCTCTTTAGTTACTTAAGGAGTGAACCCACTTTAGGTTCTTTGTCATAAGCCCCTTTTGTACTAAATTAGTTCTCTCTTATATCAGAGAAAAAATGGTAGCTACTGTTTCAGGACAGCTCTTCAGTAAAAGCACCCACCACTAATTGTGTGGTACTTCAAATTGTAGGAGGGGAAATATTCTAAAATTAATAATTGCTTAAAATGTAAGACCTCCTTAAGAGTGACGAATGATTTCCATATCCATTCATGTATTTTTCTTTCTCTCAAAGTCAATAAAGCTGCTTTCATGCCGGACATGTGGAATCACTTCATCCCTGCATCTGTTTATTGCACATCATTGACAATTCTTAAAATACCAAAGGTTTTCCTTTGTCTCACTGCCATACGGAAAGTGAATTTTCTAAATGAAAATGGATCACACTGTTGGTTATAAGTATAAACAAACAGTTAAAACATATCTATTGTCTGTGTGTGTGCAAGTATGTGTGTTTTTAGCCACAAGACTAGAAACACTGAGATTATTTGGTGCAAGGCTCCATAACATGGTGCTTTCTCCACCACGCCCTTGTGGAAAATCTGCATCTGTGTTAACTTCTAGAACAGCAGGAAAGCTGGCTTGCATTCCCGAAGACCAAGCTGAGCAAGAGAATTAGAAAATTAAGCTTTCATCTCAATTTTTATTTCAGAGTTAGATCTTTATGTGTTCTTTTTAGACACCGTTTTTGTTTCTTTTTTTATTTTATTTTAAGTTCTGGGATACATGTGCAGAATATACAGGTTTGTTATATAGGTATACATGTGCCATGGTGGTTTGCTGCACCTATCAACCCATCATCTAGGTTTTAAGCCTGATATGCATTCGGTATTTGTCCTAATGCTCTCCCTCCTCTTGCCCCCAACCCCCCAACAGGCCCCAGCGTGTGATGTTCCCCTCCCTGTGTCCATGCGTTCTCATTGTTTAACTCCCACTTATGAGTGAGAACATGCGATGTTTGGTTTTCTCTTCCTGTGTTAGTTTGCTGAGAAGGATGGTTTCCAGCTTCATCCATGTCTCTGCAAAGGACATGAACTCATTCTTTTTTATGGCTACATAGTATTCCATGATGTATATGTGCCACATTTTATTTATTCAGTCTATCATTGATGGTCATTTGAGTTGGTTCCAAGTCTTTGCTATTGTAAATAGTGCTGCAATAAACATACATGTGCATGGGTCTTTATAGTAGAATGATTTATAATACTTTGGGTATATGCCCAGTAATGGGATTGCTGGGTCAAATGGTATTTCTAGTTCTAGATCTTTGAGTAATCGCCACACTGTCTTCCACAATGGTTGAACTAATTTACATTCCCACCAACAGTGTAAAAGCATTCCTATTTCTCCACAGCCTCGCCAACATCTGTTTTTTCCTAACTTTTTAATGATTGTCATTCTAACTGGCATGAGATGGTATTAGATACCATATTCTATTTTGCCTCTAGATGAAGTGCCTGCATTATCAGTAAAATAAAATGAAGACTGAGTGACATTTTGAAGACTGTTAAATGAACAGAAGATAATTAAAAACAAAACATCACTAAACAAGGCTTTGTCTGTATCCAAGTCACAATTCCCTGGATGGAGCAGTACTCAGGGCACGTGAGTTCTGGTACTGGGGCTCCATCTCCAGCTGGCCCATCCAGGGCACAGTTCTCCATGATTGCACACCACGCTGCCTTCATATATAAGATGAAGATGCTAATACCTAACCTAGGGGCTGTCATGATGTTTAAACAAAATTGCTTAGCACACAGTCAGTTCCACAGTAAGTTCTCAATAATGATAGTTAATTCTTGAACTCCTGGCCTCAAGTGATCCTCCTGCCTCGGCCTCCCAAAGTGCTGAGATTACAGGCGTGAGCCACCGCATCTGGCCGTGATAATGATAGTTAATTCTATTGATAAGACTGCTTAAGCAATCAAAGCGTGTCCATGTTACAGGAAGCAAAGTTGTAAAGAGGATTCCTGAGCCATACTTCTATCCCAAGACCAGAAGTGGGCTTTGGGGATACTAAGTTATGTGTTTTCCACAGATAAACTTTGGATGGACTTAGATATGAATTTAAGTGATTCACACCAGCCCATGTATTTCCCTAATCTGCTGGGCAGAAGGTTCCCTCTTTACAAAAGGACAAAATTCTGTGTTTCAGATACATTTTTATACAAGAAAAAGGCATAAGAGAAGGGAGATAGAGTCTGGATACAACACTGTGTTGTTCAGTTAGAATGGGAGCTGGGAAATTGGGTTTTGTCAATTATTCAATTGTATGATTGAAAAAAATCTGCTATATGAACAGGCTTCAAAACAACCACCGGATGCAAAGTCCATTTCAAGCAATTCAGGAGGGTGTGTTATGGGTGGGAGAGAGAGATACCCTGTTTCCTTTTAAGAAGATTAGCTGATAAATCTGGAAGGGATCTTAGCAAAGTGGGCATCCTAATGCTGAGTAAAGAGGAAGCTCTGGTGGGATTCTCACCTTGGAAGGTGTTGATCCAGTAACTGACCCATTTGTAAGGAATGGGTCAGGGATCCTTCCATGGCCTTCTTTAGATGGGGCCCCTTACTCTATTTCTTCATCCTTTTCTGTGTTTGAGCTGAAAAGAAGGAAAGTTGTAGGACCTGAGATCTTTGCATGTTTTAGGGAGACAGTCCCAGGGAAGGGTGCTCCACACAAAAAGTAGTTTTGACAAACAGGAAGCAATCTTGCTGCAATGGAGAAGGAGCAATTCCCACAGCTGTGGTTCCCAACTTCACTGCTGGGCTTTTGGCTACCTGATGTATACAAGGAAGAAATTGAAGATTTTTCTGTAGGTCAGAATGGGGGAAACCAAAGTCATATTAAATGATAATAGGTGGCATCTGGAGAACTTGCAAGAGGATGTAACAGACACATCCTAATTGCACAGCTTTTAATGTTGCCCCATATGGCATTTCTTTGCTTATGACTGGACAGACAAAGATATTGAGCCAATTGCATGTTTAAATGCTGAGGTAACGTGTTGTTTTTATTTGCTTGGCGTGGGTTGTGCATGCTCCTTCTTCTGGTAACAATGCTAACTGCCCCTCACCCACTCAGCCTGATTACTCTCTGCCTTGCCATGGAGTGGATGTTAGACGCAGGTCTGGTAAATCCTAGTTTCCAAATGCCAGCAAAGTGACTGCCCAGGTTTGGGTACATGGCCAAGGCAGCCCACTCTAAGGTGTGCCATAGGAAATTGGCAGGGAGAAGCTGGCTGGCTATGTGACCAAAGCTGCTGGTGTCCATGTCCCCACCACCTGGAGGAGCCTGAGAGGTGAGAACAACACAGGGACAGAGGCCCCATGGAGATGAAGAGAGATGAACAGAGAAAGCAGAACCTGATGGCTCAATTTGAACCTCTGGGTCAATGGTGCCTGAGACCTTCTCCAGCCCATCCTTCCCAATTATATTGGCCAATAAATCCTGCTTTTTGCTTAAGCAAATTTGAGTTGGGACTCCTCCTCATCATAAATTGCCATTTTAATAGTTATATTCATACGTGTACAGCCTATTTCTGCTCCTTTCAATTATTCAATTCTGTCAGGTCTCGCCACTGGTTCTACACATTAATAACCAAGGCCTTCATTTACCTGCAAGAGCAGCCATTGGAACGATGGCTGCAGAGAGGGCTCCTTCAGGACTGCCTTTCAACACTAAAACTGAATATATTCATGACATGAAATATCTCTCAGGGATTTCTACTTCTGAAAACACAAACATTAAAAAATATTAAGCAATTTAATATGTTTTGGAATTCCTCTTTTGTGATTTAGAAAGCACACCAGCACCCATTTCATTTGTGTTTTTAAAGGAGGCCAAGGGTGCATCTCACTCAGCCAGAAAGGCAAAGGAAGAGTAAGCCAAGGTCATCACCATCAAGCTGGGAAAGTGAGATGCTGATGGGAAGTAGTGAGGAAGGTCACATGGCTCTGACATGAATGGTTCCAACAGCAACAGCTACATAAAGGAGTGTCCAGAGTCAGGAGCCAGCCTGGGCACAGGGACTGGTGGTGGCTGATTGGAGGAAGACGACAGGAGCTGGTGCCTGAAGAGCTGAGCCTTTGCCTATCAGTCATCATTGATGGACTGATGGACAGATGGACTGGAAGGAGAAGAATCCTCATGGAGGTGGAGGGAGTAGCAGGAAACAAAGCATCTGGACTCAAACATGAACCAGTGATGTCCTCCACCCCGGGAGGAATGATGGCTCAAGTGGATTCTAGTGCTAGGAAAAAACTGAAAGTTAAGGCTGCAGAGAACACAGAGAATGGGGAGGGCAGGAATTTGGGCATTATCCTGTAAACAGACAGGGGGAATCGAAGGTACCTGGTTGTTTCTGAGCCAGGAAGTAAAACAGTACTGATGACGATTGCTCATCCCAATGTTATGTCCACGTCACCGTCTGTCAGGGTCTAGGGCTGTCTCAGTGTGGGTGGAAAAACAAGGGCAATTGCAAGACTCTGCAGAGACTGAAGAGGCTCTTCTGAGAGACCCCATTCTGGGTGAAGAAGGACAAAGATATGATCAACAGGTCTTAGCTACAAAGCCACAGTCACAGGTGCAGGGGATCCTCAGCAAGATAGTGGTTGTTCTCCACTCTGCCCCAGCACCTTGATGCAGGTCCAGATATAGGAAGAAAGGGGACTGTAGGTCAACACTGAAAGGGGCTGCTCCCAAACTCTGCACCATATAAAGCCCTGAGCGTCCTTGCCATAGCACACACCAAGTGAAGGCAGCATGCAAGGAAGAGCAGATCTCCCCTACCCTGGCCATGGGAGCCTGAGCAAGGGCTCAGGGTATCATCACCTTGGGGAGAACCGTTACCCCAGGCAGAGCAGCCGGGTTGCTCTGTATCTGAGATCTGCAGACTGCCTTGCACACGTGTGGGCCGCACTTCACACTTACAGCCTACGGGCGGGACAGGTCATCTTCAATCCTCACCGCAATCCTCCCTTGAACAGGGGACGAGGCCCTGTCCAGGGTTCTGAAAAAGGCAGTGGAGAGGAAGTGGATTGGAGGACACTTAGACGGAAGGACAGTTAGAATTCGACGGCTGACTGTGTTGGGGATAAAGGAAAAGAAGGAGTCAGGGGAGAACCCACATTTGGAGCCAGAAGAGCACTCAGTGCCTCAGGAATCATTACGAGGGTCAGGTATGATGACTGCACTCGGGGAAATTGAGTGATGTGCTGCTGAGGTGTTCTATGTGACTGAACGGCATAACGAAGTTGATTATCAGCTTTGATCACCTGAGCTCTCTCCTCTACAAATTGGAGAACTTATTTACCTGTCATAGAGTTATCCATCATTCCTCCTTCCTTGCATTCAGTCTTTTAAAAGCATGCTATACACTACACTAGACATATACCACTGTACACTCTAGCACCAGATTAACTCACGTGGTAGGAATGCCTGACCTCATCCTTTACCTCTATTTTTGCTATTTGCTTGCTTCTTACTACTGCCACGGACCAGAGCGCAGCCCCCGTGCCAGGGTGTGCAACCTGTCATCCCAGGACGTCTCCGATTCAGTGTCACCTGGCTTTCTTTTCATTGCTGCTTTCTGTGTTGCCCTTAAATTCAATTACTCAAAAATTTCTAATTGTGTCCTTCTGTGGCATAAACTTAAACTCATAAATGGGCTGTATCTGACTTTCCTCATTACTACTCCTGCCCACAAATTTGCTCAGCCTCTTTTATAATATCATTTTTTTCCTTCAAGAGGTGATCTGTTTTTGCCTCATTTGCACAGACCGAATTCTGTTAACTCATTCTTCCCTCTTCTTTAACATCAGTGCTGATGAAGACAAAGGCCTTTATACTGTGTGGAATGGGATCATAAAATAAAGAGCAGGCATCTCTCTCAAGAGTTGTCTGACCTCCTCAGTCCTCTGCCTCCTCTTTTCTTATTGTCCCCACCCTCTCTGTCCCCTGCCCCTCTCTTCACCCAACTCTCCTCTCATCCTACAGCCATTTGGAACCTCATGAGAAGCAGGCTGGAAACAATACACTAAATAATCTCATAATCAATTTGCAGGAACTGTCTGCCTGGATTAATGTAATGTGAGCCACGTTTATTATTTCAAATTTTCTAGTGAACACATTTTAAAAAGTAAAACAGAAATACATGAAAGTAATTGTAGTTATATACTTTATTAACCTAATATAGCCAAATATTGTAATATGAACATATAATTAGTATAAAATATGCCAATGTGGAATGTTACATTCTTTTTTTTTTAGTAAGTCTTTGAAATCTGGTGTGCGTTTTACACTCACATCACTTCTCAATGTGCACTGGCCACATTTTGAATGCCCAGTAGTCACAAGTGGCTAGTGGCCACCATATTGGATTGAGCAGCTCTATCTAGACTAGGCAGATAATCCGGTCTTCCTTCTGCCATGGTGGGCCAAAATTTATTTTTTATTACTGGTGACTTAGGAAAGTTCCTTTTAGCTTCTCAAACTCACGAAATGTCTAGGATTATCGCCATATTTGGAAAAACTTCTATGAAGTCTTTCACATATGAGTTGTAAAATTTCAGGGCACTTGAGGTTATCTTCTGCAGGGATTAATCTTATATTCTTTTTAAATTGAAGACCTTCATTAACCAGTTTGTTGTCAATATTCACATTGTAGTGGCTTTTTTTTTGTCTTATCTTTGATGTCAATATTCCATGACAAATCTGCAGGAAATTTGAAAAGAACCTATATAGATGTGCTTGGACAGGTGAATTTACATGACTGATGTGCAGGGAGGTAGAAGGAGACAGGATAAGATTAGAAAAGTGTGCTGGCCTATAGTCCCAGCTACTCAGGAGGCTGAGGCAGGAGAATGGCGTGAACCCAGGAGGCAGAGCTTGCAGTGAGCCGAGATCGTGCCACTGCACTCCAGCCTGGGTGACAGAGCGAGACTCTGTCTCAAAAAAAAAAAAAAGAAAAAGAAAAAAAGAAAAGAAAAGTGTGCTGGACTCAGCTAGGGAGGTGAGAAAGGCTGTCAGCTGCTAGTGAGAGGCTAAGGAGAGATTCTCCCGCCTTTAGGTTAAGGAATCAACGCCTGTGGATATAGCACTGTACTGGAGATATTTCTTCATGGATCTCTAATATTTCTGCACACCTTTTCAGCAAAGAAACTGATGACTTTTTTACCCCCTGGATTATCTTTCCAAGAATGTTAGCATAACAAGTGACCTTGGAAGACAGCGATCATATCTCCCTCCAGGTCAGAGGGCAGATTTGTTTCCTGACCAGGATAGTAAAGATAATGTTTCTTCTAGGTAAAGGTTGGGAAAGTTTGCTAATAGTCTCTTAAAAGGGGTGCATCTCCTAAACTTGGTGATCCTCAGATGTGATGCAGACTCGCTCTCTGCATGGCATCCACTAGGGCCACTCTGTGTCACCCCTATGAACCCTAGGGAACAAAAGGAACTGATAGGAACAGGAGTTCATGCTGCCTGCTCTGCCATGACTACTGAAGTCCTTTGTCTCTGGCCCAGGAGTCTCATGTCTTCTACCAACATCCATGAAACTGGGAGGCTCATTTGTGATCTTACAAGTAAAGTAAAGCCTCAGACCCCTCACAGTTCCTGGCACACTAGCAGCATAGGAAAGGCCTTATAGTGTAGTAGTGTTATCTTTAGCATATGATAACTTCAAACCTGGTTACGGATCTAACAGTGTGTGTTGCTGGCTTAAAACTGTGGCTATAATAATATTTTTACACATGAAAGCCATTGCAAATCATGTGTCCCACCAAACCCAAGCTAAATGTATCTCCAGCTCAGCTTCCTTGAGCCAACCCCAAAATTGCTATCAGCCACTCCACATCACCCAGAGTGAGAAGAAACTGGAGTAGAAATCAACAGTGGTCTAAGCTGATTGGAGCATATTTGACTCAGGCAAGTTTCATGTGGTGAACACATTTGTAGACCCTTCCCATGGCCTGAGGGGGCCCTTGCAGGCAACGTAAGTTCATAGCAACATGCAGACAGCCATGCTTCCTGAATCCTTCTCCCCACAGATGACAGGTTCCAGAACATTCTTCCTCCACCAGCTGAACTGTCAGCTCACCAAGGATCAGTTATGTCTGCTCCCAAGTTGGTTTATGCCAGTTCCTTAAAGTTTTTATTATCATGTTGCAAACTGTTGAAATGTAAATGCAGAATTAGTTATGGGTTTTATGAAAACCAAGTTGGAAAAGACAAGTCATTCAAAAACTTGCTGTCAAAAAAGAAGTGTACAGGAGAACACTTTAAAAGTTTAAGAAAAAACATAAACTTGTAGAATTTTAGTTGCAAAGTTTCTTCCAGCTACTATCCCTCTCAGCTTAGAAATCTCAGAAGTCAGTAGTCCAAATCAAAACTGCCTACAAAACAACCACCCTAATAATGATTTTCTTTTTTTCCTGTCTTCATACTTATTATTTTTCTTTCAATATAGAAACAGCTGGTCAGGGTAAAATGGACTTCACTGGAATGTACTGACTTTCTTCAAAAAAATTCATTAAAACCCTGGCAAGGTTGATCTGCATCAGAGACAGCTATGACTAGTAAGTTTTATTACAACAGCATTAGGGTAAACCAATCTATTGCAAAGCCTTTGGGCATAATTTATTCTCCTTGGTCCTCCCACTTACTTATCACAGTACCTGTATTCAAAATGTATTCCTTTCCCCTTGCTGCTGTAATGAATTAACACAACTTAGTGGCTTAAACAAACAAATTTATTATTTTACAGTTCCATAGGATAGAAGTTCAACATTGGGAAATCCTGCCATTTGTGGCAACATGGATGGACCTGGAATGCATTATGCTATGTGAAATAAGCCAGACACAGAAAGACAGATACTTTATGTTATCATGTATATGTGGAACCTAAAATAAATGAGGTAAACCTATAGAAAAACAGCCTAGAAGGGTGGTTGTGGGATGGAGGAAGTGGGAAATGTTGGTTCAAGGTGCAGAGTTTCAGGTATAAGATCAGCAAGTTCTGGAGTTCTCACACAGTCCGGAGACTGTAGTTAACAACGCTGTATTGTGTACTTATAATTTGCTAAGAGAGTAGACCTCAAGGGTTCACTCCTGTCAGCAAAAGGTAACTATGTGAGGTGATGGCTGTGTTAATGAACTTGATTGTGGTAGTCATTTCACAATGTACGCGTATGTCAAATCATCACATTGTACACTTTAAATATATGCAATTGTATTTGTTAATTATAATTCAATAAAGCTGAAAAAAAGAAGCTTGACATTGGTCTCGTGGGCTAAAATCAAGGTGCAAGCAGGTCTGGGTTCGGGTCTGGAGGCTCTGCAGGAGAATTCCTTCACCTGCCCTTTCTGTTTCTGGGGGCTGCCCACATTGCTTGGCTCATGGCCCTTTCCTCTACCTTCAAAGCTAGTAACATCGTCTCTCTCTGCCCCTCTCTCATTCCATATCACCTCTCCACTTTACTGTCTTTTTCTGGCTCCCTCTTTCACTTTTAAGAACACTTCTGATTACACTGGGTGCACCTGGATAATTCAAGGTACTCTCTCCACGTTGGGGTCAACCAATTCATAAGCTTAATTCCTTCTGCAACCTTAAGTCTTTCTTGCCAGGTAGCATGACACATTCACCGGATCTGGTGGTTAGGGCATGAACATTTTTACAGGCCATTATTCTACCTAACACCACACGCAATTTTGCAGAGAGTAAACTTTGTTGTTTTTAAAGATAACTTCCATTCCACCCCGGCCTGCTGAAGGCTTCTTCTACCAAAAGCAGCAGGCCTGAGATCCTGGGAAGAGAATGTCAAGGTGGTCCTTAGAGCAACACTTAGCACACAGACACCCTAGTCCAAGGCTGGCCTGAACTAGGGGTGGTAGCTAGGGGTGGTAGCTGGGGGACTTGGGGATGAGTAGGAAAGACCATTCCAGTGCTTCCTTGATGACTTCTATGAGCAAGGAGGGTGATGTCTGGGCCACTCAGGAAGGAGCCCTCTTAGCAAGCTTCCATGTTCTCTTGCTGCTCTGATAACAAGTGAGGCTAGGCTGGGGAAGAGACACAGAGAAAGATTGTTGTAAGAATTGTGGGCCGGGTGCGGTGGCTCATGCCTGTAATCCCAGCACTTTGGGAGGCCGAGTCGGGCGGATCATGAGGTCAGGAGACCGAGACCATCCCGGCTAACACGGTGAAACCCTGTCTCTACTAAAAATACAAAAAATTAGCCGGGCGTGGTGGCGGGCACCTGTGGTCCCAGCTACGCGGGAGGCTGAGGCAGGAGAATGGCATGAACCCGGGAGGCGGAGCTTGCAGTGAGCCAAGATTGTGCCACTGCACTCCAGCCTGGGCGGCAGAGCAAGACTCCGTCTCAAAAAAAAAAAAAAAAAAAAGAAAAGAATTGTGTTGGGGTGGAGGGTCAGGGAGCCAGGGAGGATGTCAAAAGATGAGGCAGGGAGGGGCTGGAATTAAAGTGGCTCAGAAATTTAATGCAAGACCAGAGCCCAAGTAGAAGCCACTAGTGGAGGTTCCCAGGGGTCAACAATGGCTGAGGGACATTTAAGGACAGGGATACCCAGTGTCCAGTTTTAAGTTGGTGGGTGGTAGGTCAGTCACACACAGCCATGTGGAAGGACAGAGTCCAGCTGAGCAGTGGAGAAAAGGAACCACCCAGGGTTCACCATGTGAGAAATTCAGCAAGGGTTCAGTTTAGAACTGGAGGAACTGGGAAAGCAAAGCTGCTGCCCCTCCATAAGCTCCCTAGAGGATCAAGATGAATGATATTTTTTCCACTATATCTAGGTTGGGGGTGAGGGGTCTTTTACTTAATTTTTTTTTTTTTTTTTTTTTGAGACAGAGGAGTTTTGCCCTGTTACCCAGGTTGGAGTGCAGTGCTGCAATCGTGGCTCACTGCAACCTCCACCTCCTGGGTTCCAGCAATTCTCCTGCCTCAGCCTCCCAAGTGGCTGGGATTACAGATGTGCGCCACCACGCCCAGCTAATTTTTGTATTTTTAGTAGAGACGGGGTTTCAGCATGTTGACCAGACTGGTCTCGAACTCCTGACCTCAGGTGATCCGCCCATCTCGGCCTCCCAAAGTGTTGGGATTACAAGGTGTGAGCCACCGTGCCTGGACTTTATTTAGTTTTTAGTGTAAAATTTACAGACAATGTGCACAAAGGCTAAGTGGCCATTTGCTGATTTTTGACAACTGCACACACCTGTGTAACCCAAGTCCCTATCAAAGTATAAAAGGTTACCATCACCCCAGAAAGCTCCTTCAGGCCCCTTTCCAGTCAAATCCTCCTCTGCTATAATTTTAAAGCTATCTTAACTAAACTTTTTGTTTTGAGATCATTGTAGCTTCATACACAGTTATAAGAAATAATTCAGAAGGAACCTATGTGCCTTTTATATCCCTTCAATGGCAGCATCTTTTAAAACTGTTAACAATTAATTAATACAACAATTACAGCCAGGATACTGACATCAACACAGTGATGATTCAAAGGCTCTGTCTCTACTAGGATCTCTCCTGCTGCCTCTCATAGCCACACCCAGCCCCCTCCTGCCCTTGCTTTATCCTTAACCCCTGGCAACCACTAAGCTGTTCTCCATTTCTATCATTGTGTTATTTCAAGAATGTTCTAGAAAGGGATTTATGCAGCATGTAAACTTTTTGGGATGGCTTTTTTTTTTTCACTCAGCCTAATTCTCTGGAGATTAACCCAGGTTGCTGCACAGATAGTTCTTATTTTGCCAAGTAGTAGTCCATGATACAAATGCACTCCAGTGTGTTTAACCATCCACTGTGGAAGGACATCTAAGTTGTTTCCCATTTCGGTTACTGCAAATGGAGCGGCTATGAAACATGCGTGTACAGGTGTTTGTGTGAACATAAATCTTCATCTCTCTGAGATAATTGCCCAGAAGTGCACTGCTGGGTCATGTGGGATTTGCATGTTTATATTTTAAGAAGCCACTGAAGTGTGTTCTAGAGTGCCTGTGCCATTTGGTATTCCTACCAGCAATGTGTGGGCCATCCAGGTTGCCAGCTTTTTCAGCTCCAAGCTTGGGATATATGAGGCAAAAAGAAAACCCCAAGAACCCTCCACTGTGTTGTTGCTTGTGATGCAAGGCAGGTTAGCCCACAAATTGGGGCTTAGCCTGGGAGGGTTCTTGGCTTTGCACAAGAAAGAATTAAAAAGAATTTAAGGGTGAGCTGGTGGTGAGAGAAAGCAAGTTTATTGAAGGGGCAGTGCCTGGCAGAGGTGCTGCTCCTTGCAGAGCAGGGCTAACCCATAGGCATTCTGTACCCAGAGTACCCAGAGTCTATGGGCTGTTGGAAGCCATATTTATATCCATTTTTAATTACATGCTAATTAAGTGGAGGGTTATTTAAATCTTTCTGGATAAGGGAGTTTCTAGAACCATATAAGGTAACTTTCAGGTCATTGCCAAGGTGCATTGCCATGGCATTTGTAAACTGTCATGGTGCTGGTGGGAGTGTCTTTATGTTAACGAGCAGTGAGGGCAGCTAGAGGTGACTTTTGTAGTCATTGGCTGGTTTCTGCCAACTTTCTCCCTGTACCCTGTTTCCACCAGATCCTGCTCCCATTAACTGGGTCACAACCCAGGTCATGGCCAGTGCTTGAAAAACAAGTCCCACTGATCTCCTGCCTCACTTGGTCTCAGGGTTCCCACTGTTCCGCCTTCTTTTCTTCACATTTTAGAGTTTTAAAATTTTTGTTATGTATGTGTAATGTTCTGGGTATTTAGTTGTACATTATGAAAAGAATAGGAGAAAGTATGTCTACTTCATCTTTTCAGAAGCAGAAATACTTCTTTTTAAATGGGACTTTATGGGGTATAATTTACATATAGAAACATGTCTACTTTTTAAGTGTGCACTGGTTACAGTTTTACACATATGCGCCCATTATGCCCTCCACCCAGCTCAATATATCAGACATCTCTGATCCATTCTCTAGAAAATTTCCCTGTGCTCTTTCTTATCAAG
Organism: Homo sapiens; assembly: GCF_000001405.40. Classification (NCBI taxonomy): domain Eukaryota; kingdom Metazoa; phylum Chordata; class Mammalia; order Primates; family Hominidae; genus Homo; species Homo sapiens. The sequence goes on from NC_000010.11 coordinate 127,608,755, forward strand.
TCACCGCCTTCCTCCCCACCTTTCAGGAGACCACAATTCTGGCTTTTCCCACCATAGCTTAGGTTTGCCTGTTTTTGAAATTCATATAAATAGAATCATACAGTAAGCACCATTTTGTGCCTTGCTTCTTTTTGGCAACATATTTTTGAGATTCACCCATGTTATTCCATGTATTAAAAGATCATTACTTTTTACTGCTGAGTAGCACTTCATTATGTAAATATACCACAATTAATTTGTCCTCTTCAAGATATGAATCTTAAAGGGGAATTTTATGCCAGTAAGCTGAGGAGTTGGAGCTGAAATTTGGATTGGTAAGGCCAATGACACATGGGTCATAAAGGTAAAGGTTGGAAATAAAAATCATGGCTGTTTTTAATACTTTGAGACAGGTTAATATGAAATGTACAGTCTACCTTCTTCAAACAGTCATTTTACGAAAATCTGATTAGGCTCTCATCTCCTATGGCTATCTGTACCTTTTGAAATTGGGATTAGTTGCTAGCTATGGGCCTCTGTGAAATCTGCTGAACTCATGCTGTCAGAATTCATTATATGATCACCACCATTTTAGCAGTAATATGCCTGATATCAAGTGATAAAGAGAATGTGATGCCATTATCGATGAGAAAAGACTATTCACATTTTGCTTTATAAAATTTAAAAAGCCACTTCATATTGCTTTGCTTTTAAAATGAAACAATGTAAAATAATGAAACATTAACTCAATTATAGATTTGTATTTTGTTTGCAGAGATTTTAATCTGTAATGCTCAATAACAGATATCTCTGCTGAAGATGGGGAAGGGATGATATGCAATGGTCTCAGCCTGCGGAAATATACCCTTATGAGCCACAAAAGCAGTGATTGGCTCAGAAAATTATTCACAGTGTGCTTATTACATGCATGTTACTGGACAATCAGCACATACAAAGAGGGTTACAGCAGAGATCCTGCCCAAAAAGAACTTGCAAACTAGTTGACAGAAAAGACTAATACAAGGAAAATGAAATAATACAAGATTTCTTAATAACCACTCTCTATGTGAATAAAGCTACCTGCAAGTTTGTAACTTCCTCACAGAAGATCTTGCCCAGAAACCTAAAGTTGTGATGCAGGGGAGATATTCCTTTCATTTTGAAGTAAGTAAGACTCAAAAGGAACAAGTGGCTTGCCCAAGTCACGTCAGGTGAGTGTGTGGAAGAGCCAGGAGCCTGGATATGCACCCCCACTCCTCTTCCCATGACAGTCTTGCCTTCATGCTGAATCCCACTTATGGAAGGAAGGATAACCTCTGTCCTGGCTTCCTCAGCACTGGCTCCGAATGGAGACACCGGTAGAGGATGTGCAGGTCTGTGCTGAAGCAGCTGAGTCCTCAAGGGTTGGTTAGATTTGGTAAAGTAGATTCAAATGGTACCCCCAGAAGACGGAATAGCATGAGCTAAACTTTTGGAGCCAATGAGTACAAGGTTGAGGGGAGAGTCATGTTTGGATTTCCTAACCCGCAGGGCCAGGATGGAAAAGAGGAGAGGATACTCCCATAGAAGAGGGCTGAAATTAGAATTGGAAAATGACCAAGCTGAGATGGCAATGTCTGGGACCAGAGTAGGAGCAGAGGAAACAATAAGCCAAGGGAAGGGTCTGATTGTATGTGCATGCGTGGCTTTTTCTTGCACTCCTTTCTGCTTTTGTTTAGTTAGTTTTCAATGTTTTGATTGGAAGCTATATGTGATGTGAGGTGATGGGTAAAAGGAACAGAGGTGCAGAGGCCTTCCAGGAAAGGTTATATGTTTATCTGGCTAGGAGCTGGGCTGTGTCTGCTGTCACTGGAATGTGTCAGGAGCTACTCTCTTTGGGTGTCCCAGCTCCTGGCTCCCCGTCGTCTTTGGGACTTGCTAGAGATTTCTTCTTAAAGCAGGTTGAGAGGTGCCATTCTTTCCGCTGCATTCCTGTTATGACACAGGAGTCTGCTGGGGAGATGGTCAGGTATGGGGAAGGGAAGCATTCTCTGGTCCTCTGATTTGGTCTCCTTCCTCTAGTGGGTCTGTATCCCTGGGCTGAGACCTTCACACAGCTTCTCATTTTGTTTTGTTTTGTTTTGTTTTTTTCCCCCTTAGGCAGGAAGGGTAGAGGGGGCTGGAGTTGGGCATTTCTCTTGCCCAGGCAGGTTACACTGTGGCAAAATCCGAAGTGGTTAGTAAAATAGTTTTGCTTGGGGGCAGTCTTTTGCTACTGAGAACAGAACACTCTGGGCATATTTCCAAATGGTTAGTTCCCTCTTACCTCTGCCAGAAGTGTGATTTTTCTCTGATCTACACTATAAGAATCTAGTAGAGCTCCTGGGAGTAAAACTCATGCAAGTGTGGGGTTCCCCCTACAACTGGGTCTCCCTGGAGTTTCTGAGCTTGTCCAGCAATTCCTCAGTTACAATTTAGGTTTTCTTACTCCAGGGTGGGTTCCCATGGTGGCTTCTGCTCCCGTAAGCTGTGATTCTCTGTATCCACTCATCTGTCCCTCCAATTTAGGGGACAGCAGTTTGCCCTGGGAATCAGTTCTCTGATGGATTTAACAAGAATTTGTTCATCTTTTTTCTTGTTGTGAGGCCAGGAGTGACAACTTCCAGTCTCCTTACGTGAGACCAGAAACCATAGTTTTCAATAATTTTACTGAAAAACAATTCAACATATATAATTAGACATGCCCCCTAAACCCATTACCCAGTGATTATTGACTTATTCTCAAGCTCGCTTCCTCTATACTCCTTCCCACTCTTTCCAAATCCCAAGGCTGTATTCCAGAATTATATCATCTCATAAATGTGTATTTCAGTATCCCTCTCTAAAAGATAACATTGAAAAACAAAACTGTAATACCATTTTTTCATAGTTTAAAAAACACCACTAGCTCCCTAATATTACAAAATATGCAGTCATTTAAATTCCCCTTCTTACCTCACATATTTTTTAGTTTATTTGAATTAGTATCCAAACTAGGTTAAGCCTCTTTTTAAAACTGTAACCTTTATTTTTGCTTACCTCTACTATTCTTCTTCTTTCCGTATTTCCCTGACTTTAAACCAATATTAACAATACCATATACATACGTATATATATATATATATATCTATATATCTATATATATATCTATATATATATCTGTATAGCATATATGTATATATACATGTGTATGCATAGACAGAATATTCATGTGACAGAAATTTGGTCATCAGTTTACAAAAGTGGAAATAGACTATATGTTTATATGGTTTGGATCTGTGTCACCACCCAAATCTCATCTCAAATTGAAATCCCCATGCGTGAGGGAGGGACCTGGTGGGAGGTGATTGGATCATGGGGGAGTTCTCATGAGAGCTATTGGTTTTAAAAGTGTTTGGCAGTTCCCCTTCTGTGCTCTCTCTCCTGCTGCATTGTGAAGAAGGTGCCTGTTTCCCCTTTGCCTTTCACCATGATTGTAAGTTTCCTGAGGCCTCCCCAGCCATGTGGAACTGAGTCAGTTAAACCCCCTTTCTTTATAAATTACCTAGTCTCAGGTAGTAACTTGATAGCCACATGAAAGTGGACAAATACACATGTATTTAAAAAAGACGTCAGTTCTGCAAAGGAAAAACAAAGGAGAACTTTATTTTCTTTAAAAAAAGAAAAAGAATCTGAAGATTGGGAGACACAGCTTCCAGTGTAAATGGAAAGGACTCTGGAGAACAAAGTGTGGGTCTGGTTTAAGTAGGAAAAGTTTCCACGCCAGCCTCAACCAAATCTGTTCATGTAAATGAAGAATTTAAACTCGTTCAGTCCCAGGTGGTTGAAAACAACTGAGTCCAGATTGGTTAGTTCTCAACTGCAAGACCAGTAGTCTCTGCTGGATGCCCCTTTTTGGAGGCTGATGGGAGAACATTTCTGGACACCAAGTCTCAGTTCTGGTTACAGGAACCATCTTAGCTCAGAGGCTCAAACAGGGTTCCTCTGGAGCTGCCCTCTCTGGTAACAAAGGAGGTGTGACTGCCCTGCTCTCACTCACTGTGGCCATTGGATTAGCTTCATCTCACACACGCATTGCTCTGTGTCTTAGCTTCCTCCCTTCACAGCACATCCAGTGGATCCCTTCCTGTCAGCTGCTGGACAAGAGCTCAATCTTTTTAAAGAGCTGAATAATGTTCCAAGGTAGGTATGTGCCAGAACATATTCAACCACTCATTTGTTAGCATTAGGATAAACATGGCGGTAATATCCCTTTACATGATCCTTATGTACAGGTGGTGTAATTTTTAAAGCATAGCTTCCCAGGAAAGGGATTACTGAGTATAAATGTAGGTGATATATTTTTAATGGCTTTATTGACGCATAATTGAGATGCAATAAACTGCACATATTTAAAGTACACAATTTGATATGTCTCGACATTGTATATATAGTCACGAAACCAACAAGACTGCAAATTTGATTTCTTTTGGGACGAGCTTTGGTAGTTTTTGTGTCTTTCAAGAAATTTGTCAATTTCACCTGCTCTGTTGCATTTACTGGCATAAGGTTTTTATGTTTTTTAACGTGTAAAATCTAAAATCTGTTGTGGTGTCATCTATTTTAATTCTGATATTGGTTATTTGTATCTGCTCTCTTTTTTTCTCATCAGCCTGGCTAAAGTTTTATCAATTTTATTCATTTTCTCAAAGAACCAGCTTTTCGGTTCATTGATTTTCTCTTTAGAGTTTCTGTTTTGTATTTCATCGGTTTCCATTATGATCTTTATTATTTCTTTTCTTCTGCATACTTGGAGTTTGAGCTGCTCTACATCTAAAATTTTCTTAGAGTGGAAGCTGAAGTCATAGATTTGTAATTGTTTTTATTTTCTAAGATGTAAATTTATTACTATAAATTTACCTTTAAGTATTGCATTAGTTGCATCCCACAAATTTTATTATGCTATATTTTCAGACATATTAGTGTGGTTTTAGTATGTTAAAAATATTTTCTCATTTCTCTTTTGTTTTATTCTTCAACCCATGGGTTATTTTAAAGTATGTTATTTAGTTTCAAATATTTGAAGATATACTTGATGTCTTTCTTTTATAGATTTCTAATTTAATTCCATTACTGTCAGATAACATACTTTATATATATTGAATCCCTTTAAATGTATTAAGACATATTTTATAGCTCAGAATTTGGTTAATTTTGGTAAGTAGTCTGTGTGTACTTGATAAGAATGTATATTTTGCTAATGTTGGGTGGAGTGTTCTAAAATTGTAAATTGTGCCAGTTTGATTAATAGTAGACTCAATCACATGCTGCCTACAAGAAATCCATTTTAAATATAACTATACAAGTAGGTTGAAAGTAATAGGATGGTGAAAGATATATTTACACTGATCAAAAGAAAGCTGAATTGACTATATTAACACAAAAATACGTTTCGGATTTCCTGTCTACTTGTTCCAGCAATTATTGAACAGGAGTGCTGAAATTTCTGACAAAAACTATGGATTTGTCTATTTCTCCATGCAGTTCTATCAGGTTTTGCTTCATATATTTTGAAGCTCTCTTATTAGGTGCACCAAGCGTTTAGCATTGTTATGTATTCTTGTTGAATTGACCTCTTTTTTGTTATGAAATGACCCTCTTTATCTCTGGTAATGCTCTTTGCTCTGGAATCTACTTTGTCTGAAGTTAAGGAAAATTGGGGCCATTATTTCTTCAAATATTTTTTCTATCTCCTCCACTTTCTGTGCTTCCTCAGGGACTCCCATTATTCACATATTAGGCCATTTGATATTTCCCTACAGTTCACTGATCCTCCATTAATTTTTTTCAGTCTTTCCCTCAGTGTTTTAGTTTGGATAGTTTTGATAGCTGTGTCTGCAACAGCTTTTCTTCTGTGATGTCTGAGCTGCCATTAATGCCATGCAGTTCTCATCACAAGCCAGACAGCATGGCCCCGTCAACAAAATGGGAAACTGTCAGAGATGAGGAGTCTCAGACAAGTCAGAGCTCGCAGCAACAGGGACGTGGAGGGGCTGAGCCATGGCTGGGCAGGCTGAGATGATCCATTTACATTGGATCAGTCTGGCAGGCTGAGATGTGTCACATGCAGAATGCCGAGAGGTTCAGCAAGCACATAGACTGGTACACAGTGACAGTCAGGTTAGGGAGAAGGGACGAAAAGTGAGATCACAGTGAGGCTTGGGACTCTCCCAACCTATGGGACTCCTGTATCGTGCTGGCCAAGTCTTTAGCAGGTTATTCACTCGAAGTCTATCTCCCTGTCTAGATTGATCCACGAGGGCAGGAACAAAAGTTTGTTCTGCTCATGCCAAGTACTTGGTACAGAGAAGCTGCTCAGGATATATTTTTATTAATTTTTACTTTTTATTTTTTTGAGACTGAGTCTCACTCTGTTGCCCAGGCTGGCGTGCAGTGGCGTGATCTTGGCTCACTGCAACCTTTGCCTCCTGCGTTCAAGTGATTCTCTTGTTTCAGCATCCCGAGTAGCTGGGACCACAAGTGAGTGCCACCATGACCAGCTAATTTTTGTATTTTTAGTACAGACAGAGTTTCACCATGTTGGCCAGGCTGGTCTCAAATTCTTGGCCTCGGGTGATCCATCCGCCTTGGCCTCCCAAAGTGCTGGGATTACAGGCGTGAGTGACTGCGCCCGGCTTAGGACATATTTTTAAATAATGAAAGAAGCAGGTCCATGGACTCTCAAAGCCTTGAGAGCTTGGTTTAGGGAAAAAGACCCATGACACAGGCTTTTGGAGTTTGGGATTTTGTGACTTGGAAGCAAGGAGACAAAAGGATGTGACGCCATCCCATCAGCTCTCCCCTCTAAAAATTTCCCTCCACCCTAGTTTTCTGGCAATATTTTTTTTTACAGAGTGAGAAAGGCATGAATATGGGGTAGATATAATTATGCCCATAATGCATAATAGCTATCAGACTGATCCAATGTAAATGGGTTATGTTTATAATTGTAGTGAACTGTAATTTTAAGTAAAATGAAATTTGGGGTTATACAACACATTTCAAAATATCTAATTACCAGAAAGCAATTTTGTATACAAATGCTCTAATCTATTATTCAACACAAACACAATTTTAAAGTATAACTACTAGTCAATCACAATTGCTCTGACATTACCATACAAGTCTCTTGCAAAGACTATTCAAAGCATTTCAACAGTGTTGGAAGCTTCCAGTATTAAGTGGTTAGAAATAGGAAGTCTGGCAAATGAGGCCATTAACAAGTGTGAAGGCCTCGAAACTATCAAGGTCATCAAAAACATGGGAAGTCTGAGAAATTGCCGCAGCCAAGAGGAGCCTGAGGAGACGTGAGGACTAAATGTGATATGGGGTCTTTGATGGGGTCCCGGAAGAGAAAAAGGACATTAGGTAACCACTAAAGCAGTCTGAATAAAGTATAGACTCCAGATAATAATAATATATCAATATTGATTTATTAACTGGAACGAATGTACCATAAAGTGTGAAATGTTAACAACAGGGGAAACTGGATGTGAGCTATATGGGAATTCTGTCCAATTCTCCCAATTTTTCTGTAAATCTGAAACTGTTATTTCTTAAAAATCTATTTTAAAAAAGAGATTCACAAAACTACTGGAAGCCTGGAAGCCATGTATAGCTGCATCAAAGTGGTTTTAGTTTGCCAGTTTTATTATTTAGTTACCTTTGTTGCTTGAATTGTGTTTTCTTTGGAGTATCACATTCATACAAGTATTAGTATGTGCACTGTTATCATTGTGATACGTGTACCTGTGGTATATTTCAACTAAATGAAGCAATATTTACACATATAAGTATATTTGGTTATACTGTTGTGTACATATATATTTGCATTGAATATTCATGGTTTTGCTGTGTGTAATTTCAGTGCATTTTTACTTAGGATATATGTATACATGAATCTTCTACAATATCATGTCCATGGTTAAGTAATATTCCACCTTGTGATGTATTGTAATTCAATGTTTTGGGCTTTCTCAAAGTTTCATATTTTTCCTTATTATAAAGAATGATTTGATGAAAGTCACTGTAGATTTATGCTTATTAATGTTTTAGCCATAGAATCAATGTTGCAGGTATGAAAGCCTTTTGTGTTTTTTGATTCACATTCTTAAATTGCCTATCAAAATTTTCTTATTAATGCCCCAACCAAAAGATTATTGGAATGCTTATTTTTCCAGCGACTTGCTAATATTTGATATTGATAGTAAATTGATAATTTTGTGAGCAAGAAAATATATATGTACTAAATCACTCACTTCACTTTGCTTAGTACTTTAGCTGTATGTACACATGTATGTGCATTCCCATTCTCAAACATGAAACAAAGACACGTGGCTTCAACCCAGAACGTTTAAGTTTATTTTTTGTTAGTTGAGCGCGTGGTCTTAAATGTTCTGTTTTACATGCAGATGCCTCCCGATTCGGTGTAATGTCATTTTATAGGCGCAGTGGGTCCACGAGAAAACCAGAATGTGCCAGGAAAAAGATGACTTTTGAGCTTTTCTGGCCATCTTCAAATCAATCATGTCACATTTATGATGACTTGTTGTCACATCGAAATAAGTTTCACTTGTTTAGAAACAATAAATTATAAAAAGGATAGTGGTTCTGCTGACGCAATCAAAAGAACAGTGTCATTTTCACACCTTATTTGCATTTTTTAAAATTTAAATCAAATGATTACACCACTGAAGACATCGACACCTCATCTAAATATTCAAAATCTGCTCACCGGTATCATCTGAGTGGTCTTTGCGATCTATCAGATTGGACAGACAGAGTTTATTTGCCAACGCAGGCTGCTGCTGAACCTCATAACTCAGCCCTCACTGAAGGGTGAGGCACCAGCAAAGCCGTCGGGATGCTGCCCTGAGTCTGTGACATGGATCACGGAGGCTGGGCAGAAAGGTGGAGAATGGGACTCAGAAATATAATATTTCAGCTTAAAGCTTAAGGATAGTAGTACCACTACCTAAGCCCTAGTGTGTGTCAGGCCACGCATCAAGGGCTTTAAATGTGAATTCTGTCATTTCATCTTCCCAAGAGCCCCGGGAGGTTGGCAGGTCTTATTACTGCATCCATCAGACAGATGTGGAAACCAGTGCTCAGGTGGCTTGAGTATCCTGTCTGAGGCCCCATAGCTCTGGGGTGACGGAGCTGGGACTCTTAGTTAGAACAGACTGTTTGCTAGTTGAGGGAAATCCCTAGACCCAGAATCCTTAAAATGCTAGGCAGATTTACCAACTTGTCTGTACTCTGTGGTAGAATGAGGTATTCTTTTTTAGTCGCACTTTTTATTGTGAGAACTCTCAACTTTCAAAAAGTTAAAAAAACACAATGAGCATCCATATGTTCTTCCCCCAACCTTGACATTTGTTAATGTCTTGATTCTTAGTGTGATTTTTACTCCTAAACTCCTCAACATGCACCTCCTAAGAATGAGGACATTGAATCAAGGGTATTCTGGTTCCAATTTTTTGAGGGAGAAATGGAACCTAAGATAAGCATGCGGAATCCCACTGCTTTTGGAAAAAATTTCAATCTCTTGACCTGGCACTTCAGGTTCTCCCACGAGCTGGCCCTATCCCTATTTGCTGCACCTACCCAACTCAGCAGTCCTTAAAAACACAGGCAACTCGATGCTGTGAAGCCTCTGCTCATCCATTCTGTTCTTCAACAAAATAAAGCCAATCTAAATCTGCTCATTCTTTTTTTTTCTGAGACAGAGTCTTGCTCTGTCACCCAGGCTGGAGTGCAGTGGCACGATCTTGACTCACTGCAACCTCTGCCTCCTGGGTTCAAGCGAATCTCCCACCTCAGCTTCCTGAGTAGCTGGGGTTACAGGCGCCCACCACCACACCTGGATGACTTTTGTATTTTTAGCAGAGATGAGGTATCGCCATGTTGGCCAGGCTGGTCTCGAACTCCTGACCTCAGGTGATCCCCACTCCTTGGCCTCCCAAAGTTCTGGGATTACAGGCATAAGCCACCACTCCTGGCCTAAATCTGCTCATTCTCTAAGGCTTACTTGATGCTGCTCCTCTGTTGAGCCTCCCAGATGTCCAACTCCATGGGTGCAGCTAAATCTCTATGATCAATCACTCACAGAATGTTCTGCTTTGCTTTAGGAGTGGCTCTGTTCCTGTCTGACTCTCTTATTGGGTAGCACTCTCCTTAAGGTCAGAGGCGGAGCAAGTCATCGTTGAATCCTCCCCAGCATGAGACATAGAGGCTTGCACATAGCAGGTGCTTAATAAACAATCATTGAATTGTATGGCTCTCCCTGCTGAAAATAAGTGACACATTGTAATTACTCCAGAGTTCAGATCCTGAAAATAATTTTTATTACAAGAAAAAAATAATCATTCGAATTAATTCACTGTTACAAAGGCAAAATATCTACAGCACTGGGAATGGTATCAGTACATCAGACAGTCATAGCACTTAAAGACTGAAGTACTTTCATTTCCCTTAAACACCATCATAATGAAAAGAGTGGGTCATGTTATAAAGTCATGGAGGCCTTTTAGCATCGCAGGTAGTTCCATTCTCTTTGTTGGGAATTTTAAGCCATGCGAAGAAAAATGAAATGCCACTAAAAAGGATATCATGATTGACAAAACGACGGGAAGGGGAAACATTTCTTTCTTCACAAGTGCCTGTAACATGAAAAGAATGCCACAAAAAGAAGGTTGTTAACAGCAGATAGTTCAACAGTTACGTTATTATACCCAACTGCCAAAGTTGTAGAAAAAAGCCAGCAAATGAAGCAGTTGAGATGAACAGAGCCTATTTAGAAGAGGAAGAAATATATTGTATTTCTGAATGCAACAGCTGCATGTAAGTGTAACAAGATCCTGGCTCAAATTATAGCTTTGGATCCAGCCCCCCCTTTGCAGCATCTAATCTGCTCTTGTGAGCTCTGGCACAGGCTGTTAGTAGACGCATCAAGGATGTTTTTCCCAGCATGGTGATGGGGCAGCTGTTTGATGAGCAGCTGCATCATGTGGATTTTGTGTCAGCGTGCATGGGAACACAGCCTTTTTGGTGGCTAACTGTGGGGGAAGTTAATGTCAGGCTGTACCAGCCTGCTGGTTTTCCCTGGCAAAACCCTCTGAGATGACCCCATTCTGTACAGCTGGGAAGCCGTGGCTTTGCTTTTGAAAGATATAAACAATCTGCTCCTTCTTTAACAGGGCTTAGTAAGGAAGAACCTTCAGTCAATAATACATGCAACCTGAAGAACTAGCACCTCAGTGTTGGAACATGTCCTTGGCATTCGTCCACTGATCCTGGGCAAAAACACCCTGGGGGAGAACCCCTGGAGCCCTATCTTTCCTCTGAATAGGACATTTACAAGACTTAGCAATGGATGAGGTCCCAGCATACAGACACATTACACTCCCCAAAGCAAGAATTAAAAACTCATTGAGCACTTAGATCCCGCCTGCTTAATTGTCCTCTTTCCTCTGTTCCTTTTTTTCCTCTTGTAGTGGGTGATGGGAGGACATGAGAGAGTCTATTATCAGTATTAAGATGCAGGCAAGTGCTATGGAAATAAAGCCATGTGCTAGATGGTTTTGCTTGACCAGCTTCCCCATCCTGGAGAGCCCAGCTCCCACCCCCCACCGCCCCCATTTCATTGTAATCTCATCCAATGCTTTTGCTTGAGGCAAAGCTGGACTCACTCCCTTAGTCCCAGGAGTGGGCATATAACTCAAACTGGAAAATCCGTGTCCCCTGAGCCACAGTGATTAGTTGGGAGTCAGGTCCCAATGACTAGATCTGGTCAATGCGAGCTTTCCTGGAGATGTCTGCTGGGACCACTTGGAAGGGCCATTTCTCTTGCTCTGAAAGGGAATCTGAAAGGGACATGTAGGCTTGTTCAGAGACATCTTGCTACTGGTGTGAAGGGAGAATTTGAAATGAGCCAAGCAGGGCATAGTCAAGTCAAAGAGGGAAAGGTAAAGGCCCCATGACATTTTATACCCTGAATCCCAAAGCGGATTTTGCCCTTGAACTTTCCAATTACAGGATCCAATAAATTCTCTTTTAGCTTCTGTGATATTGAAGTGGGCTTCTGTGCCTGCCACTGAACTCACCTTGTTTAAAGATTTGCTTCATGTTTTGTGTCCCCTACTAGGATATGAGCTCCAGGCAATCAGGGACTTTGTCATTATTTTTCTTGTTTTTCTCAATTCCCAGACATTTCATTCTTTTATTTTTTTGAGACAGGGACTTGCTTTGCCCACCCTGGAGCTTATCACAGCTCACCCAACTCCTAGGCTTAAGTGATCCTCCTGCCTCAGCTTCCCGAAGTGCTAGGATTATAGGTGTGAGCCACCATGCCCAGCTGTTTATTTTTTATTTGCTCCCTTCAACTACAGCCTATATTCCATGAAGCTGGGACTTTGTTTTTCAAGGCTTATTCCATTAGCTCCATAAAAAGTTGTTGAATGAACATGTTAATCACAAGGTACAACTTTCATTCATTGAAGCAACCATTAAACTTTTATTAAGCACAGACTCTGCTTTCAAGTAGCCTCCAGTAAGTGAATAAATTGCAAAATGAATGAAGACAGAATTAAGGAAGAGCAGAGGAATGCAATCTCTTAGGAGTGGAGGACAAGGGATTTTAGGGGACTCTTGGTGGAGGGCAGGGTTAGTGGTTGGCACTTCAAGCCCGAGGGGCTCAAATGTCTTCAATCAATGAGACAACTGCACTTGTAATGTGTGCAAGGAGTGGAGGGGGAAACAGAGAGGTTGGAAAAGAATCCAAGATTACTGGAATAATGGAATGGGATATATTTGAAGACAAATTAACATTTTATTGAAATTAATAAATATTTAAACAATATAATCTGAAAGGTCCTTATTTGGAAAACATTGATGAAGAGCTCACCAAAATATTATTTTATGCCTTTCTTTATAACATATAATTTTAGCTCTGCAGGGAAAACAGTCAAATTGATGGATGAAGCCATTGGCATAAATATGGCAAAGGCAGATACATCCAGACCTAAGACCAACGAAATCTGCCAGGCTCCGGGGGAATTTTGGAACCAAATCTCTCTCTCTAAAAACCCATGAAAAACATAATCTAAAAATGATACATGGGAAAATCTCATTAATTTAGATATTTCTATTCTTAATTTGTAGCCATTTGAATTTTATCTGGGTAACGAAAAATTTGCAAAGCAAATTAAAAATGTAAATAAGATTAGAGAGGGAATGTTTAAGCTACTCAAGAGAACAAAGTGTTTTCATGCATTCATTTACATAAAAAATGGATAGGCAAATTAAAATATCTTCTCATTATTAGAGCCACTTATTGCACATATTTATTTATTGCCTGATAAAATAAGTTTAGTTGAAAATAAGTAAATTTGATTTTTCTTGAGATAGTGACTCTGGTGTTAATTGGTAAAGTTATTCTCATTATTCAGTATTTAGGATCAATTTTCAAATCCCCCTGATATTTCCTCTTTAATGTTTTTATTATTTTTTGAACCATTTTGTATCAGGGTGCTTTTGTTTTTGTTTTTAGCTCAGTTTTATTGATCAGTTAATAGACACTTGGATTATTCACAGCTTTTGGCTATTATGAACAAAGTAGGTCTGAATATTCAAATAAAAAATTTTGCATGGGCATGTAATTTCATTTCTCTTGGTAAATGAATACTTAACAATGAATGATTGGGTCATATGGTAGATGTAGGTTTAACTTGTAAAAAGCTACCAAACTCTTTTCCAAAGTGTGCCATTTTGCATTCCTACCAGCAATGCACAAGAGTTCCATTTACCCCACGTCCTCACAAACATTTTGTAATTTCAGGTTTTTAAAATTTTAGTAATTTCTGTAGATATGTAGTCATATTTCATAATAGTTTTAATTTGAAGTTCCATAATAACTAACGATGTTGATCATCTTCTTATGTACTAATTTGTGATTCAACTATTTTTTGTGGTGAAGTGTTCAAATCTTTTGTCCATTTTAAAATTTGGATTGTCTATCCTCTTATCATTGTGTTGTAAAAATTATTTATATATTCTGATATATATTTTGGAATTTTTTTTTCCAATATGTATCTTGCCTTTTCATTTTCTTAAAAGTATTATTTGAAGAGCAAAGATTTTAAATTTCAATAAATATCATTTTTTAATAGTTTACACTTTCTGTGTTCTATTTAAGAAATTTTTGCCTAACCAAAGGTCATTAAGAATTCTTTAAAATGTTTTATAATTTAAGGTACATTCACATCTATTTTTTGTTCACTTTTGTTATCTGGTATAAGAGTTTTTTTTTTACATATTGCTATCCAGTATTTTAGCACAATATATTGAAAAGATCATCTTTCCCACAGTTGAATTGCCTTGCCAAATGTTATGTGTCCCTTTCTGAACTCTATTCTGTTTCACTGATCTATGTGTCTGTCTTCTGACAATACCACACAGTCTAAATTACTATAGCTTTATAATAAGTCTCGATATCAGTTATCATAAGCCCTCCAACTTTGTTCTTCTTTATAAACATTGTTTTATATATTTTAAGAATTCACGTGTTCATTTCTTTAAAAAAAAAAGCCTGCTTGAATTTTAGTTGGTATTGCATTGTATCTGCAGATCAATTACAGGACAATTGACATCTTAGCAATATTGAGTCTCTTGGTCCATGAGCATGGTATATCTCTCAATTTATTAGAACTCCTTTAATTTCTGTCAGCCCTGTGTTATAGTTTTCAGTGCATGAATTCTTTATATATTTTGCTATATATATTCCTGAGCATTTTATACAGTTATACTGTTGTAAATGATGTTTTATTTTAATTTTAAATTTCTAACTGTTCAATGCTAACATAAAGAAACATAGTTGATTTTGTATATTGACCTGCAATTTGATATCTCATTAATTCTGATAGTTTTTTGCAGATTTCTTAGGATGTTCTACAAAGAAAATCACATTTCTGTGAAGACAGTTTTATTTTTTCCTCTTCAGCCTGTAAGACAATTATTTGCTTGCTCATTTGTTGTTTATTTGTTGCCTTATTGAACTGGCTAATACAAGAGTAAATAGATATGATGAGAGTAGACATCCTTGCTTTATTGCTGCTCTTAGGGGAAAAAATCAGTTTGAAGTTTGATGTTAGCTATGGGGTTTTCATAGATGTCCTTTATCAGATTGAGAAAGTTTTCTTTTATTTCTGGTTTAATAATAATTTTTTAAAATCATAAGTTGATGTTAAATTTCGTCAAATTTTTTCTGCATCTATTGAAATTATCATATGGTTTTTCTTTTTAGTCTGTTAATGTGAAAATTTCAATAATATTTAAATGTTAGGCTAATTTTGCAATCTTA
Organism: Homo sapiens; assembly: GCF_000001405.40. Lineage (NCBI taxonomy): Eukaryota > Metazoa > Chordata > Mammalia > Primates > Hominidae > Homo > Homo sapiens. The sequence continues at coordinate 127,624,149 of NC_000010.11, forward strand.
AGATAAGCTCAACTTGGCCATGATATATTATTCTTTTAATATGTTGGTGGGTTCTGTTTGACAATATTTTAAGGGTGTGTGTGTGTGTGTGTGTGTGCGTGTATGTGTGTATCTATTTTTATGAGGAACTATGGTTTGTAGTTTTGTTTTCCTTGGAATATTAGTCTCATTTTGATGTGAGAAGAATGCTAGCCTCATAAAGTTAGTTAGAAAGTCTTTTTACTTATATTATTTTCTGGAACAGTTTGTGGAGAACTTATATTACTTCTTCCTTAAATGCTTTGTAAAATTCACCAGTGATGTCATCTTGGTCTGGAGATGTATGTGTGTGTGTGTGTGTGTGCATTCTTTTAAGCACAAATTTGATATCTTTAATAAATATAGGGCTATTCAGATAATCTAATTTTTCTTATGGGAGTTTTAGTGATTTATGTTTCTCAAGGAATTTTTCTATTCCATCTAAGTTGTTAAGTTTATTGACTTAAAGTTGTTCATAGTATTCCCATATTATGTTTTTAATGTCTGTAAGATCTGTAGTGATGTTCTGTCTTCCATTCCTGATATAGGTAATTTATGTCTTCTGGATTTTTTTTCCCCATGCTCACTCTCACTAGAGGATTATCAATTTTATTGATCTTTTTCAACAACTAGCTTATTGTATCTCTTTTCTTTTTCTATATTATTGATTTCTGCTCTTATCTTTATTGTTTCTTTCCTGCTATTTACTTTGAGTTAATTTCATTTTTTTCTAGTGTTTTAAGTTGGAATATTAGGTAATTGCTCTGAAGTCTTTTCTCTTTTCTAATATTTTGGGTGGTGTGCCTTATAATTGTCACTTAGATCGAGTTGCTTGATAGTGTTTTTCAAGTTTTCCATTTTCTACTATTTTTTAATCTACTTATTCTATCAATTATTGAAAGAAAGCCATTGTGTTCTCCAGTTATAAATGTGTGTTTTCCTATTTCTTCTTTTGGTTCTACTATTTTTATTTCTAGTATTTTCAATCTTTGTTATTAGGCTTATACACATTTAGAATTATTATGTCTCCTTGATGAATTAAGTCCTTTAACATAATGAGATGTCACTATTTAAAACAAGCCTGAAAAGGGTCAAATTGATTTCATGTAACTTAACTGCATCCCCAAATCAAATCCAAAAATAAGAGGAATATAATAAAATTCAGCACCCTACAATGTAAAATTCATAAAGTCTGACATCCAAGCAAAAATTGCTATGCATGCAAACAAGCAAGAAAATGCAATTCATAACCAGAAAAATAATCAATGAATAGTAAAAGACACTGAAATTACAGAGATGATAGAATTACCAAACATAGATGTTAAGACATCTATTATAAACATCCTCCATTCATTCAAGAAGGTAGAGGAAACCGTGCACATAATGAGAAAAATGGAAAACATGTAAAAGCTCAAATCAAACTTAAGAGATAAAAAACAATTTATAAAATAAAAAGTACACTGAACAAGATTGTCAGCAAATTTGGTACTGAAGAAAACATTAGTAAGTCAACTTGAAGATAAAGTGAGAAACTTAGCTTCCACATCCATAATCTTATGCTTCATCTATTTAATTGTTCAGTTTTAGTATACACGTATTGTGGTATCACCATACCTCTTGTTTACCTGTGCCTCCATGGGTAGACACTTTATCAACTGGAGTACAATGATTATGCACAATTGTTTTTGTCTTTTGTCTTACAGAATCCGTTCATGTCCAAAGTTATTTAGGTCAGCACATTTTCTCTCCAATCTCTTCAATGAGTTTGTGTCACATATTTTAAAAGAGTTAGATTCTCTTGTCATATTCTGCATTATATCCTGGGATCCCTTGACTGCCTAAGTTATATTTTTAAAATTCTTTGCATCGCTGCTCACTTGTTGTGCTGTAAAGTTCTATGGATTTTGACAAAAGCACAGTCATGACAAATGCCTCACAGTATCATACAGAATTGTTTCATTGCCCTAGAAAAATCTCTTTTGCTTCATCCATTTAATCCTTCCCCCCCTACCCACTAAGCCCCTGGCAATCACTGATCTTTCTATTATTGCTGCAGTTTTGTCTTTTCCAGAATGCCATGTAATTGGCACCATACAGTACATAGCCTTTCCAGACTGACTTCTTTCACTAAGCAAAATGTATTTAAAGATTTATCCAAGTCTTTTTGTGGCTTGTTAACTCATTTCTTTTTATTCATCTGTAGTGTTTTTAAAAGGTATTCATTATTTTCTGGGGACTGGAACAGAGAAATGTATATTTGTCTGGAAAACAACAAAGAATATCTTCTTTTCTTTAAAAAAAAAAAAAAAAAACCTGTCAGTTCTATCCATCTAATTGCCCCGGCCAGAAAACTGAGAGCCATCCCAGCATATTCTTCATCCTTCCTCACAGTCAATTCATCACTTATTCCTGTGGAGACCCCCAACTTATATCCTGGATGCATTTATTTTCCTCCATTGGTACTCCCAGCATCCCATCCAATTAAACATATCTCAGCTATGCTGCCTTAATAGATTTCTAACCATTCTTTCATCTTTCCCTCTAATTAGTGCTTCAAGCAGCAGTCAGTGACATAAATTGGTTGACATCATACCCTTGCCTAAGATTCTCCCAAGTCTTTCTAATGGCTTGGAATAAAATTCAGAAAATCCAATGTAGTTTTGGGCTGTCTCAAGATGGAGATCCTAGCCACACCTGTAGCTCAGCTGCCGTATCTTTTCCTCTTGATTACTAGGTCCTGCTGTCCTGATCTTTCAGCTCCTAAAGCAAGCTCCTTCTCACATCAGAGTCCTTCCACATACAATTCCCCTTGTAAGAATACTCTTTCCCTAGCTGTTTGTATGGCTAACTCCTCATCTTTCAAGTTTCCATTTTCTAGTTACCACCCCAGGGGAGTCTTCCTCATTCAGCAGATCTGAAGATACATTCCTCTAGTTATCTTTGCTTTTATGCTTATTACAAATTTTAATTATACACATTTTTTGTTTGTCCCTCTCAGGGTCTTGTAAGAGCCATTAAGGCAAGACTATGTGATTTTTGTTTACCACAGTACCCCAGAATCTAGAACTGTAGCTGGCACATTGATGTGCTCAAGAAACATGTACAGAATGAATGGATGGATGAGTTGTAGTGACAAAAGGAAAAGCTCGGGCCAATCTGGCTCTGAGTTCTTGCTCTTATTCTCAGTGAACTTGGGTAAATTATGTAACATCTCTGACTCACAGTTTCTGTTTTTAAAATTAAAATTTAATATCTGTGTATATTTATGGGATACATGTGATATTTTGCTACATGCATAGAATGTGTAATGATCAAGTCAGAGTATTTGGGGTATCGGTCAACTCAGGCATTTATCATTTCTATGTGTTGGGAACATTTCAAGTCCTCTCTTCTAACTATTCTGAAATACACAATACATTGTTGTTTACTATAGTCACCCCACACTGTTATTGAACATTCGAACTTATTCCTTTTATATAACTGTATGTTTTTACCCATTTACCAAGCTCTCATCATCCTCCCTGCCATACACCCTTCCCAGCCTCTGGTATCTGTTATTCCACTTTCTACTTCCATGAGATCACAACTTCTTAGCTCCCACATATAAGTGAGGACATGAGATATTTGTCTTTCTGTGCCTGATTTATTTCACTTAACATAATGACCTCCAGTTCCATCCATGTTGCTGTAAATTACATGATTTCATTCTTTTTATGGTGAATAGTATTTCATTGTGTGTATATACCACATTTTCTTTATCCATTTATCCATTGATGGACACAGGTTGATCCCATGTCTTTGCTATTGTAAATAGTGCTGCAATAAACATGGGAGTGCAGTTATCCCTTTAATATATTGATTTATTTTCCTTTGGATAAATACTTAGAAGTGGCATTTCTGGATTATATGGTAGTTCTATATTTAGTTTTTTTGAGAAATCTCTATACTCTTTTCCATAGTAGCTATACAAATTTACATTCCCACCAAAAGTATAATCAATATCATTTACTGCATCCTCACCAGAATCTGTTATTTCTTGTCTTTTTAATAATTGCCACTCTAACTGGGGTGAGATGGTATCTCACTGTGGTTTTGAGTTGCATTTCCCTGATGATTGGCGATGTTGAGCATTTTTTCATATATGTGTTGATATTTTGTATGTCCTATTTTGGGACATACATAAAAAGTTCTTTGCCCACTTTTTAATGGGATTATTCATTTTTGGCTTTGTTTTGTTTTGTTTACTATTGAATTGAGTTCCTTGTGTATTCTGAGTATTAGTCCCTTGTCAGATAAATAATTTGCAAATATTTTCTCCCATCCAACCAGTTGTCTCTTCATTTTGTTAATTGTTTTCTTTGCTGAGCAAAAGCTTTTTAGTTTAATGCAGTCCCATTTCTCATTTTCGTTTTTGTTGCCTGTGTTTTTAAGATCTTAGCCATAAAATCTTTGCCTAGACCAATGTCCTAAAGTTTTTTATATTTTATCCTAGCAGTTTTATATGTTTGGGTCATATGTTTAAGTCTTTAGTTCATTTTGAGTTGCATTTTGCATATGTTGAGAGATAGGAGTCCAGTTTCATTCTTCTGCATATGGATTAAGTTTCCCAGCACCATTTATTGAAGAGTGTGTACTTTCCCTACTGGGTGCTCTCAGTGTCTTTGAAGAAGATCTGTTGACTATAAATATACGGATTTATTCTGGATTCCTTTGGTCTGTTTTCATACCAATACCATGCTGCTTTTAGTATTATAGCTTTGTAATATATTTGAATTCACATGGTTTTCTGCCCTCAGCTATTGGCAGAACCCACCCCCAATATTTCAACGTAGGTTCTTTCTATTTTCCATAAGTGTTGGCTGGCTGAGCAATAAAGAGAGACAGTACAAAGAGAGGAGTTTTACAGCTGGGCCACCGGGGGTGACATCACATATCAGTAGGACCATGATGCCCGCCTGAGTCTCTGATCAGCAAGTTTTTATTAAGGGTTTCAAAACGGGAGGGGGTGTAAGAACAGGGAGTAGGTACAAAGATCACATGCTTCAAAGGGCAAAAAGCAGAACCACTGATAAGGGTCTAACAAAGATCACATGCTTCTGAGGGAACAGGACAAAGGGCAAAAGCAGTACCACTGATAAGGGTCCAACAAAGATCACAGGGCAAAGGGCAAAAGCAGAACCACTGATAAGTGTCTATGTTCAGTGGTGCACATATTGTCTTGATAAACATCTTAAACAACAGAAAACAGGGCTTGACAGCAGAGAACCAGTGTGACCACAAATTTACGAGGGTGGAGTTTCCCCAACCCTAGTAAGCCTGAGGGTTCTGCAGGAGACCAGGGTGTATCTCAGTCCTTATCTCAACTGCATAAGACAGACATTCCCAGAGCGGCTGTTTATAGACCTCCCCACAGGAACGCATTCCTTTCCCAGGGCATTAATATTAATATTCCTTGCTAGGAAAAGAATTTAGTGATATCTTTCCTACTTGCACTTCCAAAGTTTATAGGCTCTCTGAAAGAAGAAAAATATGACTCTTTTTGCCCGACCCCACAGGCAGTCAGACCTTATGGTTGTCTTCCCTTGTTCCATAAAAATCTCTGTTATTCTGTTCTTTTTCAAGGTGCACTGATTTCATATTGTTCAAACACACATGTTTTACAATCGATTTGTACAGTTAACACAATTATCACAGTGGTCCTGAAGTGACATACATCCTCAGCTTATGAAGATAACAGGATTAAGAGATTAAAGTAAAGACAGGCATAAGAAATTATAAAAGTATTATTTGGGAACTGATAAATGTCCATATTAAGGTGAAATCTTCACAGTTTATGTTCCTCTGCCACAGCTCCAGCCAGTCCCTCTGTTCGGGGTCCCTGACTTCCTGCAACACCCAGCTTTATTCTTTTCACCGAGTATTGCTTTGGCTATTTGGGCTCTTTTTGGTTCCATACAAATTTTAGAATTGTTTTTTCTATTTTTGTGAAAAATGACATTGGTATTTTGATAGGGATTGCATTGAATCTGTAGACTGCTTTGGGCAGTATGGTCATTTTAACAGTATTAATTCTTCTGATACACGAGCATGGGATATCTTTCTATTTGTTTGTGTCCTCTTCAGTTTCCTTCATCAGTGTTTTGTAGTTTTCTTTGCATAGGTCTTTCACCTCTTTGGTTATATTTATTGCTGGGTATTTTACGTTATTTTTTGTAGCTATTGGAAATGAATTGCCTTCCTGATTTCTTTCCCAGCTAGTTTATTCTTGGCATATTGAGAAGCTATTAATTTTTGTATGTTAATTTTGTATTCTGCAACTTTATTTATGTGATCTAAAAGTTTTTTGGTGGAGTCTTTTATTTTTTCTAGATATATGATTATGTCATCTGCAAATATGGACAATTTGGCTTCCTCTTTTCCAAATTAGATGCCTTTTATTTCTTTCTCATGCCTGATTGTTCTGGCTAGAACCTTCAGTACTATATTAATAAGGGGTGATGAAATTGGGCATCCTTGTCTTGTTCTAGTTCTTAGAGGAAACGCTTTAGACTTTTCCACATTCAGTATAATGTTAGCTGTGGCTTTTTCATATATGGCCTTTATTATGTTGAGGTATGTTTCTTCTATGCTTAGTTTGTTAAGAGCTTTTATCAAGAAGGCATGCTAAATTTTACCAAGCACTTTTTCTGCATCTATTGAGATGATCAAATAGTTTTTGTCCTTCATTTTGTTGATGCGATATATCGTGTTTATCGATTTGTGTATGTTGAGCCATCTTTGCATCCCTGGGGTAAATCCCACTTTATCATGGCATATTATCTTTTTGATGTGCTGTTAGATTTACTTTGCTAGTATTTTGTTAAGGATTTTAGCATTAATATTCACTAGGAATATTGACCTGTAGTGTTCTTTTGTTGTGTCCTTGTCTGGTTTTGGTATCAGGATAGTGTTGTCTCATAGAATGAGTTAGGGGAAATTCCTTCCTCTTCAATTTTTTTTTGCAATAGTTTGAGAATAATTGATGTTAGTTTTTATTTGTAAGTTTTATAGGATTCAGCTGTGAAGATTTTTCTTTGTGGGGAGACATTTTATTCCTAATTCAATCTCATTTTTCAATTATTGGTCTGTTCATGTTTTTTATTCCTTCCTGATTCAGTCTTGGTAGGTTGTATGTATCCAGGAATTTATTTATTTCCTCTAGGTTTTCCATTTTGTTAGTTTAGAGTTGTTCATAATGGTCTCTGATGATCTTTTATATTTTTGTGTCATCAGTTTTAATGTCTCCTTTGTATTTCTGGTTTTGTTATTAGGGTCTTCTCTTTTTTTCTTGATAACTCTAGCTAACATTTTATTGATTTATTTTATCATTTCAAAATACCAACTCTTTTGATTTGTTGATCCTTTGTGTTTTTTTAAAGTCTTTATTTTCTTTAGGTCTGCTCTGATCTTTATTCTTTCTTTCCTTCAACTAATTTCAGGCTTGGTTTTTTCTTGCTTTTCTAGTTCCCTGAGGTACATCATCAGATTGTTTATTTGAAATCTTTCTACTATTTCAATGCGGGTGTTTATTGCTATAAAATTCCCTCTTAGCACTGCTTTTGCTGTATCCCTTAAGTTTGGGTATGTTGTGTTTCAATTTTCATTTGTTTTAAGAAATTTTTTTTTTATTTCCTTCTTGATTTCTTCCTTGACCTGGTAGTCATCCAGGAGCTTGTTGTTTAATTTTCATGTATTTGTACATTTCCAAAGTCCCTCTTGTTATTGATTACCAGTTTTATTCCAGTGTGGTCTGTGAAGATACTTGATAGGATTTTGATTCTTAAAAATTTGTTGCAATTTGTTTTGTGTCCTATCACATGGTCTATTCTGAAAAATGTTTCATGTACTGATGAGAACAATGTATATTCTGTAGCTATTGCATAAAATGTTCTGTAAATATCTATTAGATCCATTTGGTCTAAAGTGCAGTTTAAAGTCAGTGTTTCCTTGCTAATTTTCTGTCTAGATAATCCGTCTAATGATGAGAGTGTGGTGTTGAAGTCCCCAACTATTATTGTATTGGAGTCATTTTCTCCCTTTGGATCTAATAATATTTGCTTTATAGATCTAGGTGCTCTGGTATTGGTTGCATATATGTTTAAAATTATTATATCATCTGACTGAATTTAACTTTATGATTATGGAATGATCTTCTTTTTTCTTTTTACTGTTTTTACTTAAAGTCTGCTTTATCTGATATTAGGAAAGCTACTTTTTGTGTTTTCTTTCTGTTTGCTGGGGATATATTTTTCTATCCTTTCACTTTCAGTCTATATGTGTTTTTACAAGTGAGATGAGTTTCTTATAGGCAGCATTTTGTTGGATGATTTTAAAGACCAATTTAGCTGTATCCTTTTTTTGAGATGGAGTTTCACTCTTGTCACCCAGGCTGGAGTCCAATGGAGCGATCTCGGCTTATTGACACCTCCTCCCGGGTTCAAGCAATTCTCCTGCCTCAGCCTCCTGAGTAGTTGGAATTACAGGTGCCTGTCACCACATCCAGTTAATTTTTTTGTATTTTTAGTAGAGATGGGGTTTCACTATGTTGGCCAGGCTGGTCTCAAACTCCTGACCTCATGATCCACCTGCCTCAGCCTCCCAAAGTGCTGGGATTACAGGTGTGAGCCACCATGCCCAGCCTCAGCCATATCTTTTAAGTGGAAAGTTTAATCTGTATATATCCAAGGTCATCATTGATACATGAAGGCTTATTCCTGTCATTTTATTAATTGATTTCTGATTGTTTTCTATATGCTTTGCTCCTTTCTTTCTTATTGTTTATCACTGTGGTTTGGTGGTAGTGGTAACATTAGTGTCCTCACTTGTGTGTTTTTTCAATCAGTGGATTTCATACTTTCATGTGTTTTAATGATTTTGGATATCATTTTTTCACTTCCAGGCATGGGGATCCCTTAAGAATTTCTCGTAGGGTCAGTTTAGTGATGATGAATTCCCTTAGCTTTTGCTTGTCTGGGATAGCCTTTATTTCTCCTTCAGTGATGAAAGATAATTTTCTAGTTATTGTATCCTTGGCTTACAGGATTTTTTTCTTTCAGTACTATGAATATATGATCCCATTCTCTCCTGGCTTGTATGATTTCTGCTGAGAAATCTGCTGTTATTCTGATGGGAGTTCCCTTATAAGTAACTAGGCGTTTTTCTTTCATTGCATTTAGAATTATCTCTGTCTTTGACTTTTGACAGTTTGACTATAATATACTGTATTAGTCCATTCTCACACTGCTATAAAGGACTACCTAAGACTGGGCAATCTGTGAATAAAAGAGGTTTAATTGACTCACAGTTCTGCAGGCTGTACAGGAAGCATGGCTGGGAAGCCTCAGGAGACTTACAGTCATGGTGGAAGGATGAAAGGGAAGCAAGCACATCTTCACATGGTGGCAAGAGAGAGAGAGTGAGGGGGGGAAGTGCTACACACTTTTAAAAAACCAGATATCATGAGAACTCACTATCACAAGAACAGCAAGTGGGAAATCCACCCCCATGATCCAATCACCCCCCACCAGGTCCCTCCCCTGGGGATTACAATTCAACATGAGATGTGGGTGGGGACACAGAGACAAACCATATCATTCCACCCCTATCCTCTCCCAAATCTCATGTCTTTCTCACATTTCAAAATGAATCATGTCTTCCCAACAGTTCCACAGTCTTTACTCATTCCAGCATTAACTAAGAAGTCCAAGTTTAATGTCTCATCTGAAACAAGACAAGTCCCTCTGCCTATGAGCTGATAAAATAAAAAACAAGTTAGTTATTTCCAAAATACAATGGGGGTACAGGCATTGAGTAAATGCTCCTGTTCCAAAAGGGAGAAATAAGCCAAAACAAAGAGGCTATAGGCCCCATACAAGTCCAAAACCCAGAAGGGCAGTTATGAAAATCTTAAAATTCCAAAATAATCTCCTTTCACTTCATGTTTCACATCCAGGGCTCACTGATGCAAGAGGTGGACAGCTCTGCCCTTGTGGCTCTGCAGGGTACAGCCCCTGCAGCTGCTTTTCTGGGCTGGCATTGGGTGCCTGTGGCTTTTCCAGATGCACAGTGCAAGCCGTCAGTGGATCTACCATTCTGAGGTCTGGGGGACCCTCTGGGGGACCCTCCTCTCACAGCTTCACTAGGCAGTGCCCCACAGGGAACTCTGTGTGGGGGATCAACCCCACATTTTTCCTCTGCACTGCCTTCATAGAAGTTCTCCATAAGCACTCTACCCCTGCAGCAGACTTCTGCCTGGACATCCAGGCATTTCCATACATCTTTTGAAACCTAGGTGGAAGCTCCCAAACCTCAACTCTTGTCTTAGGCCCAACACCACATGGAAGCCACCAAGGCTTGGGGCTTGCACCCTCTGAAGCAATGGCCCAAGCTGTGCCTTGGCCCCTTACAGCCACGGCTGGAGTTGGAGCAGCTGGAATGCAAGGTGCCATGTCCCAAGGCTGGACGGAGCAGCAAGGCCTTAGGCCCAGACCACGAAACCATTTCTCCCTCCTAGGCTTCTGGGCTTGTGATGGGAGGGGCTGCCATAAAGGTCTCTGAAATGCCCTGGAAGCATTTTCCTCATTGTCTTGGTTATTAACATTCAGCTCCTCTTCACAAATTTCTGCAACCTTGAATTCCTTCCCAGAAAATGGGTTTTACTTTCCTACCACATGGTTGGGCTGCAAATTTTCCAAACTTTAATGCTCTGCTTCCCTTTAAAGTATAAGTTCTAGTTTCAGTCATTTATTTATGCAAATGAGCATAGGCTTTTATTAATAGAAGCAGCCAGGTCACATGTTGAATGCTTTACTGCTTAGAAATTTCTTCTGCCAGATACCCTAAATTATCTCTCTCAAGTTCACTTTCACAGATCTCTAGAGCAGGAGGACAATGCCTCCAGTCTCTTTGCTAAAGCACAGCAAAAATGACCTTTGCTCCAGTTCCTAATAAGTTCCTCATCTCCACCTCAGCTTGAACTATACTGTCCATATCACAATCAACATTTTGATCCACTCAACAAGTCTCTAGGAAGTTCCAAACTTTCCCTTATCTTCCTGTCTTCTTTTGAGCCCTGCAAACTGTTCCAACCTCTGCCCATTACCCAGTTGCAGTGTCACTTCCATATTTTCCAGTATCTTTTTAGCAATGTCCCACTTCTCTGGTGCCAATATTCTGTATTAATCTGTTCTTACACTGCTATAAAGAACTGCCTAAGACTGGGTGATTTATGAAGAAAAGAGGTTTCATTGACTCACAGTTCCACAGGCTGTACAGGAAGCATGGCTGGGAGGCCTCAGGAAACTTACAATCATGGCAGAAGGATGAAAGGGGGAGCCAGCACATCTTCACATGGCAGCAGGGGAGACAGAGAGCAAAGCAGGAAGTGCTACACACTTTTAAACAACCAGATCTCATGAGAACTCAATCACTATCAAGAGAACAGCAAGGGGGAAATCTGCCCACACTATCTAATTACCTCCTACCTGGCCCCTCCTCCAACACTGAAGATCATAATTCAATGTGAGATTCAACTGGGGACACAGAGCCAAACTGTATCATGTACCATGGAGATGACATTTTTAAATTGTATCTATTTGGGGATCCCTGAACTTCCTGTATCTGGATATCTAAATCTCTTGCTAGACTTAGGAAGCTCTTAGCTATTATTATGTTAAATAGGTTTTCTATCCCTTTCATTTTTCTCTTTGCCTTCTGGGAAACCTAAAACTTGAATATTTGGTTGCTTTATGGTGTCCCATGTGTCACATAGGCTTTGTTCATTCTTTTTAATTATTTTTCTTTATTTTTTTGTCTGACTGGGTTATTTCAAAAGACTTATTTTCAAGTTCTAAACTGTTTTTTTAATGCTTGATCTAGTCTATTGTTAAAGCTTTCAATGGTATTTTGTGTTTCATTCAATAAATTCTTCAGTTCCAGAATTTCTGTTTGGTTCTTTTTTGATCATGTCTATCTTGTCGGTAAATTTCTCCGTCATATCCTGAATTGTTTTTCTGATTTCTTTGTATTCTTCATCTGTGTTCTCTTGTATCTCATTGAGCTTCTTTAATATTATTATTTTGAATGCTTTGGGATTTCATAAATTTCTTTTTGACTGGAATCTGTTGCTAGAAAATTGTTGTGTTTCTTTGGAGTGTCATATTTCCTTAATTTTTGATGTTTCTTGTGTCCTTATGTTGGGTATCTGCACATCTGGTATAAATAGTTGCTTCTCCAACTTTTTGAATTTGCTTTCATAGGGTCAGAGTTCTTCCTGATGATGTGTCTATGATGTTAGTTGGATGGGACACTTTGGATTTGATTCTGGGTACATGCAGTATTGTAGTCTTCATATGATTTCTTCTGTGGTAAACAGCATCAGTGCTTTTGTAATTTCATCAGTGGCTTAGGGTGTGGTAGCTACTGGAGGCTGTGGTTGCTAAAGTTTTCCTGGGGATGAGAATGCTAGGTAAGCCAGGCTTCAGGCAGCTGTGGTGGCAGTGGTGGACTGAGTATGCCTGTCCTTGGGCCCTAGGGTTATGTATGCTGGCACTGGTGTTAGTGGGACCAGACAAGCCAATTCTTGGGCCTCCAAGTGGCTTGTTCAGGTGCCAGCAGTGGCAGTGGTGGTTCATGTAGTTGGACAGGTCCTTTGGCCCCTGGGCAGTGGGTGTGGTGTGGGCAATGGTAGTAGCTGTGATGGAACACCCCTCTGGTTCCCAAGTGATCCACACTGCTGTTGGCAGTAGCTGCAATAAGCTGGCTAGGCCAGTGACCAGGCCCATAAGTGGCAGGTTCTCGTGGGTGCTAACTGTAGTGATAGCAACAGGTTGGGTGGGTTCAATCTCAGGCCCCCCAAGAGGATTGCTCAGGTACCAATGGTGACGAAAAGGGCTGGGCAATCCCCAGGCCCCCAGACATCAAGCTCCATCACTGGAAGGACAGAGCCAGGCTGAACAGACCTGACTTCAGGCCCTGCATTGGCACATCCAGTTGCTGGCTGTGGTAGGCAGGAGAAGGGTGATCCTCAGGTCCCCAGCAGAATGCTCAGGTGGGGGCAGCAGTGGCTGCACTGCGTCCCTGCTACTGGAGAGGGCGAGTTTGCTTTCAGTGGCAGCAGCCATAGGCAGGTGGCTGGGGAGCACACACTTCAGCCCCAGGTGGCGGCTGCATGTGGGGTACCCTATCATTAGGGTGCTTGTAAATGCATGGTGCCTCCACTGCTGGTGGATTGAGATTTGGTCCTAGTGATGGCAGCTGTAAGCAGGGAAGCCTGTCCTTGGAGTCCCTGAAAATGTGCAGCAGCCCTGCTACTGAGGGTGGCTGGGTCACAGCCAGTGGCTTATGCTTCGGCCCTGATGGCAGCAGCCAGATCTGGTGGCAGCCATGGGCAGGGGATATCAATGAGATGGGGCTCCAGGGATGTAGAGATGCAGGGGCTGTTGGGCCCCAGGGCAGGGTGCAGTCTGGTGGGGCCTAGGCTTTCAAAATGGTGCTGTTCTGCAGCTGCTTAGGACTTGGGGTGAAGTGTGGGACTTAGCTTGAGCTCCCTTGCTGAAGCAGTGCTGTCACATGGTCTACACACAGCTCCCTATGTTAGTCTCAGTGTTGACGAGGTTCAAGGGCCTCTCCATGGCTAGGATTGCAGGAGTCTGTGGTGGGACTTTGGACAACTGTAGAGTTTCTCACTTACCCTTTCCCTGCACTAGGGAGTCTTCTGTAGGCTCCCAGAAGATCCTAGCTAAGCAGTCTGCCTCACTTTTCTCTCTTTCCGTCCTTTAGGTAGGAATAGACCATCCTCTCTTGGATGGTCTATTTGAAGTGTGATTATCTGCTCACTATTTTGGCTCTTCTTTGTGAAGGAGGCAAGCACCAGATGCCTCTAGTCAGCCATCGTGAAATCCCTCCCACAGTTTCTTAATCTATTAATTAAATACAATACTTTTCTCTGGCAAATTGAGGGCAAGGAGGGAAATAATATATATACACAGATAACCTAATCCTTGGCTACATTTTAGGAATTCAGTAGGTATTAGCTAAAAACATTCTAATAATTTATCTTTTAATGACAAATGCTAGTATGAACTGTAATTTTTGCTTTTTAGAATTCATTGACTTGTTCATTTATTCATTTTTATTATATATTATATGCTTTTAACTTCTGTAAATGTTTTCTGGTTTTAGGATCTAAAAGTGCTGGAAAGAGGGAGAGAAAGAGAAAGAGAAAAATTAAGGGCCCTTGTAATAATTTGTCAATATTTTGTTTAATATATTTTCATTTGCATTAACATGGTTTATTAATTTTTTCCCTTTGTGAATGACACCTTTTTTAGATATCAAATTACTCCGTGTCACATTTAATAGTTTGGGCCTTAAATTCTGCTGTTTGAGATCAATACGACCATTTCTTCCTTTCACAATTATATTTGCCCAATAAATTTTTCACTCATCCTTTGATTTTTAACATTTCATTGTAGTTTTATTTTCAGTGTGTGTCTTCAGGCAGCATGCAGCTGGATTTTCTTATATCCAATCCAAACTCTTAGGAATACATAAGGCAAGGTTCTCAAACAGAACTTTTTTTTTTTTTTTTTTTTTTTTTGAGATGGAGTCTCACTCTGTCGCCCAGGCTGGAGTGCAGTGGTATGATCTCGACTCACTGCAAGCTCTGCCTCCCGGGTTCATGCCATTCTCCTGCCTCAGACTCCCAAGTAGCTGGGACTACAGGCACCTGCCACCACACCTGGCTAGTTTTTTGTATTTTTAGTAGAGACAGGGTTTCCCTGTGTTAGTCAGGATCGTCTTGATCCCCTGACCTCGTGATCCGCCTGCCTCAGCCTCCCAAAGTGCTGGGATTACAGGCGTGAGCCACCACGCCCAGACTCTCAAACAGAACTTCTAAGAGTATTAGTTCAATCAAAAATTTGTGTCCCCACTTTTGTAGATCCTACCTCAGCAAAGCAGTGTGGGGCCCAGGGCTTTCATTTCCATTGTGAAAACCAGTTTTCTGAAACATCCAACAACCCATAGAATACTGTGGTTATCATTAACTAAAGATTTCACTTTTTGCCACAGCTAATAACTTCCACTCCAGTTTTTTTTTGGCTTGTTTAGTTTCTTTCCTTTTCCATGGGCTAACTTTGTATTTGGTTAGTTTTCCTCTGTGATTTCCATCATTTTTTAAAAATACTACTGGAGTGTATCTTCAAGCATTTGCAGAACTTTTAAAACCTGCATTTCTCTCATTATAAAGTCAAGAATGAATTTATTTCTTCTTTTTCCTCCTTGCCCCAGGTAAAAGGAAGAATTTACCATATTCTTGGTTTGAGACCATTAATTATTATTATCGTGTGCATATTTTATGATGTAGCTTTCTGGTTTCCAAAATGCTTATCTACATTTACAGTCTGTCTCGAACCGTTTGCTTACCAGTATTCACAGTTAGCTCTCTATTGGCTTATTTCCTACAGGATGTCCTTTAATCACTTCCCCAATCTGGAACATTTAGTGAAACAATGTCTCTCTGTTAACAGGAGAGCATACAGCAAGGTAGATTTGTAAAGACCTTTTCTCAGACTGTGCACAGCTGAGGACATCATTGCATTATTTCTACACGTGATCAGAATTTGGCTGGGTATAAAATTTGGCCTTACAATGTTTCTCCCCTGAGAATCTGAGGACAATAATCTTCTGTTTCCTGGATCGTAGTTTTTCAAAGAAGTCTGAGACCAATTGAGTTTTCTGTCTTTACGGTCTTATTGATTGATATGGTTTGGCTGTGTCCTCACCCAAATCTCATCTCGAATTGTAGCTGCCGTAATTCTCAGGTGTTGTGGGAGGGACCTAGTGAGAGATAATTGAATCATGGGGGCAGTTTCCCCCATACTGTTCTCGGGTAGTGAATAAGTGTCTCGAGAGCTGATGGTTTTATAAGGGGAAACCCCTTTCCCTTGGCTCTCATTCTGTCTTGCCTGCTGCCATGTGAGACATGCCTTTCACCTTCTGCCATGATTGTGAGGCCTCCCCAGCCACGTGGAACTGTGAGTCCATTAAACCTCTTCCCTTTATAAATTACCCAGTCTCGAGTATATCTTTATTAGCAGCATGAGAACAGACTAATACATCAATCTAGGTGCTTTTAGGGCTTTTCCTTTACTTATTTCATTCAAAACTGTGATCATTTTTTCACTCATTTTGTCTGGGACATCATGGGCATTTTCAACTGTCATATAACCAGCCTCTTTCTTTCATTTTGTTTTTTTAAGCTAAGGAACTGTTCTTCAATAATGCTTACCTTTAATTGCAATTCTCATCCAAGCATTCAGGTTTCTTCATTTAACCCTCTTATTCTTAGAGTTATTCTCCTGCTGCTCATAGAATGGCTAGTTAGGTGCCCAAGCTCTGTGACCCTGGCCCTCTGCCAATTCTGTGGAAGAAACCCACCGCAACCCCCACATCATCTCCAGCCTATTATCCTAAATAACAATGAGAAAGGAGGGGGCTCCATGAGTAGAAGGAAGATCAGCATCATGAAAGAGGAATTTGAAAATAAATAGAAAATCTACTCCAGAGGAAACTGAGACAATTTCAGAGAAAGTTAAACAACAACAACAACAACAACCACAACAATGGAAACCCTCTAATTAGTCAAATAAGAAATTGGGGAAAATCAATACATTTTATAAATCAATGACCCTGTGCTAAGGGTAAAAATCAATTAATCAATCATAAAGAGATGATCATTGGATTGTGGTATCACTTAGGCTGCCTGAAGAGCTCAGCAAAAGTGGATTAAAGTGATAGGGCCTATCTCCTAAAATGATTTTCAGAGACCAGGTACCCTCTTTGTACATTTTAAGCTACTTTCTAACATTTTAAATTATATTTAAATACTTGAAAAGAAAATAACTTCCAGCATATTTCAAATATTAACATTAAAAATG
Organism: Homo sapiens; assembly: GCF_000001405.40. Taxonomy (NCBI): domain Eukaryota; kingdom Metazoa; phylum Chordata; class Mammalia; order Primates; family Hominidae; genus Homo; species Homo sapiens. Next base: position 127,641,146 of record NC_000010.11, read on the forward strand.
TCTGCATTTAAATGTCTCCAAAGGAATCAAAATTCCACAGTAACTGCCCACCGTCACTCACTTAGAAGATCCAAGAGTAAGCCTTCCTCTAAAATTAGAACAGTCATAACTTTTTTTACTCCTTGAATTACTGTCTTTTTACTTTTATCCAAATATTCTTTTATGAATTAAAGACTTTATTGTTCACCTCATCATTAGTTCATATAACAAAGATGTATATAAATTGAATTGTTTAAATCTTTTAAATTTTCTGAAATCATGGGCTCTAACATTTTTGCTAGCTTAAGGTATAATTTCAAGTGTTTGTGTATATTTTACAAAAAAAAAAAACCCATGTTGGCCAGGCACCATGTCTCATGCCTGTAAACCCAACAATTTGGGAGACCTATGTGGGAGAGTAGCTTGAACCCAGGAGTTCAAGACCAGCCTCGGCAACATAGTGAGACCCCCATCTCAACAAAAAAATTTAAAAATAATTGTCAGGGCATGGTGGTGCACACCTGTAGTTCCAGCTACTCAAGAATCTGAGGCGGGAGAATTGCCTGAACCCAGGGATTGAAGGCTGCAGTGAGCTATGATTGTACCACTGCCCTCCAGCCTAGGCAACAGAGCAAGACTCTGTCTCTATAAATAAATATAAAAACAAGCAAATATGTTACTAATTAACTTTTAATGGAATATATAATTATTGACGATAAAGACAACTTTATTGGAAATATATGTCTTAATGAGATGAATGCAGCTTTATCAAATTACTTCACATGGCTGTTCATGAATATGACTTATTGCTAGAATGAGACGGAAATCACACCGAGTCTATTCCTGAGTCTTATTTTCATGGTCATAGGCACTGAGAAATCTTCACATAAAAGAGTAGATACTAATAATGAGCCGATACTCATAAGTGAATAATACTAATTAGTTACATGTCATAAATCACAGTGAATTCTCATAAAATAGAATTTTAATGATTAATTGGCTATCAACTACTTCCAATCTTCTGTCAGTTTTGTTGTAAGCAAAATCATTGGTACCATTTGATCTGCAAAGGATTTACAACTTTCTCAAATTTTGGGAAACACAGCAAAAATGTATAATAAAAATTATGAAATCACTATTAAGTATACTCCTACTCTTTCATTTAGAGGCAATTTGTTTAACAAGATACATTTAGAAGGGATGGGAAAATTAAAATATATCAATATGCTTTTGATAAGATAACATTACTGATAAAAATACTTTTTACTACGTGCTTTAAATATCCTTAATCAAATTGAGCTGCTGACTGAACTCATTAAATTTTATGGACAAAGCCCTTTCTACATCCTAAATAGTGAAGTCAATGTTCACTGTCAAATACATTGGCTAAATGAGATTTGCTTTCTATCACAAATACCTAACTTTACATTTCAGTTTGTAATTAAAAATACGTTATTTCACACATGTGCGAGCTTCCTTGGGCTGCTGAAATAAAGCACCGCAAACTGGGTTGCTTAAAGCAACAAAAGTTTATTGTCTCACTGTTCTGGAGGCTGGAACGCCACCTCAAGGTCAAGGTGTTGGTAGGCCAGGCTCCCTCTGAAACCTGTCGAGAATACCTACCTTTTCCTAGCTACTGGTAGCTTGCTGGAGATCTTTGAACTTCTTTGGCTTATAGCTGCATAACTCCAAACTCTGTCTCCATCATCACGTAGTATTTTCCCTGGGCCTCTCTGTCTTTGCAGGCCTGTTTCTTACAAGGACAGCCATTATGTTTAATTAGGAGTCCATCCTACTCCAGTACAACTTCATCTTAACTAATTATTTCTGCAATGACCCTATTTTCAAATAAAGTGATATTCTGAAGTACTAGGGGTTAGGACTTCAACATTTCTTCCTTTTGAAGGGGGCGGGGTTGATAAAACTCAACTCATAATAGCATACTAAGAATATTTTTTAAATCACCAAGAAATAAATTACAGAATGCATTGTACAAAGTAGACAATTAAAATCTGTTAAGGTTAAAATGGCATTAACCTTGCCAGGAAATATTCTAGGTATATTCCAGGTATATTCTAGGTATATTCCAGGTCCCAGGAAATATTCTAGGTATATCTAAAGAAATCATTGTTTTTCTTGGTGAAGCTATTGGGAAATAGACATTTTTACATATTGCTAATGGAAGTATAAAATTGTGGAAAGCCTATTAAGTATATTAGGCAATATCTAACAAAATTACATATGCATTTACCTGTGTCTCAACAATCCCTCTTGTAGGAATCTACCTTGAAGAGATATGTCCACAAATGCAAAACATCCTATACCTAAAATACATCTAAAAGGAATAATCTGTGTATTAATTTTTTAAAAAAGATAAGTCAACACGCCACATCTCATTACTTAATTTATATTAATACAATATATATAACTAAAATTATAAGAAATTATATATAATAATTAACTAACGTGTAACTAAAATTACAAGTCAGTTACAGCAGGAAGAGAAAAAGGCATGGCATCCTTTGGTAAATGCATTTATATGCTCATGTGTCAAAGTCTGGTATTTGGCTTTTGGGCATAATTAAATAAATATCAGATATAAAAGTAGCAATAATGCCACTAACTTCAATATACTTCGTGATTAAACTTTTCTACACATTTAATTAAAGTGAAAATGATATATTACCCAAACCTAATCTACCCAACAGCTAGCTTATTTTACTTTTTATTACCAGGAGGTTGAAAATATGAAATATTTTTTGAGTTATAGTGATCATTTATGTGAAAATAACAAGTACTTAATTATATGATTTAAATAGGATAGGTTTTAACCACCAGTTATGGTTCGAAGGATGGTGTCCCCTCCAAAAATTATATTGAAACTTAATCCCCAATGCAACTGTATTAAGAGGTATGGCCTTTGGGAGGTGATTAAGTCATGAGCGTGAAGCTCTCATGAATGGGATTAGCACCCTTGTAATACGGCTTGAAGTTGAGAGGAGCATCCTCTTGCCCTTCTGTTCCTCCCACCATGTGAGGACACAGTGTTCCTCCTCTCAGAGTGATGCAGCCAAAATGTGCTTTCTTGGAAATGGGGAGCAGCCCTCACCAGACACCAATCCTATTAGCACCTTGATCTTGGACTTCCCATCCTCCAGAACTGTGAGAAATACATTTCTATTGTTTATAAATTACTCAGCCTTGGGTATTTTGTTACAGCAGCACAAACAGACCAGACACGACACTCTCTCATTGAATAATCCACATCAATTTATTTTAACCACAACTTGTATCTTCAGGCTTTACTCTGTGTACCTTGAAAAATGTGGTGGTCCCAGGAGATATTCTAGGTATATCTAAAGGGATCATTGTTTTTCTTGGTGAGGCTATTGGGAAATAGACATTTTTACATATTGCTAATGGAAGTACAAAATTGTGGAAAGCCTATTAAGTACATTAGGCAATATCTAACAAAATTATATACACATTTACCTGTGTCTCAACAATCCCTCTTGTAGGAATCTACCTTGAAGAGATATGTCTACAAATGCAAAACATCCTATACCTAAAGTTATTCATCATGGCATTCTTTGTAATAGCTACAGATGTAAGACAACACAGAGGTTCCTCAGCAAGATGCTGGTTGAAAACCTCCCAGTATACCCATCCAAAGAAGTATTATATAGCTGTAGAAATGAATGAGAAAGTCACCTATACAGTTGGCCTTCTAGATCTGGATCTGTATCCATAGATAAAACCAACCATGGATTAAAAAAAACTGTATATATATATATATATATAGTTTTAAATTACATCCATTCTGAACACTTACAGACCTTTTCTTATAATTATTCTCTAAACTATACAGCATAACAACTACTTACATAGCACTTACATTAGGCATTGTAAGTAATCATGGAAGAAAGTGTATAGGTTATATGCGAATACTAAGCTGTTTTATATCACAGACTTGAGCACCCACAGACTTTGGTGTCCATGTGAGGTCCTGGAACTAATTCTCCATAGATATTGAGGGATGACTATATACTTATATCTAATAATCACCAGGATATATTTTTAAGTGATAAAAGCAAGATGCAGAACAGTGTATGTATGGTGCTAAAGTTGTAAAAGAAAGGTGGGGAAATAGGAAGCCATAACTGCAAAAAGAAACACTTTCAGAAGGAAAACGCAGAGGCTAATAAAAATAATCCCTGTATGAGAAATAGTGGAAGTCATGGGGAAGCGAGACTTCTTTAAGAGCATATAATTGGGCTTCTGAGCTGTCAATATTAAAAAACTGAAATTAAATCAATAGACAAAATCAAACCTTAAAATTGGAAATAAATGGAATCAAATAAACCCGGCATTGTATTAAAAGAGTAAAATAACCACACAGATATGACTTCAATTGACTTTTGAACTCAACACATGCGCTGTACACATTAGTGGGACATATTCTAGAGTCAAAATGCCATTCTCCACTAAAGAGAAACCAGAGTTACTCTCAGAAAAAGATAATTTCATTCCAGGCCTGGGACAGGAAAAGTACCTCTCACTCTGTCAGAAAAACTATCAATCAAACATTTAAAGTAAGGGAGCATGCTAAAAGGATACAGAAAAGGACTAAAAAGAAAATTTGAAACATCATTCTATTTATGGAGGAATCAAAAGGAAAATATACTTAGGAATAAATTTAAGAAAATATATGCAAAACCTTTTCATTGAAAACTACAAAACATTGCTGGGAGAAATTAAAGAAGACCTAAAGAAATGGAGAGATAAACCTAGTTCAGCTAGGGAGATTTACTATTATTAAGATGTTACTTCTCTAGGACATAGTTTATAGAGTCAGTGTCATCCCTATCGAAATTCCAGCAGACCTGTTTTTTTTTAAATTTTTTTGAGAAAAAGCTGTTTATAAAATTTATATGGAAATGAGCTAGAATTACCAAAGCAATTTTTAAAAGAATAACAAAGTTGGAAAGTTAAAGTACATGATAGGGTACTTACTATAAAGTTACAGTTGTAAGAACAGTTTGACATTGGCAAAGGGATAGACACACAGATCAATGGAAACCAATAGGGCCAGACGCAAACCCTCACCTGTGTGGTCTGTAGATTCCTGACAGTTACCAAGGCAATTTTGGGGGGAAAGGAAAATCTTTTCAGCAAATGGTGCTGTAACTATGGGATATCCGTATAGAAAAAAAATGAGCATCAACTCTACTCAGACCGCTTATGAAACTGAACTTGAAATGAGTCAGAGATTTAAATATAAAATCTAAAACTTCTAGAAGAAAACACAGGGGGAGTTTTGTGGCCTTGGTTTAGGAAAATATTTCTTAGCTAGGTCACAAAAATTTAGAAATAAAGAAAATAAAGAAAAATGTTACAAATTGACCATTATCAAATTTAAAAATTTTTAGTATCTAAGACATTTCTAAGAAAACAACAAGTCAAATCATATAATGGGAGAAAATATTACTTACTGAATACTATATATATATATATATAGAGAGAGAGAGAGCGCAGTAAAGAAAAAGAGAATACAACTCTTTTGACAGATAGACATATATATACACATTATAAAATATACATTATATATAATGTTACACATATTACATATATACATATATATATCTGTTAAATACAAGTATTTAAAATATATTCAGAACTCTTAAAATTTAACAATAAAGACATAAATAAATCCTAAATAAAATGAGCAAAAGCTTTGAGCACATATTTTACCAAAGAAGATAAGGACTTGAAAAGAAGCTTGGTAGGAATAGTCATCAGGGAAATGAGATGCCAGTACACACCTGTAGCATCGCTAAAATTCAAAACACTGAAAACCAAGTGCTGGAAAGGATGTGTAGCAACTGGAATGTCATATATTGCTGGTGGGAATATATATTTGTATAGCCACTTTGGAAAACTGTTGGGCTGTTTCCTAAAAAGTTAAACAAACTCTATAACATAACCATTTTGAACGTAGGTATTTACCCAAGAGAAGTGAAAACATATATCCACATAAAACTTGTACACAAGTGTTCCTAGAAGATTTATTCGTAATAGGCAAAAAGTGGAAAGCACCCAAGTACCCATCCATGGACAAATGGATGAACCAACTGTGACATATCTATACAATGTAATACCACAGAGCAATAAAAAGGAATAAACCATTGTTACATGGAACAATATGGTGAATCTCAAAAGCATTACATGCAGCGAAAGAAACCAGACACAAAAGAATATTACTATATTACTCAATGTATAAAAAGTTCAAGAAAAATCAAACAAATCCATGCTACAGAAACGAGATCAGTGGTTGCCTGGGGGCAGAGGAGGGAGGAGAAATGGATTTCAAAGGAACAGAAGGAAAAGTTTGCTCCTGATGGAAATATTCTATATCTTGATTATGGCAGTGGCTTTATAGGTAGATACATCTGCTAAATCTCATCACATTGTGCACTTACAATGGATGCATTTTATCATACATGTATTACACCTCAATAAAACTGAGAGAAAATAATGGCACAAGAATCAGCCTCAAGGAACTCCCACTGGCCAAATTTGAGATAATATAAGCATAAAAAATGATTCAGTTGGTAGTAAAACATGGACTATATATACATATTTTAAACTGAACCATAATCTGACTAGGCCTCTAGCCCTAACCATACCTTTTCAGGGAATACAATGGACACAGGAAATATTAAACTATGAAATGGGGATGCAGTCATCACAATCTAGACTGAGGGAAGGTCTGCAGGGCAAATGATTCTGTTTCTTCAACAAATAAGTTGCATAGAAGAGAGAGAGAGACTTATGAATTAAGAGATTTATCAATGAACTGCTATCTATGGTCCCTCCACAAATCTTGATTCAAACAAAAAACTTTAAAATAATTATGAACCAATTAATAAATTCAAACTTTGGATATTTGATATTAAGGAATTATTATTAATTTTTAAAAGATGATAATGGTACTGTGGTCATATATTTTAAGGAGATAGTTTAGTTTTTAGTGACACATGCTGGCATTTTTATGGATACAAGGATATGTTTAGGATTCGTTTCAGAAGGCTCCATGGGGGACGTGGGTGGTTGAAACAAGTCTTGGCTGAAAGCTATCCATATCTTAATGCACCTGCTCCTCACAACACACTGGTGAGGTGGACCTGATGGGTGTACTCATCTTACAGATGACAAGCTAAGAGAAGTTAGGGAACTTGCCCAAGGTCACCCAAAGCCCACAGTGATTTCCAAGCCCATGCTGTGGGAATTCTGCCAGCTGTTGGGTGTCTCAGTCTCAATTATGTATTCTTGAACTGGAGACACGAGCACAGGATGGGTTTGAGGACCCAATGGGTCCCCTTTGAGACAAATCTGAGCTAAAACTCCATCAATCACCTGCCCTCCATGAGCCCCTACTCTGACTGGTGGGCCACAGTGACTTTTTGGATCTCCTGGAATTAATGTCAGTTCAGAACCCGTGTCCGGCAGCCTCTGATAAACCTGTCTATTTCCTCTTCCCCAATGCACAGCTACCCTGGTAAAAGGCCAAAGTTGAACAGTATCAGTTTTTGGCAGTGTACCTGGGTCCTTCCTCCAAGGGACACAGCCTCCTTTTTATTCAAGGGGTTTTGGGTCTGTAAACTGGCTCAAGTCTGGGGATTAATTGAGGGGCCATGACTCTGTTTTTTATGATTTGAATTAGACGTTTATTCACTTGACCTAGAACTTTTCTGTTTATACAGATCAAGTAGGAATTTAGTAGGCTTCCTATATCTATTTCATTTAGGATCACCATGGTGGATCAATTTGCCAATGCCAAAGGTCTGCTCTAGTCAGACTGCTGTATTCTGACTGCTGCTGGAATGCTGCTATCCCCTATAGTCACTACGCCCACCTGCCTTTTGGGGTTGAGTGCTCCTGCCACCCAGGATCCAATTACTCCCTTGTGTGAGTTTCCCAGCTCAGTGACTGCAGTTTCTGCTGTGAGGTCTGGCCTGCAGAGAAGAGCGATCACAGAGCTCTGCAAAGATGCCAGGGCTCCCCTCACAAATTTATTTCTTATACTTGTGGTGAGAGGTGTGTTTTCTGGATCCTCCCGGTGTGAATAGAACTTAAGTGACAAGTCCATGCTAGTATTCCAGTCTCTCTAAGCCTTTGAATTCCTTCCTCCACACTAACTCAAGACAGCTCCTGCACTTCTAACTCACTCACTGTGGGCCGGTTCTGGTCCACACTTCAGCCAACCAAGCAAACAAACTTTTAGAGCCTCTTCTACTTCCCTGAACTGCAACATGAAATGCAGAATCTGTGTTCAGTAACCTCATGTCAATAAATTTGGATCAACTTCATCCTCCTTCCACATCTGTGCAGCACTGTCCCTTACCTTCTTTGCTTAGGCAGCTGGTGGGAAAGTCAGGAAAGAAGCAAACACCGCTCTATAGAACAGTGGGGCCAAGGAAAGGAAGCCAACTCCTTCTCAAACTGCATCTGCACTGGATTATTCTAAAAAATGAGGAACTGGTTTGGAGAGGGATGCACCCGCTCATAGGTGAGTTTGTGTGCTGCGCAGGCAGCTGGACTGCTGCAACACTGCAAAGGAATACAGCCGGGAGAATCTATGTCCTCTTCTGACTACAGGAGTTGGTGCTCCGTTCCCCTTCCTCTTCCTCAATAGATCTGGGAACAGTGAGAAAATCCACAAGCTGACCATTCAGTAGGGGGCAGCCTTGAGACAGAAAACAAGCCAGAGCTCCCTACTCAGCCCTGCGGGTTTGGGAAGGGTTCCCTTGGAGGGGAGAAGGGAGGCTCACACCTGAATTACCAGGAGGCCACCCCGATACCCTTCTAGAAGCTTCCTGTCTCCAGCATATTAGATAGTAAGTCCCTCAAGGACAGCAACCATGGTTGCTAGCAGATAATTAATAAAAGTATACTAAATGAATGGGCTCCATTTAGCACCATTAAAATAAGGGGACACTTATATTTTCTTCTGCTGGTGAGGGTGAGGTGCCATGAGCATACTCATGCATTGTTTTAATTTTAAATGTTCATACTCCTTGACTCTATAATTCTACTTGAAATTTAGCCCAAAGTAACAATTCTAAATATGGATGAGGGGGAGAGAGGAAGAGAACCTGTGTCCATAAAGATATACAATACAGCATTATTCATAATTTAGAAAAACTAAAAATAATTTATAGGCTGAGCAGTGTGGGGAGAATTGAATAATTTTTTTTTTTTTTGAGACAGGGTCTCACTCTGTCGCCTAGGCTCACTCTGTCGCCCAGGAGTGCGGTGGCGCGATCTCGGCTCACTGTAACCTCTGCCTCCCGGCTTCAAGTGATTCTCCCATCTCAGCCTCCCAAGTATCTGGGACTACAGGCGTGCACCACCCCACCTGGCTAATTTTTGTGTTTTTAGGAGAGACAGGGTTTCACCATGTTGGCCAGGCTGGTCTTGAACTCCTGGTCTTAAGTGATCCACCCACCTTGGCCTCCCAAAGTACTGGGATTATAGGTGTGAGCCACCGCAGCCGGCCTGAATAAACTCTTATGCAATCCTGAAAACTTATAATTAAGAGTGTGTGTGTTTGTTTGATTGTTGGTTTGTTTTAATCTAGGCAACAAGGGAAAGAAGTGAGAGAAATATTCCAAAGTTGGGTTAGGTCTTTTGTTAGGGTCATATGACTTTGGGTGGTTTTCAGTATTTTCAATTTTTAATTAAATATGCTTATATTACTTTTATTTTGAAAAATATGTAGTATGTTTAGGAAAGGAGAGAGGGAGAGAGAGAATAGAAAACTGACCTATATCAAACCAAAACCCATCATTTTCTCTGATATTTTAGAAATTTATAGGACACAGCGTCAAGTGAGACAAGTACGACCCAAGTGGATTGACTGCACTTCACATTTTTAGAAGCTTTTGTTTTATATAACCTTTCTTTGGGGCATGGGAATGCTCACCTTGTCAAAAAATGTCCCACTTTTTTTTTTCAGGCTGTTCTATTCATTCCATGCTAAATTGCTTGCTGTATTAAATGCTTAAGGGACTATATTTTAGTACCACTTAAAGAGTGTTAAATAATCCTCATATTTATTTCCTTTCCTTACTGAATGCCTTTAAAAAAGTGTTTGAAATATGAGGTTGGGGAGTTTATGCATAAAAATAATTATAATAACACTTAGAAGCTCTTATTCTAGAAGCAAAAGCAGCCCTTAGCAGGCTCCTGAGATACCTGAGTTCGGAACCTGTTGTTTTCTTCCTCGGGATGTTAGCACGCTGGGAATCACTGGTGTGGGATGCTGTCAAATGCACACCCCATTGAGGCTTTAGGACCTGGAGGATGTGCTTTATCTTCATGATGGGAATGTCCCATGTTACATGACTGGGTATGACTGTTGTGGAGCTGGTTCTAACAATCTAATCCAATGTGCTCATATGGAATGTTTGGTCTGCTCGTTTTGTTAAGAATAATTGTTTTCACTGAAACAATGTATCACTTACAAACATACAAAATAAGCAATTTGAAATTTACTAAATACAATTTATTTTATGGTCAACTGACAGGTTTAAAGTACCATGAACTGTCTACTGTTTATCTGAATTTTTTAAAACTAGATGATAAACTCAAAAATATTTGAGAAAAATGGAGACATTTAAAAGGATATTTTTGGTTGTTTTTAAGCTTTTACCAAAAATCAGTCTCTCTCTTTCTCTCTCTCTGTGTGCATTATATAATACATTACAGCCTAATAAATGAACCCTGTGAAAAATATACTTCTCTAGATATAAATCTACCTTACAGTAGATAGAAACGTTACTTTCAAATGTAAACCCTGGAAATAAATAACTCTGAATCACAGAGACAGAATACTTACAAAACCTTTACATGAAATATGCACATATGAGGGAATATCCATTTTACACCAGTTGTAAACACTGATCTCTGATTCTTCTTTTGGTAACCTGAAAATATGGCTATTGTTTAAAACTGCAGCTTTGAATCTCAATTTTGTTTAGGGGCAAGTACATAGAACATGGCAAAATATATTATAATGGATACTAAGTTTGCACATCAAGTCATAAACTCTGGCATCTTATATTTGAAGCTAAATCTGCCCTTTTTTCATACATTATTTGGTTGTTGTTTACATACAGTTTTTAAAAAAAATATTGTATTAGTCGGTTCTCAGGCTGCTAATAGACACATACTTCGGTTTTTTATAAACTGGGTAATTTATAAAGGAAAGAGGTTTAATGGACTCACAGTTCCACATGCCTGGGGAGGCCTCACAATCATGGCTGAAGAGCAAGGGATTCTTACGTAGTGGGAGGCAAGAGAGAATGAGAGCCAAGTGAAGGGAAACCCCTTATAAAACCATCAGATCTCGTGAGACTTATTCACTACCAAGAGAACAGTATGGGGGAACTGCCCCCATGATTCAATTATCTCCTGTGGGGTTCCTCCCACAACACTTGGGAATTATGGGAGCTCCAATTCAAGATGAGATTTGGTTGGGGACACAGTCAAACCATATCAAAGATTTTAAGACCAAAGGATTCAAGTGGCCATGGCTAACATCATCTAGTTAATTGCTTCCAATATTTACAAAGGACCACGTGGGCCCCTTTGCTGCATGCTGGGGTGAGGAAGGGATGCAGTGTGAGTGAGATGTGAGATACAGTTTCAGCTTTCTGGATTCAGCACCTCTCATCTCCTTTCTGTCTGACTTTTACTATTCACTTAGCACATGTTTTCTGAGCTCTTGCATGGATCACACCCTGTTGTCACATTGGAGTCATAAAAGTGAGTGAAACAACAATGCCACCCTCTGTTTCTTAGCTTTTGTTAATTGAGTCTACCTGTGCTCACTTGCAGAGTTTCAGTTTTGTAAGATGAAAAAATTCTGGAAATCTATTATACAACAATGGGAATATACTTAACACTATTGAATTATACACTCAAAAATAGTTAAGATGGTCAGTTTTATGTTATGTGGGGTTTGTTTAACCACAATTTAAAAAATACTAGAAAAATATTGAATTAAAAAATATATATTTATTCTTTTGACACCCCCCCTAATTTAAATGCTGGAGTCTAATTTTTCTCTCCTTGAATGTGGACCAAACTTCATGCCTCACATTTACTAAGTAGAATGTGGTGGAAGTGATACTATGTAATTTTCAAGGATAGGTCATTGTGAATATGCCTTCTGCCTGGCTTTCTTGCTCTTAGATCCCTTGTTCTGAGGGAAGACAGAGGCCATGCTGTGAAGGCACTCAGCAGCCCTGTGGAGAGGCCCATGGGGAAAGGACTGAGGCCTCCCACCAACAGCCAGCACCAGATTGCTGCCCATGGGAGCACACCTCCTCCAGCCCTGGTCAGGCCGTCAGATGACTGCGGTCCCAGCCAACCTCTAACTGAATCACATGGAAGATCCCAAGTCAGAAGAGTCCACAGATTCACTCCTGGATTCCTTACTCATAGAAGTCATAAGCCATTGAGTTTTGAGGTGGCTTTTTACGCAGCAGCACATAGTCTACATCAGGCAGGGGAAAGTGCAAGTTGCTTGCAGGGGAAAATCAGGGCCATTGTCATTGACTGGGCCTAGAGTTCAAGTCCTTTTTCTGACACCTGCCATCCTCATTCCCATTTCAAACTTTACAATTCCCCTTTGAAAAATGAGCAGATTGCCATCTATTTTTGTCTTGAACTCCTGGCCTTAAGAGATTCTCCCACCTTGGCCACCCAAAGTGCTGGGATTACAGGCATGAGCCACTGCACCTTGCCATTTATTTTGTAAAGTTGATGTTAACGTTAAACAGAATGGTGAATGTCAAGTACAGAGTGCATAGTAGGAGCTCAGCAAATGGTAGCTTTTATTATTTGAGTTCATAGGACACATCAAAGATGGGAGATCATATTTGTCTCATCCCAAAGTTAGTGTAGTTCTTTTATAGTCTAATGTAGTCCAATGTAGTCTAAACCCAGATCTCTTCTTCAGTTAGTGGAGCCCAAGAATATTAAAGCTAGAAGGGATCCTGGAGCTCGATCTGTCCAATGCCTTCATTTAGCAAATGTCTACACTAAGACCTGGGCTGGTTACAACAGTTTACCCAACATTCACACCAGGCCAGGCAAGACTAAGACCTGGATGGCTGACTTGTAGCCTAGTGCACTGTGCATTGCATACTGATGACGTCAAAGGCCTCGTTTTGTGTTAGGCTGATCTGCCAGTCATATTCTCTGTGGCTGGAGTGCCTTCATTAACTCTGACAGAGAGGCTGTTAATTAGTCCCAGAAGCCACGCCCTGCTCAGCACCTCCAAGAGCCACACTCTGCATGGAGGTGCTGGGACTGAGCCCATACACAGCTTCTCAGTCAACACAGTGTGGCCAGAAATCAAATGAGCCAAGGGAAAACGGACAATCAGTCTAGTCTCTGCAGGGCCAGCCTTGTAATCATATTACTATGTAGATGCCTCTGAAGACTGATAGACTTATCACCTCACCTCCTTCCCTCTACCACTCCTCTCCTCAGCACTGTAGCCTGGACAAACGTGAAGATAATTCACATATTGAAAGGTAAAAGCAAGTATCAATACACTTGGCCAACTTCCCAGAAGCTCTTCTTGAATGTTCTGGTTAAAAAGCTAAACTTTGATCAAAAGCACTAAGAAAGAGTGTTTTGTAGACACTTTTAAAGAAATCAGAAAATTTAATTAACTTAATCATTTCTAAATCCAAGTTCAACTCAACGAAAGAATTTTTGAAATTTAGTGTCTTCTAGATTTTTATTTCTGAAGGAATTGAATATGATTTCTTTTCTCTTTTTCTTCCTCCCTCCCTTCATCTGTTCCTTCCTTTCTTCCTTTCCTTCTTTTTTTTTGTTTCTTAACATTTAGATCTCAATAATATTTATCTGGTTATTTATTTTACCTTGTTATTTATTCACCCATATTTCCCACAAGGTTCATGACATGCTCCTGAATTTATTTATCTTCTTACTGGATGACATCCATCAAGAGTGTTTTTAAAGAAAATCTTTGAGAAATAAGCTTTCTCAGCTTTCTATGTCTTAGAATATATTTACAGTGTCCTCGCAGTTATATAACTTATAACTTAGCTGCCTATGAAGTAAGTTCTTGTTTCCAAGACTGCTGATGGGAAATTGAGTGTCAATCTGATCCTTGTTAGCCTGAGGGCCATGAGCTCTTTCTACACAGAAGCTCTTAGGTTTTTAAATTTGTCTTTGATGGTCTTAAATTGCATGTGTGTGGGATTTGTTCTTATTCATAAAGTCTAGATTCTATCAGCCTTTGCAATCTGAGATCTTTAAGTTTTTGCTTCTGCAAAATTTTTACTCATTTCAAAATACAAATTTTCTTTCTGTTTTTCTCTTTTTTTTCTGGGACATCATATATATATATATATGCCCTCTTTTCATCATATATATGCTCTTTTTACATATATATCTACACTATTCTTTGCATCTCAATTTTTCTATTGTATTTTTTCATCTTTTTATTATTTCCTGATGCCTTGGGGAATTTTCTCAATTTGAATTTCTAGATCACTGATCTATTATTTGACTGCACCCACTCTTTCATTTATTCTTGTGTTTTCTTATTCATTTCAACTATTACATTTTCTACAAAGAGTATTTCCATTTAGTTCTTCTTGCTCCTGCTTCATGTTACCAATATCCTCTTCAACTCTTGTTGCATTTATTTTAAAGTCTTGATCGCTCTGCCCCATTTGTTCTTGTTCGTCCAGTACATGTTGTTCAGTTTTTCTTTTCTCTTTAATTTGATGGTATCCTCAGGCATTTGGTTAACTTTGCCTTTGGAATCATTTCCCCCTTGGGAATATCAGCTTTTAAAAGAGGTAATATTTATCCTGGAGTATGAGGCCAAGATTATAGCTTGCCCTGCTGCTGGTGAGTTAAAGAAGGGAGGAAACTAGTCCCTAGTCTACCCAGGGACTAGAGCCCATGAAGACACAACCCGAACTTGATGCCCTATTTGCTGTTCCTTTATAGGGGACTCTAACACTCATGGCCTCTCTTTGCCTCCAGCCCATTTCTACTCTCTTTAGAGAGACATTCCTTCTTCATTTTAATCACCCAGTGTGCAAAGGGTGAAGGGCCATCCGGAATGCCCCTGCCTCCGGCAGGAGGGCTCCTGCTATTCCAATATCAGTCTCTCACCCTTGACCCTGTAGTGCTAGGTTGTCACTGCTGTTTTTCTGTCTCACACTGGTGATGGGGAAGACAATGACCAACCTAGGGCAGTGCAGCAAAGAGAAAATAGCACAACTAACCAGCTCTTGCCCCATTTAGCTCCCCCCTTCCTCCCAGCCCACTACCTGCTCCTCCTCAGCCTCATTGCTGTTTTCTCCCCACAACAGGCCACAACTCCATCTGGTCTCTGGGGGTCCTCATGGGCTTTTTTTCCCTTCTCCAAAGCCATAGAGATTAGTCCTCCTTTCTTAGCCTCTTTAATTCTGGATGGGGAAGGGAGCTAGTAATCCACACTAACTCTCTTATGTTTTTCTAATGGTGAATGGTCATAAAATAATATTAGCTAAGTCTCTCTTCAAGCTTTTATTCTCAAGATAAGCTATTCATTCAAGTAAAGCCTTCTTCATTGATTAGAGTGAATACATTGATTGAGCTGCAGTCTGTCAAAAATTCCAACATTCTTCCTGAACGTCAGTCCCTGCTTTTATTTACCAAGGAATATGCCTGAACCATTCACAATGTATTCATTCAATCAACAAATATTTATTGAGCATCTACTAAGTGGCAGAAACTGTTTTGCTGTTTGGAATACCTTAGTGAGCCCAAAAGTCAAAGTCCCTGATGTTGTGGAGCTTAAAATGAACTATAAATATAATGAGTAAATTGAAGTATGTTAGAAGATGCTAAGTACTAATTTTTTAAGTAGAAGAGAGGAAGGGGTGGTGAGAGGTGTGGATTGCAATTTTAATTGTGACAGACTTATTCTCAGTAAGAAGGTGACTCTTGAGCTAAGACTGAAAGGAACAATAAAGAGTGGAAGGAAACACTGGCTCCTACTCAATGTTAAGGTCAACAAAGAGCTTCTAGAGTTACAAAGAAAGCAAAGAGACAAGCAGGAAGCAAAATGACCAGCCCCTCAGTGCTGACTTTGCAACTGCGGCCATGAAGGTCCCACACTCCTCCTCTCTTTGTCAAAATCTTCTGATGGAAATGAGTAGAATGAAGACTGGTCAGAGGAACTGAAAGTCAAGATGGAAACAGACTTTTTAAAAGAGAACACTAAGGTGTTCTAAGACATCAAGTCTTGGACTGAGGTCATTTAGGTACCAGGATCTTGGTGGAGGTGTGGTTTCTGAGTGCTCATATTACCTCTTGCTGCCTGCAGGACTCCAGCCCCACAGTGTGGATTGCAGTCCATAACCTACTGGTGCCCTCAGCTGCACACACCACAGGTGTGAGGAATTAGCATTCCCGGAGGTGCTCCTGAGTTTTGAGCACAGGTGAGTGACTAGGAAACATCATTTGTAGGGTGCCTCTGAAAGTCCCTGCAAGACAGAACATTGGCTATCCCACCAGTGGCCAACTCCATAAAGCAGCTGTACTCCTTGCTCCCTTGTTCTCTTACTCCTGCTTCCAGGGATCACTTCCCAAACAAGCTCCTTGATGCAAGCCTTTGTCTCAGGCCCTGCTTTTGGGAGAATGCAGACTCAGGCAGGAACTCGACTGGAAAGAAGTAGCAATTGGATTTGAATATAGGTAGCTCAACTGTACAGCCTGTGCTGTCCCCCACTGTGACACCACTGCTTCATCTCTGAGCAAGTATGGTGAATTTCAGATCTTCAGATGGTGGAAGAAAGGTGACCTCGACATTATTCTTGGATGAGATGCTACAGTCAGCTACTTAAAGACAACTTGAATCACCCAGGAGGGGCAGAGTATAGTGACTTAGAGGAGGGTAAGCCATATTGTTCCCAAGACAGGAAGAGCACCTGGTACTCCTTGGTAGCTCATGTGCCTGGACCATGGTGTATAATATGATGGGTATTCACTGAGAGTTCATAAGAGCCTATTGAAAGGCACTTACTGCTTTCTTAAGACTGGAAAAGTTGAGAACCTGAAAGATGTGGTATATCAAACCTTTATATCCTTCTATCCTTGGAGACAAGGTGGAGAAATAGAGTATGGATACTAGTTTTATTAGGTAAATTGTGTGAACAACTGGATGCATTTAATGCTGTTCCCCTCAATATTGATGGAAAGACCTCTATCAATATAGAAGGAACTTTCTAAGCTGATTTTTAACTCTATTTTGTTTATCATTCTCATTTTTATCAACTTTTATTCAGAAATTTCTCTTAAGTCACTGAATGCTAAGAACTAGAGGATAAATATAAGTCACATATTCCCTGCCTCAAGTAAAGAAATAAAAGAGATTGGAAGACTAGGGAAGAAAATGAGAAGTAAAATAACACTTATCAAGGATTTGCTAAATGCCCAGACACTGTAACAGCTTTACTTACATTATTTCACTAAATTCTCAAAATGATAAATCATGAAGACAATGAGGCTTAGAGAGGTCCAGCTGTGGGCCTAAGATCCACACAGCTACTAGACAGAGAGTGAAGATTCCGGGCTGGGACCAGGTGATTCCAAAGTCCATCTGTTTTCCCGTGCTCCAGAGTTCCTCAAAGGGTGACTTATCCGTGACCTCCCTGCATCTAAATCACCCGGGGGTGCTGTCAACTGCAGATTCCTGGGCTGCCTCCCAGACTTACCAAATCTGAATATTAATGAGGAATACAAGATAAGGGGAAGAGGGGACTTGGCCACAGACTTATCTAACCAGCTCTTCCTGGCCCAAATCCAGTCCTTTCGCTTACACGCTGAAGCTTTTGAACCTCAGAGCATCCCCACCTTCCCTTGGCTTGGCCATCTTCAGACGGGGTTATTAGACCCCCGGGGTTCTCAAGGAATATACAACCAATTATGGTTTTAAGAAAACGTCAATCCCACATTTACCCTTTCCTAAAATAGGTCTTGAAAATGGAGGTTCTCCTTTCTTTTCCCCTTCTTTATCTAACAGAAAAAAAAAGACGCATCTCTTACTTTGGTATATTGCTCTGGGGTGTGAAGCCAGCCCCACATGAGGAATGACTGGAAAAGTCCATATTGCTGTTGAGAAAGTGAATGACTTTAATGATTGGGTGATTGGGTTCCAATTTCTTTTTCAATTCAGATGTTTTCCAAATCTTTGCTTTTTTTTTTTTTTTTTTTTTGAGACAGTCTTGCTCTGCCTCCCAGGCTGGAGTGCAGTGGTAAAATCTCCACTCACTGCAACCTCCACCTCCTGGCTTGAAGCAATTCTCCTGCCTCAGCCTCCTGAGTAGCTGGGATTACAGGTGCATGCCACCATGCCCGGCTAATTTTTGTATTTTTAGTAGAGACGGGGTTTCACTATATTGGCCAGGCTGGTCTCAAACTCCTGACCTCAAGTGATCCACCCACCTTGGCCTCCCAAAGTGCTGGGATTACAGACATGAGCCACCGCGCCTGGCTCCAAACCTTTGCTTTTAACAGAACTGAAGGAGAAAATAATAGAGCTGTCAGCTGAGAGATCATTCATTTAAAAAAATTTTTAAATTGGCATAATTTTTGGCATATAACCCAGGAGCATTTCAAAGAATTGCTATCACAAAACTCCTTTTATCTATGTATTTATGTTAACAGGTGTTCTCAGCACTTACATCTACTTGAAAGTGTAAGATTAACTCTGCCACACTTTGCTCATGCATATATAAACCAAATGGGAAAATCCCCATCCATTTTAGTAAGAGTTATATTTCCAATAAAATTTTGTAAATAATTAATAATTACTTAAAAGTTACATATGGGCCAGGCACAGTGGCTCACACCTGTAATCCCAGCACTTTTCGAGGCTGAGGCAGAGGATTGCTTGAGACCAGGAGTTCAAGACCAGCCTGGGCAACATGATAAGACCCCCATCTGAACAAAAAATAAAAAAAACTACCTGGGCATGGTGGCACACACCTGTGGTCCCAGCTACACAGGAGGCTGAGGTGGGAGAACGCTTGAGCCCAGGAGCCATGTCTGTGTCACTACAGTCCAGCCTGGGTGACAAAGTGAGACCCTGTCTCAAAAAAATAAAAAAGGTATATATGCTGTGTTGATCAATTTCATATTAATAATACTTTTAATAGTAGCTTTAGCCACAATATTTTAATGAAGACTTACGGTCATAATAAAATTTTTTAAAATTTAAATTTAAATATACATGCTTTTTTTGCAAAAAAAGAATTATAGATTGATCAATAACAGATTTTCAGTCATACTAAGAGAATATTCTAAGCAGAAGTGGAATGATAATGCAAGTTTAGACAAAAAAATAAAAATATAAAATTTCTATATGTTAAAAGATAGCTTATACACCTCTTAAATGTATCATGGTGGATATCAAATCACTATGGTATCAGATTCCATTAGGTTCATTAAAAAGAATGATAAAATTATTTTATTTTAAAATGTGAATACTTATAATCTTCTGGAAGTTATACCTATTTGCATCTTTTATATATACGATGAATGCATTTGGGTGTTGAATTAAAACTATTTCAGAGGATAGGTTGTTTTTCAATTTTTGGGGGAGTGGGTAAATGAGCCAAATCAGTTGGAGACAACTGGCTTAGAGTCTCAAATGTTCACAGCCTGTGGAACTCACATTGCTAAAATAATAATGAAGCCCTAGGGATGGCCGACTGGGGAATGAGGGAGGGAGATTTAAAACATACTCAGACCCAAAGGCAGGTTTTTGAGACTAGAGAAGACAAAATTTATGCCAGAGTCCAGGTCTCTAAATGCAGTTGGAAGATTAATTCAGGAAAGATGAAAAATGATCCCAGAGAAATGAAAGTTTCTAACTTAGAGAGACCAGTGATATAAATTGAGTTATATCAAACATAAAATTTTAAAGGTAGAAATATTCTAACAGAATTCTAATAGTATTCAAAGGAGATTTTAAAAAGACATATTTATACCCTACATTTAAGGAAGATTTAAAATATCTAAGTATTATATTTCATCAAAATTAAACGCACACACACACAATTTTCATCAAGTTGTAGAAGACAAAAACCAAGATCAACTGTCTAAATTATCCAACCTGCTATAACACAAGGGCCTATTTCTACCCACTTACTTTTTTCCTATCATTTTCAGCTTATCACATGTACAAGAATGCCAAAGTCCAACCTCCAGGAAATGAATTCTTTTCTTTTTCTTTTTTTATTTTTTATTTATTTATTTTTTCCTATTAACATTTTTTTATTTTATTTTATTATTATTATACGTTAAGTTTTAGGGTACATGTGCACAATGTGCAGGTTAGTTACATATGTATACATGTGCCATGCTGGTGTGCTGCACCCATTAACTCGTCATTTAGCATTAGATATATCTCCTAAAGCTATCCCTCCCCCTTCCCCAACCCCACAACAGTCCCCAGAGTGTGATGTTCCCCTTCCTGTGTCCATGTGTTCTCATTGTTCATTTCCCACCTATGAGTGAGAATATGTGGTGGTTGGTTTTTTGTTCTTGCGATAGTTTACTGAGAATGATGATTTCCAATTTCATCCATGTCCCTACAAAGGACACGAACTCATCCTTTTTTATGGCTGCATAGTATTCCATGGTGTATATGCGCCACATTTTCTTAATCCAGTCTATCATTGTTGGGTTGGTTCCAAGTCTTTGCTATTGTGAATAGTGCCACAATAAACATATGTGTGCATGTGTCTTTATAGCAGCATGATTTATAATCCTTCGGGTATATACCCAGTAATGGGATGGCTGGGTCAAATGGTATTTCTAGTTCTAGATCCCTGAGGAATTGCCACACTGACTTCCACAAGGGTTGAACTAGTTTAGAGTCCCACCAACAGTGTAAAAGTGTTCCTATTTCTCCACATCCTCTCCAGCACCTGTTGTTTCCTGACTTTTTAATGATTGCCATTCTAACTGGTGTGAGATGGTATCTCATTGTGGTTTTGATTTGCATTTCTCTGATGGCCAGTGATGGTGAGCATTTTTTCATGTGTTTTTTTGGCTGCATAAATGTCTTCTTTTGAGAAGTGTCTGTTCATGTCCTTTGCCCACTTCTTGATGGGGTTGTTTGTTTTTTTCTTGTAAATTTGTTTGAGTTCATTGTAGATTCTGGATATCAGCCCTTCGTCAGATGAGTAGGTTGCGAAAATTTTCTCCCATTTTGTAGGTTGCCTGTTCACTCTGATGGTAGTTTCTTTTGCTGTGCAGAAGCTCTTTAGTTTAATTAGATCCCATTTGTCAATTTTGGCTTTTGTTGCCATTGCTTTTGGTGTTTTAGACATGAAGTGCTTGCCCATGCCTATGTCCTGAATGGTAATGCCTAGGTTTTCTTCTAGGGTTTTTATGGTTTTAGGTCTAACGTGTAAGTCTTTAATCCATCTTGAATTAATTTTTGTATAAGGTGTAAGGAAGGCATCCAGTTTCAGCTTTCTACATACGGCTAGCCAGTTTTCCCAGCACCATTTATTAGGGTTTTCCACAGACAATTTTCTTGATTAAAAGAATTTCAGCCACAACTCCAAAATTTTAGTGATTCAGTTTTAACCTAAGTACATAGAATGCTGGCAAAGCTATTTTATGGCCTATGTATAAATTGAAAGCCCTACTATTCCAAAAAGGTAAACTTAATGGATATCAAGAAGCATATATATCTTTTGTGAGATGAGTATGCTGCATACACAAAGAAAATGTGTCTCTGCCCCTGAATTATCTTTGCTTTTAGACCAGTAGAGAAAACAGGATTTTTATATTTGTAAACTTAGATCAAAATATTACTCCAAAACATTCTGGAGAGATCCACTTAAAAATATTAATTATAGCTGCCATTATAACACAGCCAGCAATAATGTGACTTGTCTAACGTACTTGGCCCTGAATTTTCAAATACCAAATTGCTGTCTCTGAAAAATGCATAAATTCTATTCTGATAAATCAAGGGTTATACTCTGTGTAAAATATCTGTCTAAAACATATTCCTATGAGTAAGCTATGAATCCAGAAATTGGGCCTTAACTTCCAGTGCACATTTCCTGGTATAGTGTAAAAGAAATAACAATAAATATCTTTACTTCCCTGAATATTTTCTCTGAAATACTGACATTAAAGCCTACATTATAGTGTAAGTCAGTGTAAAAATGCTTTAACACTGAGTCTTTTTTTTTTGCCATGAGTCTCTTTATCCTCATTCACTTGTGTGAGTGCATGTGTGTGTATTCATGAGTGTGTGTGTGTGTGTGTGCGCGCATGCAAGCATTCTCCTGTACACTGGGTTTCAGACCACAGACCAGATCTTTCAGCACTGACGTTGCTTAAAGAAATCTGACTACAGATTTGAAACTCATCAACTTCTTATTACTGACCCTTCTTTTGCAGAAATCAAGTCTGACTCTTCCTTGGGTGAAAATAATAAGTGTCTATTACACATGACAAAAAAATATGACTTTCGGTGTGCACTATTTTGACTTGGGAAATATACTTTTCCCCTGTTTTAAAGATAGATTTTCCATAGTGGAAAAATATAAAAATGATTTAGATGAATGTGTCAGAAAGTGTGAGCATTGGGTTCATATTGATCTGATCAAGACTTACGAGCAGAGGTGAAATTTGGTCCAGAAAGCAGTTTGGAAGGAAATGCACTGGGCATGGTTTTAGAAGCTCAGAATTTCAAGGACTTTTGGTTCTTTAATGGAGCATCCAAATTGCAGCTCCATCACAAAATGAGGGTAACTCCAATCTGACATTCTGGGTTTACGTGAGGATTAAATGTCTCTTCCATAGTTGGATGATCAATAATTACTTCCATTCCTTCACTCACTGTTTTCTGCTCTTCATTTCACAATCTCTATGAAGTATAAACAATTTAGAAGCTAAGTGAATAAAGATGCCTTTGTTGTAATACTTTAGTCCTAACTTCCTAAATACATGCTAAGTAGAGAGTGCTGCATCAATTTGCAAGCAATGAAGCTGAGGGTGATAGTTGAGAGAATGCTGGTTGAGGGGACAGAAGATGAATTCCCCAAGCCCAGTTATCTTAGGCTGCCAAGTGATCCTAGCAAGTCACTTAGTTTCAGATTCCCCATCTATCAAATAGGGGATGAAAATGCCTATTTTACATAAGTCCAGGCAGAGCATTTGAAAGTGTACATAAAGGCACTTTAAAAAATCCAAAGTATCACCGAAAAGATGTGCAGCTAAACATTTCCTTTCTGCCTCCCTGTGCCTATACATTTTCTGAATATTTCAGGAAAAGGTATGATTTAATATCAGGTGAATTGATCCTTTAGTCAACACTTGGTTATTCATGGTTAGAGAATAAATGTCACATATAGATAGTGCCTTTCAGTCAATAAGGTTAACCTCCTTCCTCGGGTGTCATTATACTAATCACACATCTCACAAGGAATTATGGGGTCCATAGGGAAGATGCATTTAATCAAGACTTCTCTGTGGCTAGAAAGAAATGCCACAGAAACCTTCAGGCTGCCAGGTGTTGTTCAAAATCATTTTAATCTGAATTACTGCCAAACTCAAAGATTCATGCAAAACCTATCACTTCAGCTTTTATTCATATATTTTATATGTACAAGGATTTCCTCCATGTTTAATTTTCCTAATTCATGTATTTAGAATAAAGCTAGAAAATAGTCCATTATATGGTTAGAAACTTGTCTGTTATCTCTATTGTACATTAATTTTATTACTACTCACTATCAATGCTTGTAATGATTCCCATGAGGTGCCTGTTTGTGTGTGAATGTCTATGAGTACATGGAAACTTGTGTGTGTTTAATAGTAATGTTACACTGTAGGAAGATGTCAAGGAAGATTAATAAGGCATAAAATTTATAGTAACAATGGGATATTAGAAGAAAATAGGAGAATAATTACTTGAGTACATAAACAATATGGTTCAAACTTATTTTGTATTTGTTGAATCCATAATTTAAATATTTATTAAACTTCAGCACTTTCTCCAAAGTACATTCCCAGTTGTCTTTATTACTGCATAATGGGAAAGACTCATTATGCAATGTAATTATATTATATAAACCAAATTCTAGTCACTGTTAAGAAATTATTTATGAGCATGTAACACTGAAAAAAAAATCAGCAAGGTTAAACCCTACAGATTGTATAGTTTAATCCTATTTATTCCTTTTTGTTTCCACTGCTGTTACCTCTCTCTAGACAGCATGATAAATATTATATTAACAAAGCTTGTATTGAGACCTAGTTTAACTACTTTAGAGAGAATTCACATGCAGTCTAGAATTTAAAATGTCACAAAACACAGAAATATGAATGAAGCATCTGATTATGAGTTTTTTTCAAGAGAAAGATACACAATATTTTCTGCTATCTTAATTGTATTAAACATTGAATTTATGTTATATGTTAAATGACTTTTGTTTATACAAGTTTTGTGTCTTACAATCAAATGTTTTTACTATGTTACAGAATCAAATTTTGAAAAATATATCTTCACTTATTTTATATATATATACACATATATACACATATATATACATATATACACATATATATACACACATATATACATATATATTTACGTATATATATACACATATATATACGTATATATATATAAACTTTTCCCCTTCTGCAGCAGTCTTGCATGAACAAACAAAAGCTAAAGAGGGAATACATGGGAATTAAAATTTCACTGAGGACATTTCCCGGTAGCCAAGGTAATAGAGACTACCTAAATAAGAATCTCTCCACACATACCCCAGAAACATTACCAAATTACAAAAAGAGCAAATAAAATCACATAAATCTTATGCTTTCTGCAAAATTAAAAAAATAGAGAATACTGAATACTTCTAATTACATGAAAAATAAACATCAAAATTCAAAAAATAAACAGCAGATTATTTCTTGAATTTCTACTACAAACCTTTGCTAAGAGAACTGGTAGAGGTTCTGGAAAAGCTGCATAAGATTGAACAAGGTGAAGTGAGATAAATCCCTCAGAAATAAAGAGTTCACTGTAAGTGTGATAATACTGAAAAAGAATCCTTGTAGATAAGAGTGCTGACCAGAGGAAACACACTAAAAGTGGGCATGGGACTTCTATGGGCAGTTTGAAAAAAATAATAATGTTTCTGAAGGAAAAAGAATATAAAGAGACTTTGGAGACTGGATGAGGAAGGAAAAATAAACAAGAAAGAAAATTTAGGGCTCTGCAAGACTAAATGAAATAAAAATAAAATCAAAGTATGCACACCCTCTCCCCAAAAAGAAGCCATTCATTGAAAAAACTGCACTACACATAAGAAGAGAATGGTCTTGTAAATTATCCCAAGCCACCAACCATGTACATGTATAATGGGAACATAAGGAATCTTCATCTCTAAAGCTCCTCTAAGAAGCAAACAACAACAAAAAATCAAAGTATATCACCTGATAGGAAGTTTCCTCTTCTCTGCCCTGAATAGCCATAAAGCAGAGGAAAAAATGTAAGAAAAAATTCTAAACTAAATTAAGTATCATTAAACCAGTATTGGGGGATGTAAAAAACATAATGAAAAATAAATTTTCTAAGATTTAAAACAGGAAGATGTAAAACAAGGGTTGGCTAAACTTAGAAAATAAATATTAAAAAAGACAAACATCATATCAAAAATAATATCTCAGGTTCATGGTGCCTAAGAGAGAACGTATATGAATGAAAATTTAATAAGGAGTATATAGGAAAAGAAAATTTGAAAGCTGAGAGGAAAAAAAATTGAGATTAAAAAAGAGAAAAAAGGGGAGGAAGAGAAATGTTTAGAGGGAAAGTGATTGAAATGGAAGACAGGCAAAGGAAGTCCAACATACATACTATTGGGGTCCCTGAATTTGGAAACCAAATATTGAAAGAGAACTAATATTTAAAACTATATTCCAGTTAAACTTTCTGGAAAGAAAAGACCCTACGTTGTATAGGAAAGAGCTCCCAGGCTACCTGGGATAATTGACCCAAAATGATGAATTCTGATACCTACCTATTTAAATAAAATTGTTAGATTTTAAAGATAAAGAAAAATATTCAAATGCTGTTCAAAAAAATATCAAATTGCTTACAAGGGCAAGAGAATTTAACTAGCAACAGGCTTCTAAATAGTAATAGGCAAAGAGAAGCAAAATTGAATAGCATTGTCAAGAAACTTAAGGAAATAAATTATAAGCCCAAATTGTGATTTTTCAGTCATGCTGTCCTTCAAATATCAAAGCCACAGGAAAAATTTTAAACATGCAACAACTCAGAGAACGCTGGGGAAAACAGCAGCAAAAGAATTGACTGTGTGCATTTAATTATAGATGTAACACTAAAACTAGGTGGAAAAGTAATATCCAGATGTTATACGATAGGAGGAGACAGAAATAATGCAGTTAAAAATAAGGACACAAGGAACAGGGCAAGAGAAAGTAGAACAAGCTCATTTTTAATTGTGTGGGTACTAAGTGGGAGTCAAGGATACCACTAAAAAAGAATAACCAGACAGCAAAGTTAAATTGTAAAAATCCAGGGAACTAAGTACATTAAAGCAAGCATTCAAACAAAAAGAGACTCTTCTAAATACCAAAAGAAAAAAGCAATTAAAACACATCCTGTGGAGACAAAAATACAGCAAATATTACATAATACATATAGCAATTATAACAGAGTATGACAAAGGTGAGACCGAACATATCAGTAATATTAGTAAATGTGAATGGATTTAACCCACCTGTTAAAGCAAAAGATACTTTTCTCACAAAGAAAGACCCAACATTATAATGTATATAAAGGATACCTCTCAAAGCACATGTAGAACCCTGTTATTTAAGAAGGCTGAAATGAAGGGACAGTCAAAAGAATACTAGTCAAATGGAAGAAATAAGAAATCAGGGCTTGTATTTCTGATCTTAGAAAAAAGTAGAATTCAAGCTAAAAAGAAAGTGAAATATGACAAAGGATACTTCTGAGTGTTAAAAAATACCGTAATTAATAATAAAGACAAAAAACACGAATGCCTGTGGATGAAAAAGGTAGAGCAAGCACTTCCACGTTTTTAGAGTGTATATATTTTTATTATTTTTATTTATTTTTTTATTATTGTACTTTAAGTTCTAGGGTACATGTGCACAACGTGCAGGTTTGTTACATAAGTATACATGTCCCATGTTGGTTTCCTGCACCCATCAACTTGTCATTTACATTAGGTATTTCTCCTAATGCTATCCCTCCCCCAGCCCCCCACCCGTGACAGGCCCCGGGGTGTGATGTTCCCGCCCTGTGTCCAAGTGTTCTCATTGTTCAATTCCCACCTATGAGTGAGAACATGAGGTGTTTGGTTTTCTGCCCTTGTGATAGTTTGCTGAGAATGATGGTTTCCAGCTTTATCCATGTCCCCGCAAAGGACATGAACTCATTCTTTTTTATGGCTGCATAGTATTCCATGCTGTATATGTGCCACATTTTCTGAATCCAGTCTATCATTGATGGACATTTGGGTTGGCTCCAAGTCTTTGCTATTGTGAATAGTGCTGCAATAAACATATGTGTGCATGTGTCTTTATGGTAGCATGATTTATAATCCTTTGGGTATATACCCAGTAATGGGATGGCTGGGTCAAATGGTATTTCTGGTTCTAGATCCTTGAGGAATTGCCACACTGTCTTCCACAATGGTTGAACTAATTTACACTCCCACCAACAGTGTAAAAGCGTTCCTATTTCTCCACATCCTCTCCAGCATCTGTCGTTTCCTGACTTTTTAATGATCGCCATTCTAACTGGCGTGAGATGGTATCTCATTGTGGTTTTGATTTGCATTTCTCTGATGGCCAGTGATGGTGAGCATTTTTTCATGTGTCTGTTGGTTGCGTAAATATCTTCTTTTAAGAAGTGTCTGTTCATATCCTTTGTCTAGTTTTTGATGGGGCTGTTTGTTTTCTTCTTGTAAACTTAAGTTCTTTGTAGATTCTTCATGACTAAAACACCAAAAGCAATGGCAACAAAAGCCAAAATAGACAAATGGGACCTAATTAAACTAAAGAGCTTCTGCACAGCAAAAGAAACTACCATCACAGTGAACAGGCAACCTACAGAATGAGAGAAAATTTTTGCAATCTGCCCATCTGACAAAGGGCTAATATCCAGAATCTCCACTTTTATAAAGTGTATCCTACAGGCGGTATTAGGGGACAGAAACAAACACACCAATAAGTGGAGTCTTTACAATATCACTCTTAGTGCAAGTTAGATCAAGGGGACAAAATAAATTTAGTAAGGATGTATAATACTTAAACACAATATGGTGAGCTGTATCCTCTCTTTTTCTCTCTCGCTATATCAAATTTTATACAATAAAACAGAGGATTCGATAGGCCCCTCTCATCTTTGGATTCATTGCAATTTCAGTTATCCAAGGTCAATGGAGGTCTGAACTTATGAAATGGAAAATTCCAGAAATTAACAATATGTGAGTTTAAAATTGAATGCTGTTCTTGGTAGTGAGACGAAATCTCACGCTGTCCCGCTGCATCCCACCCGGGACGTGAATCATCCTTTTGTCCAGCGTACCCTTGATGTCTATGCCACCTGCCCATTGGTCACTTCATAGCCATCTGGACTATCAGATCGGCTGTGATGGGATGGTAGTGTTTGTGTTCAACTAACTCTTATTGTCCTTAATACTGGCCTCAAATGCAAAAGTAGTGATGATGGCAATTCAGACTTGCCAAAGAGAAGCCATAATGTGCTTCCTTTAAGGCAAAAGGTGAAAGTTCTCAACTTAGTAAGAAAAGAAAAAAAAAAATCCTATGCAGAAGTTGCTAAGATCTCCAGTAAGAATGAGTCTTCTATTGGTTAAATTGTAAGGAAAAAAATTATCCCAGTTTTGCTGTCACACCTCAAATCACAAAAGTTGCAGTGTGTGATAGGTTAATTAAGACGGAAAAGGCATTACATTTGCGGGTGGAAAACATGAAAATTCCAACTGATGATGACCATGTGTTGCGCCAGAAAGTACTGAGCCTATATCAAGACTTCAGCAAGAGATCCCTTGCAAAGAGTGACACCAAGCCATTTATTGCAAGTAAGGAATAACTACACAGATTCAGGTGTGGACTGAAAAATATAAAAATTACTGGAGAGGCTGCATCTGCTAATGAAGAAGCTGCTGCCACGCTTCCAGCAGAGCTGAAGTTGATTAAGGAGAAAGGATACCATCTAAAGCATTGAAGTGAGCTCTACTGGAAGAAGATGCCCAATAGAAATAACATTTTTTAAAGTGCAAAAGAGGCACCAGGGCATGGAATATGGAAGGACAGATTGCCTCTGATACTATACAGCAAACCGTATACAGGATTCGGTACTATCTGTGGTTTCAAGCATCCATTGGGGGTCTTGGACCGTAACTCCTGAGGATGCAGGGGGTGGTGTATGGTACTTCTCAAGTGCCAAGGGGATACTTGTGTTATGGACTGAATGTGTGTGCCTTCTTCTCCCACACTCCAACTCATGTGTTGAAGCCCTAACCCCCAGTGTGGCTGTATTTGAAGACAGGACCATGATGGAAATAAAGTTACATGAAATAAGGCCATAAGGGTGGAGCTCTGATGCATACAATCAGTGTCCTTATAAGAAGAGACACCAACTCAGTGTGCATGCACAGCGGAAAAGCCATGTGAGGACGCAGGCAGAAGGCTGCCATCTACAAGCCAGGAAGAGAGCCCTTACCAGAAACCCACCATGCTGGCACAATGATCTTGGACTTCCAGCCTCCAGAATTGTGTTTAAGCCCCTCAGTTTGTGATATTTAGTTATGGCAGCCTGAGCACACTGATGCAATTCACAAAGAGTAATCATATGTTAACTTACAAAGACAGATTAAGTAAATTTTCTAAAAAATAGTAATATTACAAGCAATACTGTTTTATTATAATTCAACAAGACTAGAAATAAGAATGGAACTTAAAAAGACCTTACCACCTGGAAAGTAAGAAGCCTTCTCTTAAATAATTCCCGAGTAAAACTGTAAATACAGAAATTACAAAATTTTTGAAAAATAATGTTAATGAAAACAGTGCATATCTGTTTGTATGAAACACATTTAAAATAGTTATTAAAGGGAAACGTACAGACTTAAATACTTATATTTTAAAATAAAAGGATGAAAATAATTAAATTTCTAACCCCAAAAAACTAAAAAATGAGACTAAAGCAATCCATAGAAGGAATATGGAAGAAAACAATAAGGATAAAAGTAGAAATTGATGAGGTAGAAAAGAAAAAAAAATCTAATTAATAAATCAAAATACTGTTTTTTATTAACAAACTGCAAAGCCACTAGCTAATATAATCAAAAAAGGAGAAATGACTTCATAAAATAAGAAATAACTAACGGAGGCAACCACTGGGACTGGAAAACAGTTAAATTCACATATTCATCAGACTCTAAATAAATGAGCTGGAAACCCAGATGAAATCCCTAACTTACTTGAAAAACACAGTTTGCCAAAATTGATCCTATTAAAGAAAAAGACTTAATCAGATTAATATTTGTGGAAGCAATATAAAGTTAACAAGGAACTATTTCACAAAGAAAC
Organism: Homo sapiens; assembly: GCF_000001405.40. Classification (NCBI taxonomy): domain Eukaryota; kingdom Metazoa; phylum Chordata; class Mammalia; order Primates; family Hominidae; genus Homo; species Homo sapiens. Next base: position 127,671,884 of record NC_000010.11, read on the forward strand.
ACCAAGATCAGACGGTTTCATAGGGGACTATTACCAAACCTTTAAAGACATTTAAAGAGAGGAAAAAAAAAGTGAAATATAGAAATATAAAAGAGGCCATTACTATAGACAAAAATAATTACCTACATTAAGGTTATTTTACAAACAATTTTATAGCAATAAATTTTACAATTAGATGAAATGGGCACATTCTTCGAAAACAAATTACCAAAATTGAAACAAGAAAAATATTTTAATACATAAATAGTTCTACGTCCATCGAATAAATTGAATTTATAACCAAAAATCTTTCTACAAAGAAAACTCCAGGCTAAAATGGCTTCATTGGTGAATTATGTTAAACACTTAATAAAGTATTAAGGGGGCCAGGTGTGGTGGCTCACACCTGTAATCCCAACAATTTGGGAGACTGAGATGGGAATACTGCTTGAGCCCAGGATATCAAGGATACAGTGAACCATTACAGTGCCACTGTACTCCAATCTGGGTGACAGACTGAGATCCTGTCACAAATATATGTATATATATTATAGTGCTTATATAATAAAAGTTGCATATATATTATATATAGAATTATATATAATGCTAATATTACATAAATTCTATGAGAAAATACAAGAGGGAGGAAAATACCCTAATTCAGTTTACAGAGCTAGCATAACTCTGACACTCAAAGCTGACAAGGACTTTACAAGAAAAACAATTGATCGATGTAACTCATCAATGTAGATTGGAAAATGATAAGATATTAACAATTTGAATCCAACAGTATATAGAAAAAAATTCCACATGACAAACTGATTTTACATTTTAAATCAACATACAGATAACCTAGAATAACTAAAAAAATTTTGAAAAAGAACAAAAGTGAAAAACTTGTTATCAAGCATTACTGTAAAGCTACAATATTCATGACAAAGTGAAATTGCTATGAATATAGACATATGGATCAATGAAATAAAGAATCCAGAAACAGACCCAAAGGCATGTTCAGTTGATTTTTTGATAAAAATTCCAAGGAAATTCAATATGAGAAAAGGATAATTTTTTTCAAAAATGGTGCTGAAACAAAGGGATAGCCATATGCAAAAACATGAACCCCTACCCTTACCTCATTCACAAATAGTACCTCAAATTTTACCATAGACCTAAACATAAGGGTTGAAGCTGTAAAACCTGCAGAAGAACACCACCGAATAGAATCTCATTATGACCATGGGTCAAATAGATGAAAATGCACAAATTATCAAAAACCTGATAAACTGGACTTCATCAAAAATTGAGATTCTTTTCTTTAAAATATATTATTCAGGCAGGTTCGGTGGCTTACGCCTGTAATCCCAGCACTTTGAGAGGCCGAGGGGTGCGGACTACCTGAGGTCAGGAGTTTGAGACCAGCCTGGCCAACATGGTGAAACCCCATCTCTACTAAAAATACAAAAATTAGCCAGGTGTGGTGGCACACACCTGTAATCCCAGCTACTTGGGTGGCTGAGGCATGAGAATCACTCAAACCTGGGAGGTGGAGGTTGCAGTGAGCCGAGATTGCGCCACTGCACTCCAGCCTGGGTGATAGAGTGAGACTGTCTAAAAATATATTTACACGCACACACACACACACACACACACACACACACACACATTTCAGAAAATAAAAAGAAAAGTCACAGAATTAGAGCAAATATTTGTGAAACATATATCTGATAATGTTTCTGTAGCCAGAATATAAAAAGAACTCTTATAATTCAGTAATTACAAAACCACTTCATTAACATGGGCAAAATATTTAAAACAACATATCACACAGCAAATATGTGAACCGGGCGCTGTGGCTCATGCCTGTAATCCCAGCACTTTGCGAGGTCAAGACATGTGAATCACGAGATCAGGAGTTCGAGACCAGCCTGGCCCACGTGGTGAAACCCCATCTCTATTAAAAACACAAAAATTAGCCAGGCGTGGTAGTGGGTGCCTGTAATCCCAGCTACTTGAGAGGCTGAGGCAGGAGAATCGCTTGAACCAGGAGGTGGAAGTTGCAGTGAACTGAGACTGCGCCTTTGCACTCCAGCCTGGGCGACAAGCGAGACACTGTCTCAAAAAAAAAAAAAGAAAAAAGAAAAAAAGAAAATATATGAAGGGTCAATAAGCACATAAAAAGATGCTCAACATTATTTTACCCACCAGGGAAATTCAAATGAAAACTACAGTATGATTTACTATACATTCCCTAGAATGATTAAAATGAATATTACTAACAATACCATTTTTAGTGAGGATGTGGAACAACTAGAACTCTCATAAACTGATCATGGTCATGTAAAATTGTACAAACACTTTGGAAAACAGTCCAGCTGTTTCTTAAAAAGTTAACATACACTTTCCAAACTACTCAGGGGAAATTAAGGCATGTCCACAAAAGACCTGTACAAAAATATTCAGAGGAGCTTTATTCATAAGAGCAAAAGTTAAAAATAACCCAAACATCCAATGGTTAAACAAGTTGTGTTTATTTATACAATGGAATATGATTCAGCAAAAAAGGAACATATTACTGATAAATGCAATAGTGTGGGTGAAAGAAGCCAGGCAAATACAGGCACATAAAGTTCTAGAAGAGGCAAAATTAAAAGATTGTGAGAGAATTCAGATCATTCCTTGCCTAGAGGTGAGCAAAATGGCAGGAGAGAACTTTCTAGAGTATTGAAGATATTTTATATCTTCTTTGGTGTGATATTTAAATGGGTATATATGTTTATCAGCCTCTATACTAAAAAATCTGTTTATTTTGTGGTATATACATGACATTTGAATAAAAATTGATTTTTAAAAATAAAGACCAAGTAAAAGTGTTTTCACACAAGTAAAAGCTGAGAGCAATTACCAGAACTACCCTTAAGAAATATAATAAAGCCTTCAGCTGAAGAAAAATGATTTAACAGGAAAGCACGGATGTGCTAGAAGATATAAACATTATCACAAAGTTTAAAAGGTGTTTCTTCAAAACAACAACAATAGTAATGTCTGCAGGGTTTAAAACTTATGTAGAAGTAAAATGTATTATAAAAGTTTCACAAAAAATGAGAAAAAAAAAGAGTTAAATTTTTATAAGGCTTTTCATTGTTAGGGATGTAGTAAAAGCACTAATTTAAGAGATGATGTAAATAGGTCAAAGACGCTTCTTGTATTTTCTAGGGTAACCACATATATATATAACTAATATATATATAACTAATATATATGTAAAACTAATATATATATGTATATACATATATACATATAACTAATAAACCAAAAGAGGAGGCAATGGAATAGTAAAAAATATTTAATTAATCTAAAAGAAGCAAAGAAAAGAGGAACAAAGTACTAAAGAACAAAAAAAAAAATACAGAGTAAGCAAGCATCACGGTCCATTTAAGCCCAACTATATTAATGATTACATTACATATGAATCAGCTAAAATTTTAAATTAAAGGACAAAAACAATCAGACTGGATTTTTAATTTAAAAAGCAAATAATGTATTTTTATAAGAGACACACTTTAAATGTAAAGACACAAAAAGTTCGAAAGTTAAATTATAAATAATGATACGCCATGAAAATATTATCTTAAGGAGATCTAATGTCGCTATACTAATATCAGGCAAAGTAAAATTTTAAGGCAAAAAATATTTCTGGAAATAAAAAGGGACATCGTCTATGATAAAATTACCAATTTAACAGGATGTTACAAAAATCTTACATTTGTATGCACCAAATAAGACATCTTCAAAAGAGATAAAGCAAAATGTAACAGAACTAAAGAAGAGCATTAGGCACATAAACAATTGTAGGTAAAGACTTTAGCATACCTCCCCCCTCAGCAGGTAAAAGCAAACGAACCAATAAAGATATAGAATATTTGAATAACTTAACTAAACAGCTTGACCTAATTGATGTGTATAGAATACAACTACAAAATAGGCATCATTTTCATGTGCACAGAGAATGTTTACCAAAATGAAGCATATGTTGGGAAAGAAGGCAGGTCTGCATAAATTTCAATAGATTGAAATCATACAAAGTGTGTTCTATGACCACAGCAGAATTATTAAAATAAAAACTGATAATGAAATATACCTATGAAAATCTCTAGAGAGATGGAAATTAAGCAACCCCACTTCCACATTAGCCATTGTTGAAGAGGAAGTTGCAATGGAAATTAGAAAATATTTTGATCTAAATTATAATGAAATGACAACATATCAAAATTTGTACAATATACTTCAAACTGTTGCATGAAAAAAATTCTACCTCTAAATGCACATGATAAAAAAGAAAAAAAGACTAAAAATCAAGAATATAAACTTTGCTTTCAAGAAGCTAGAAAATGTACAGCAAATTAAGCCCACATAAATTAGAGGAGAAGAAATAATAAAGTTTTTTATCAATAAAATTGAAATCAAATACATAAAAGAGAGCATCAACAAAGCTAAAAGTTGATTCTTTGAAAAAAATTAATAAAATTTATAAACCTCTAGAAAGTTTGGTCAGGGTGAAAAAAGAAAGACCTGTTTTCAATACCAGGAATTAAAAAAATGTTGGCCAGGCATAGTGGCTCACGCCTGTAATCCCAGCACTTTGGAGGCTGAGGCAGGCAGATTGCTTGAGCCCAGGAGTTCGAGACTAGCCTGGGCAACATGCCAAAACCCCATCTCTACAAAAAATACAAAAATTAGCTGGGTGTGGTGGCACGTGCCTGTAGTTCCAGCTACTCAGTAAGCTGAGATGGGAGGATGGCTTGAGCCCAGGAGGCAGAGGCTGCAGTGAGCCAAGATTACACTATTGCACTCCAGCCTGGGTGACAGAGTAAGAGCCTGCCTCAAAAAAAGAGTTAAGAATAAAAAATAAAAATAAAAAATAAAATAGTCACTAGGGTTACTATAGGTCTTTAAAAGATAAGATAATGTTATAAATAAATTTATGCCAACAAATTTGACAACTTTGAACATATACACAAATTTCTTGAAAAATAAGACTTATCAAAACTGACAAAAGAAGAAGTATAAAATTCAAACAGCCTTATATTTAATAAAGGAATTGGATTTATAATTTAAAACTTTCCACAAAGAAAACACTTGGTCTAGATGGATTTACTGTTGAATTCTTCCAAACACTTATGAAGGAAAAAGTATTAATTTTACACAAACTCTTTTAACATAGTATAGATTCAAAACCTAACAAGTAGACAATGTAAGAAAAGGACAGCATAGTATAGATTTAAAACCTAACAAAGCTATACCAGAGTAATATTGGTGCAAGGACAGACAGACAGTGGAATGAAATGGAACAGAGTCCAGAAACAGATCCACATGCATGTACATTTAAATCCATTACTACGAAGGTCCCCCAGCAATTCAGCAGGAGAAAAGGAGTCTTTTCAATAAACAATGTTATGTCAACTGGATAGCCATTGTCTTAGTCTGTGTTGTTGTAACAAAATACCTGAGACTGGTTATTTACAAAGGATAGAAATTCCTCACAGTTCTGGAAACTGGGGAGTCCCAGTTAAGGCACTGGCATTGGTGTCTGGTGAGGGCTTTTCTCAGCTTCCAAGATGGTGCCCTGTTGCTGCTTCCTCATGTGGCAGAAGGTTTTGTTAATAAAAAACAGTATTTTGATTTATTAATTAGATATATATATTTTTCTTTTCTATCTCATCAATTTCTACTTTTATCCTATTGTTTTCTTCCATATTCTTTCTATGGATTGCCTTATTCTCATTTTTTAGTTTTTTTGGGTTAGAAATTTAATTATTTTTATCCTTTTATTTTAAAATGTAAGTAGTTAAGTCTGTACATTTCCCTTTAATAACTATTTTAAATGTGTTTCATACAAACAGATATGCAGCGTTTTCATTAACATTATTTTTCAAAAATTTTGTAATTTCTGTATTTACAGTTTTATTCAGGAATCATTTAAGAGAAGGCTTCTTACTTTCCAGGTGGTAAGGTCTTTTTAAGTTCTGTTATTATTTCTAGTCTTATTGAATTATAATAAAACACTGCACTCCAGCCTGGGCAACAGAGCAAGACTCCGTCTCAAAAAATAATAAATAATAAATAAATAAATAAATTCTTTGGCAGTATTCACCAAAGCTAAAGATACGTCAACCCTGTAACCCAGCAATCTCACTGCTGGAGAAATTAGTGCAGATGTTCAACAAACGACATGTATGAATATGTTTATAGCCACATTATTCATAATAGTTAAAACTGGAAAGAACCCAAGTGCCCATCCGGAGTAAAATAGATACATAGATTGTGGCATAGAAGCTACTCTACGGAATACTGCACAGCCATAAAAAGGAATGGCTCATGGCTTCAGGCCACAGCATGGACGGATGCCACAGACATAACGTGGAGGGAGAGACGCCAGACAGAAAAGACTACATATTCTGGATTCCTTTTCTATGAAGTTCAAAACCAGACAAAAGTAGCCTAGGGTGATAATCGAATGGTAGTTTCCTTTGAAGGACTAGCAACTGTAAGAGGCTTGAGGGAGCGTTTTGGGGCACTACAAACGTTCTATGTTTTATTCTGGATCTTGGTGACATATTAGAAATGTATCGAGCTATACACTTAAGATTTGTGCACATAACTATACCTAAGAAATACTCAATTTAAAAAAAAATCAAAAGAGAAGCTTTAAGGATTAAAGAAAAAATGAGGGCAAAGTATGGACATTTTCAGACAAATAAAAACGGAGGGAATTTTATTACCAACAGAACCATACTAAAAACATACCAAAGGAATTTCTCCAGGCTGAAGGAAAGTCACATTGGATGGAAGCGAAGAACTGCAGGAAAGGAGGGAGAGCTTCAGAAAGGAACATGTGAGTAAATATAAATTAATATGGCCTGTTTAAGGCAACATTCAAAACAATGTCTCCTGGCATTTAGAGCATATGCAGAAGAAAAATCGATGACAAACGCACAAGGGATGGGACGGGAGAGATGGAGCAGTACAGTCCCTGCAGTATCCAGAAAGTGTTTAAAGTACCAAATACAGGTTGTATTAGTCCGCGTTCACGCTGCTGATGAAGACATACCCAGGGCTGGGAAGAAGCCCTCTTAATTGGACTTACAGTTCCACATTGCTGGGGAGGCCTCAGAATCACGGTGGGAGGCGAAAGGCTTTCTCACATGGCAGTGGCAAGAGAAAATAAGGAAGATGCAAAAGCGGAGCCCCCTGATAAAACTATCAGATCTTGTGAGACTTACTCACTATCACGAGAACAGTATGGGGGAACCTCCCCCATGATTCACATTATCTCCCACCAGGTCCCTTCCACAACACCGGGGAATTATGGGAGTTCAATTCAAGATGAAGTTTGGGTAGGGACACAACTAAGCCATATCAAGGGTGGATTGTAATAAGTGAATGGTGCATATTTTGATCTCTGTTGTAATCGTTATAAATGACAAAAGAATTTCGGACTAAAAACCTAACAGTGGAGAAGATATTTAACGTTGATATGCCAAGAAATGAAGGTATATGCATATTACCGAGGGCTATGACGGTAACCTTAGAAATAACTAAAACAGAACCGGTTCTAAGAGCTCACCTCTGGGAGGAGATGGGGACATTGCTGCGTTTTTAAAAGTTCATTATTACACTGTAATTTTCGACTATGTATTTGTAATACTTTTTAAAGAGTGTAAAATTAGGCCAGATGCCATGGCTTACACCTGTAATCCCAGCACTTTGGGTGGGCCTAGTCAGGAGGATCTTTTGAGCCCAGGAGTTCAAAACCAGCCTGGGCAACATAGTGAGACTCCATTTGTAAAAAAGAAAAAAAAAAGTTTAAAAAAATTAGCTGAGCATAGTGGCACGCATCTGTAGTTCCAGCTACTCAGGAGGCTGAGGCAGGAGTATCACTTGAGCCCAGGAGTTTGAGGCTGAAGTGAGGTGTGATTTCACCGCTGGCCAACAGAGGGACACCCTGTCTCAGAAAAAAAAGGTGTAAAATTAACTTTGTTCCAAGGATTGAAGTTGAATTGTTGGATAAATGTAAATGACTGCCTGAACCCACTGTGATTCCACAATCATTCCAGGACAGTGGGCTTGCCTTTGTGGGCACTGACACTGGCTCCTCCTAGATTAAGTGAAGGCAGCAGAATATGACCCCCCAGAATACGCCACTTTGGCAGGATTGCTTTGAGCTGCAGGCACCTGTGAAGCAGACACAAAAAAAGCTGTTTGTCCTCCCCACTATTTGCTTAAAGGTGGGACATAACTTTAAAGATTTCCCTTCTCCCCTCTTATCATAGAAGGACAAAGACTGATCACTCACCAGAAACCTGACACCCTTATCAGTCTGAGGGCAGCATCCAAGGACTCTCAGTAACAAAGTTTACTAAGTGGTATTTATCTACCTTGAGTTTCCCATCACTTGCCTCCCTTACACCCTTCTTTTTTTGTTTTAGTTGAAGATGCTGTATAAGCCAGAGATCTAGGCTACCTCTTTGAGATTTACTGTTTATTCCTTGGGTATCTGCCATGCATACATGAGGTATACACACTAATAAATGTCTCCTTGTTTTTCTCTTATTAATCTGGTATTGTTATGGGGGTCCCAGCTAAGAACTATGAAGGGTAAAGGAACAATTATTTTTGCCTCCTCTACATAAGCAACCACTGTGCCTGAGGCCAGGAGAGAAAGGAGAGAAACATGGATGCTGAGCCCAGTGAGTCTGCTTTCTTCCAGTTAGGTGAGGACCAGATGGTAGCTGGAGTGACACTGAACAGTCATGTATGAGGGTGGAAGGGCCCTCACTTCCCGTGGGTAACTAGGACAGTTTAGTGGTAAGCCTGGAGTACCATGAGCTATACCTGGTCGGTGATGCTTAGCAGGGGAGAATGGCCCCAGGCAGGATCTGATCCAGGGAAGCCAGCTGGAGGAAGGATCAGTCAACCCTTAACACACCTTAATTAAACAGAAGCAGAGCCTGTGGTGTCCAAGACTTGGGCATTATTTATCCATAAGGGGCAGAGCAGGATGATGTCAGCCTGTCAAGTTTCAAGAATATTTCTAAGTGAAAAAAGAATATATTTTTAGCTGGATACAATAGGGATTTTAAATCCGCATGTATCTCACTCCAATTGTGGTTTCAGCAGCTTTGAGTTCCTTCAGGTGCTTTGAGGTCCCTGGTTACTTCGCTTTAGACATTTTAACTTCAGCTAAAATAACTCCACTAACTCCAGCACGTGCCCTACACATTATTTTATTTCACAAAGCTGTGGCTGATTCTCCCAGGGATTTTGCTTTGAAGGATTGTTAAAGGTTTCAGGGATACTGAAATGATTCATTGGTGAAAGGGGCAGGCAGGTGGTACAATGGGCAGAGGCGGGGCTTGGTGCCATGGAGGCGTATGTCCAGTGCTGGCTTTGCCCAAAGGGGCGTGGCGTCAGCTCCTTCCCTGTAACGGAGGTTGTAATACTGACCCGATCTATGTGATAGGTGGATGTGCAGGAGAGCCATCCACATTGCATAATGATGTGACTGTCCTTTTAGAATTTAAAACACTCTATACCAGGAGGCTACTGTTGCTCTTAAGCATTTTAGAGGTGATTCAAAATGTGCAGGCCAATATATTAAAATACCCCTTGAAATACTCTTAAACTACAGCTATAGAGCGACATCCAAAGTGGGGAGAAAGATGCCCCAAGTTTGACCTTGCACTACCAGCCCCTTTTAAAAGAATTGCATGGATTTGGGGAAACATTGGTTGATTTATTAAATGGCATGCTGGATGATTATTGAAAGCAAGAGACTTGATGTGGTATAAATGGCACCCACAAATGAATATGGCACCCCTCTTTCTAAACCCCAGGATGTGCCTGTAATCTACAGCTAAGCAAGGCAGAAATTCAAGCCCTGCTTATGACTGATGGCGTTGGACTTTGCAGAATGTCCTGCTTACCTAAGAGTAGTGCTCATCTGTTAGAAAATAGGGCTACTAGAACTCTATTTGAAAATGGGTATATGGGTATATGGGATACCAAGAGTAACACATTCACTGAAAATCAAAGAGAATCCATTGTTGCTCCAATAGCCGAGGCATCTATCTCCTACAGAGGTGACTGTCTTTCAAACATTCAATATTGCTTACCCAAGATCCTGGCTTTTCAGACTCTTGCTGGGTGCAGGATTTATATGATTTCATCTGGGATGATCTACAAGGAACCTCCACTGGAAAGAGCTTCATTTGTGCTTCTGTAAACAAAACCCACTCAGCAGCCTGTCCCTTCCCCTTCACAAAAGACCCATGGGCAGTACGGTGAGTATATATCAGAATAAGGGAGCAGTCCATCATGGACAGAATGGCACCTCTCAGACTCTATTAGCCATCCATCACCAGAGCAAGTTGTTGCTCTAATGATATATTAGTGTAATAATCTGCACAGGACACGCCAATGATGTATTACTCAAAAGATGGCCTTACTTAAGGAGGCGAGGTTCCAGGAAGTGCCTGGGTACCTTTGGAGGCGATTGGAAGGCTTCCACCAAATCTAAAGTCAGCCAGCAAGCACCATTCAATGGAAGCCACTTTCTCAGCAGCAGAGAGGAATACTGGTTTTAAATTACATCTCCTGTCATCTTTGTAATAAATCTGCAGCCCTATTTGACCTTGGTGTCTTGGCTAATTCTAATTTGCAGGCACCATCTTGGTTGGCAGAGAGAAATATGGAATTTTGCTCTGAGGAGTTTCTGAATCAGAAGATAGTCATGCTCTCTGTGTGTCTCTTTCTTAGGGAGGCTGTGGTGCAGAATTCCTTAGAGATTGCCAATTAGTTTGGAATAATTGAAATCACCTATAATGATAATTTTATTGAACACATACTTGGCCTTCTCATATGGTGTTTCTTTGCATCTCCTGCTCTATAAAAATAGATCTATTTTCCTCCCTGTTTCTCTTCCCTTAAAATGTTTCATGTTATTGAAAACAGAAGATTGCTTGTCAAATGTTTTATTGGCCACATGGGTGTGACTGTCAATCCTCTTCCTCGCTCCACGTGCGCATATGCACATCATTAGCTGAACTCCACCAGTCATGCTCCTGGAAAAATGCTGCTAATTGGGTAAACAGATACACAGAAACTAATTAAAACATAGCATTTACATCATAATAACTGCACTTGGTGAAGACTAATAGAAACCTCACAGCAAGTGAAAAATTTCACCCTACAAATTGTTCTCTGTGGACATAATTGCTGTCCTGGTAGAGGTGAGTGCATTAGGCAGTGTTTACGACGGTGGGGGCATTTGTCTGTGCCTGGCAATGAATTAGGTCTACAACTGCTGTGAAGGAGGCACAGCATCAGAGAACAAGCAGCATGCCAGTCCCATCATTCTCAGAACGCCTCCCTCGGTGAGGCTGGGCTGTGCTGTCCCTTCCCACTCAAGCCTCAGCCTCTTCCTCCAAGTGCACCTGTAACAGGGCCTCTGGACCATGCTTGGGCTGTGTGCTGTATTCTTAGGAAAACAATCCAGGACCACCGACCTGATGGATAGTGCTTTAGGCTGGTAATCACAGGTAATATTCTAAGAGAGTGCGAAACCATGGAATTATCCTTTCATGCTTGGTTGTCTGCGAGGGGCACTCTAGTGGAACAGAAGTGTGGTGTCAGGGAAGCTGTGCTCTGGGCATTATCATTACCTCAGGGTCCTTACTGCCTGGACTTCTTTTCCTTGGCTGCCTCAGCTTCTGCTCCCTTTTTTTTTGAAGCCCCAGCCAACCTCACTCCAGTTTCTTGTGCAACCAGCCTGGCTCCAGGTTCCTTATCACAGAGGGTCCCTGAATAAACCAGAGGCTGGGAAGGATAGGGAACAGATACAGAAACTTTCACCACTCCCATGGGCTGACAGCTTCCCCGGCAACCTGCCACAGAACACTGGGTGAGCCCCAGCTCTCCAGCGAACATGACAGTGGTGTCGTTGGTGATAGTGATGGTGATGCTGACGGTGTACACAAAAACAACAACAGCAACAACGAAAACCGAGCCACAGCACCGTCCTGGTAAAGGAAATTAAGTCATGTATTCAAAGACTTATTTATCTCGATGAAGCAAGTTTTATCCCAGCAAATCAGGATGGCTTGAAGTAGCGACCACAAACTGATTTTAAAATCCAATGGGAAAAGATCTACTTGTCCAGTGCTAGTTTGTGGCATTGTAAATTGGTACCGTCCTTTGGGAAAGCCATTTGGCAACACGTGGTAAGAGCATAAAAGTATGCATGGGATGGGCCCACTCATATCACTTCTGAGCATCTCTCCCGAGGGACCTGTTTAAACGCAGACTCTGCACTCTCCTCCCTCACTGCATTTCCCACTTGGTGCTTTTGTCCACAGTGGCAGCTTCAGCTTCACCCCAAAGCTGCCAACTCTGGAACAGACACCTCCAGCGTTGCCTTGAGGGTCTGTTCCAAACTTACAACCATCTGAGAACTTCCCATATGGAGAGTTTTTTTTTTTCTTTTTCACAAAATTCTGAATTCCAAATGAAGCCCCAACAACCTCTCCTCCTTGCTCTGGCCAGGCTGGGACCTCTGAGCCTGGTTCACCACCTCCCCGCCAGCACACTCAAGTTCATCAGCAACCAAGTCTCCTGTCCCACTGACCCTCCTCTGCCCAGGTCTTGCATCTCCTGCCTGGACCACAGGAAAGCCCACAGGGCTCCCAGCCTTCCATCCTGCCCATGCCAATCGGGTCTCCCCCTGCCATCTTCCTGGAACACAAGGCCTACCCTTCTCTTTTCTACCCCGAAGCTACCAGTCTTGTCTTTTCTCCTCTCTACATGTCATTTCTATACAAAATATCCAAATTTCTTGATATGGCCCCAGATTGCCTTTCTCAACCACCTATCCTATTACACCCCTCCTGTATTTTTTTGCCAAGGCTGCCACAAACTTGATGCCTTAAATCATAGTAATTCATTGTCTCACAGTTCTAGATACTAGGAGTGCAAGATCAGAGGGTCAGTAGCGTTGATCCTTCAGAGGGAAGGATCTGTTCCAGGCCTCTCTCCTTGGCTTGTAGGGGGCCAGCTTCACGTTGACATGATGTTCTCCCCGTGTGTGTGTCTGTGTTTAAATATCCCCCATTTCACATGGACACCAGTCATATTGGATTAGGGGTCCTCCCTCCTGAGGTGTGATATCATTCTAATTACATCTGTAATGACCCTATTTCCAAATAAGGTGGCATTCTGAGGTACTGAGGGTTAGGACTTTTAGGGGGAAATGCAATTCAATTTATAGCACCTTCTCAAACAATCTTTATTTTAAAACCCCAGTGAACTTAGCACCATTCATGAATAGACCATGAACTTTCTTGCCTTGATACTTGCTCATCTTTTTCCAGCTGCTAAAATCCCACCATGTGTCAAATAGTCCTTCCTGTGTTGACGAACAGCTAGAGTAACACATAGGACCATTTCATGAAGAATGTTACAATTTACCAATCACGCGGCTCAGTCAAGTCCTGCCCAAGGCCAACGTTAGGTAAGTGTTCACAAAGGTTCCATAAACTAGGCTGTTAAAACATTTCCTCCAGCTTCCTCCATATTCAGTACTCTCCTCTCCTTCACCTTGTGCCCATGTAACACAGTGCCCATGTAACAAAGAGAGAGAAAAAAACTTTTCTGACAGGAGATTATCTAGTGGTCTTATCTTGGTCTTTGAGAGTCCAGTGTGTGTAACAGCAGCACTAAATTCTACACAATGTTTTGATGATCCCAAGCTATATAAATTGTACACATAATTGGGACTGAGTCCTATTAGAGGAAGTTGGTATGTAAGGTTATCTTCCAAAAACATTAGTTGGGACAACAGGGATAACAAAAATCCATCAACAAATGGTTGGCCTTTTGATAGCTTTCTGCCTTAATGCCACATAAGGCAGGCAGACAGATAAGCCAAAAATTTGTCTGCATTCACCTCTAATTATGTTTTGGTGTTATAAATGATTAATAGTAGCCCTCAACAAAATGCGTTTCTGTCTTCCTAATCAAATAATTGTCACGTCTGCTGTACTGCTCAAGAAATTGTTTTGTTGGTCTTATGGCATTTAGATTGTTTCGCACCCATTTCCTAGATAGACTCTATGCACCTTCCCAGCAGAGACCTAGCTGCTAATATACTCATGTTACATATGCCAAGCACTGTTCTTGGTGCCAGAGATAGAATCGTTGATGGATGCAGTGAGTGGACTTTCAGCATCCATGCCTACCTCCTTCCAGTGTGCCTTTCTTTACTACAGAGGCTGGAAAAGTAAGAACGAACATTTTTAAAAGTCCCCAGCAGCTAGGAATCTTGGTGCAAATTAGGTCCCAAAAGTTAGATGCACACATGTGAAACTTGGAAAGCAGAAGGTGGGTGGAGGCCATTCTTAGTTCCACTTTTGGGCCATTCCATTGTTAGGCCAGGCTATAGGGTCGCAGGTCTTAAGAGGTGGGGTAGCAGTGGCAGCAGCAGCTTTCTAACCCAGCTTCATGGAGTGTTCTCTTCTTGAACAACAGTAGTTCCTGATAGTCTTCTGATTCCCCTGTCTTTAGCCTTTAGCCTTTATGACAACTTTGTGAGCACCAAATTCCTGTATTAAGCTCCTTTCTGTTTAAAATACCTAGAGTGCTTTCGGGTTGCTTTCTAAATTATTATTATTATTATTTTATTTTTATTTTTTTGAGACACAGTCTCATTCTATTGCCCAGGCTGGAGTGCAGTGGCATGACCTTGGCTCACTGTGACCTTCGCCTCTCAGGTTCAAGCGATTCTCCTGCCTCAGCCTCCTGAGTAGCTGGGATTGCAGGAGCCTACCACCACACATGGCTAGTTTTTATATTTTTAGTAGAAACAAGGTTTCACCATGTTGAGCAGGCTGGTCTCAAACTCCTGACCTCAAGTGATCCACCCACCTCTGCCTCCCAAAGTGCTGGGATTACAGGTGTGAGCCACCGCACCTGACTTGCTTTTGGTTCGCATTGAAACTTAACAGTTACACATGGTAAGTAAGATTATTTTGCCCTCTTGGCATTTATAGTCAGGTCCAAGGGGTTAAAATATGAGAAACATCTAAATATCCACTAACAGGAGACTGTTTTGGATATGGTGTATTAACCCTAAAGAGATAACCTGCGAGAGATACTCTGCTGACATTAAAATTTCTGAAAGAGAAAAGAAAGCTTAAAAGGCATTTTGTTGCTAAACATTGACTTCATAGGTAAAAACACAAAATACTTATCATGATTACATAAGTCATTTTATACATGAATAAATATTTGTAACTGAGACAAAAAATAATTGCTTGTAAATTGTAGGATGTAAGTGCAATTCTTGTCTATTTGAAGTTTCAGTTGAAGATGAAGTAAAATTGTTTTAGAAAAAAAATTGGGAAAATATAGATAATTTGTAGCAGGCTCCATAAGAAAGTCATGAAGAGGATAAAATGGCCTGGAGAATAAACCAGAGGAACTAGGCTGTAATTTAGTTTAAAAGTTATGGTGATAAAATCCTAAATGTAATATTCTACCTTTCCTATATAAATGTGCTTCCAGACGATCTGTTCAATATGCACCTATTGAACTGTTTTTCCAATTTATTCATATAATCAGCAAATACATGCTCCAGACACTATTCCCACTGAGGCTGCAGCAGCAAATTCTTTGCCTGCACAGTTGTACTCCCCGCCTACATTTTCATATTAGCTTGCACTGCAGCATATTTCTACCGATCCATTTTACACAGAGAAAATGGATCCCAGAAAGGGTAGGGAATCTCCTAGTCTCACACGTGGTGGATGACGGCACCTGTGGAATTAAAGCCCAGGGCTCTCAACATATTTTCAGTCTCTTTGAAAAAGTAAACAAAGGCTTAACCCATTAAAGAAGGCTCTTGGGTTAGGGATAAGGAAAACGTCCCATTGCAAGGTCCATTGAGCACCAGTTCAAGTTCTCAAGGTGGAATTGCTAGAATATGAAGTAGCTGAAGAGGGAAAAAAACACGCAGGGAAAAGAAGAAAACAAGGGAAGAGTCAAAAATGTAAAAAGTTGAGTTTCATGCATTGATAACAACTGGATGTGACTATTTTAGTATTTATCGTTTTGTTTGTTTTTATCTGGAGGGTAGAAAAATAATTGTAAATCTGTGCAACGTGTAAACATATTTTATAATTTAAGAAACCCTATGGCATTTCATTATTTGAGAGTCATTAAAAAAAGGACTAAAATGTTCCTTCTTTCCCTGGAAGCAGGGCAGCATTCTACATTTTTTCTTAGCATAATATGCAAACATTTTTATCCAAAAGTATAAGGATACCAGGGACACATAAAACATGTAGTCACCCAGCAATAGCTCCTCTTGCACCCCTGCTCTGTGTCCAGGACTGGGGCTCTAATTCTGCCCTGTCCAACAGCACAAATGGATGGAAACCTCTCTGGGCTAAGCCATGCCAAGATGATAGGGAGGCTTTCTTAGAGCCTGTGGCATAGCTTGGACAGCCTTGGCTTAAAGAAAGAACAGCAGAGCAAGCTTCTTCTCAGTGTCAAGAGGCTATGACTCCTCTCTCAAGATGCGACTCATGGTAGCCAGCGGGCTAAGATGAAGATCTCTGTGCTTGAAGAGTTGGTCAGTCCACAGCCTGGCAGGCCTGGAGGAGACAGGGTTTCTGGAATGCAAGTCCAGTTCATTCTCTAAACCAGAAGTCTCCAACTATAGTTCACAAGCTAACTTAGCCTGCAGAGGTGTTTTGTTTGACCCTCACGATAGGGACCACATTTTAAATTCAAAACACAATTGATCCTTGAACAACAGAGGGATTAGGGACACTGCATCCTACCCCTACTCACGCAGTCAAAACTTTGCATATTACTTTTGACTCCCCAAAAGCTTAACTACTAATAGCTTACTATTGACTGGAAGCCTTATCAATAACATAGTCAGTTAACACATATTTTGTTATTATATGTATTATATACTGTATTCTTACAATAAAGTAAGCTAGAGAAAAGAAATGTTCAGAAAATCATAAGGAAGAGAAAATATATCTACTATTCATTCAGTGGAAGTGGATCATCATAAAACTCTTCATCCTTGTGGTCTTCAAGTTGCATATGCTGAAGAAGAGGAGGAAGAGGAGGGGTTGGTCTCGCTGTCTCAGGGGTGGCAGCGGCAGAAGGAAATCCAAGTATGAGTGGACTCACGCTCTTTAAGAGTCAATTATAGGCTGGGCGCAGTGGCTCACGCCTGTAATCCCAACACTTTGGGAGGCCAAGGCAGGCGGATCTCTTGAGGTCAGGAGTTTGAGACCAGCCTGGCCAACATGACGCAACCCCATCTCTACTAAAAATACAAAAATTAGCCAGATGTGGTAGCTACTTGGGAGGCTGAGGCAGGAGAATTGCTTGAGCTGGGAGGCGGAGGTTGCAGTGAGCCATGATTGCACCACTGTACTCCAGCCTGGGCGATGTAGTGAGACTCGGTATATATATAAAAAAGAGTCAACTATAATTTCACACAAATATATGCCTTCTGGCTTCTTTTGAAAAGCAGGAAGAACTGCCACCCTGGGCCTGCCCTCCTATAGAGTAATGATGGCTGGCGCTGGGTGGCAGCTGTCCCCTTTGGATAGGACATGAGCGCTCCAGCTTACCAAATCCTCACCACTCCCTATTGTCTCCCCAATATTGAGATGAAGAGTCACCTTATGCCTGGCTCAATTTACTCCTTAATACACCAGATTTTGTTCGGCAGTTAAGCTTGCAATCGCTGTTGCGATGCCTCCAGATCCCCTTGCCGCATCTAGTCTCTATAACTTGTAGGAGGTTCAAGCCTTTATATTCAGTGTTGAATAAGACTGGTATACAGTCCAAAAGAACAACACGCTAAGGTATGATACATAACCATCCAGTTACTTCCCCACAGCAACTGGATTTCCTTGCCCATAAAATGGGGCAGAAGCTGTAGATACTCTCTGAAGCCCTTCTAGTTTCAACCTTCTAGGGGTTAATCCACCTCACTGCTCCCCTTGTTCCTGTACACCAACCCTGTTAAAATTCATATACCTGAAAATTGGAATTTTTCCCCTTTTTCCTATGTTTGGCATTTGTTGAAATCTTAATTACTTGAAAGCTAGCCCGAGTTGTCAGTGACAGAACACTGCCCGTGTAGACGACCAGAATCCCCCTCAAAACCTTATCATGATCCACTAGACAGGAGGCCACCATATGTGCAAAAAAATTCTCCTAACCTGTCAGAAAGCTCTACTGAGGGCTGGTGGGTCTTATAAAGAGGCCAGAGATTCAGTGGGCCTGAAAATTAAGCTTCCTTCTCTCTCTTGGAATTCACTTGCTGCACTCAGGTCTGAGGCAGCTTAATCCAGGAGAGATGGAACCGGAAAACCCTCTTGTGTGAGGTCCTGTATCCAGTGTTTCAGTCCTTTACTAATGGAGTTGCCACTGAGAGCTATTAAGCACCACCATGGCCCCGTGGCTCATTCCAGGCATGGGGGAAGGTGGGAAGAAGGTGGAAGGCACAGCTCCTGCAAAGTGATTTTGGGGGAGAGACTCTAGTGAGAAAGAAGTTTCCATGGAACAACACAAATAGATTCTGCCTCATGTAAATACATTTTTCTAGCAAATAATGTCCTTGACTTTTTTCCCTTCAAAAATGCCCAAGAGTACAATCCATCTTGTGGCTTGTTACTAGTTATGCAGCATGTAGGGAAAATATGACTAAAAGGTATAATTCCAAAATGCACAGCAGAATACATCTTCTCTCTTCAAAATGAATTTATTTGGTCATTGCCCAGCTCAAGTCTGTTTTAAATGACTCTGTAATACATAGTTTTGACAAAGAATTGAAAATGAAGGGAAAAAATGCATCACATGAAATGTGATTCAAATGAGAACATATTTATTTTCCACACTAAAAAATCTAATGAGAAGAGTGGATATCTAGTTTGGAGTTTTTATGTATTTGGTTTTGGACTCAGACTACTGATCATTGTAATATACACTAAAAGCAAACAAATAAACAAAACCCACTTAATTTGTTTATCCGTACCCAAGAATCACTCTGAATAATGGTAGGTGAGACCACTGTTTTTAAGTACAGAAAGTAGAAAGTTTAAAAATATTGGCTTTTATTTATGTAATATATTAGATCAACCTTTCTTTTTTAACTAAAATATATAAAATACTTTGTGGCTTTCTTGCAAATAAAAATGCTCATAGAATACATTTTATCTACTAAGGCTGTCAGTAACATTTGGGCTAAAAATGATTTATTTTTCTTTGGCCTCTTTGGATCTTCTGGCTTCAACTTCTCTGTTTTATATCTGCCTTCAACAAATTGCTGGATTTTTCAGGATGAGGAGTACATGGTTGCTTCTAGAAAAATGCTTCACAAAACAGTACAAAAACCTAGCTTGACACTTTCATCACATCGTAAAAGAACAACGATTCCAGGATCCTTCCCCTTTAAGGGAAAGTGGAATTGAACACAGGCCATGAGCTAAGTGAAATTGAATCCCAGACAGTCCCCCAGTTCTGCCATTTTTAACCCATTGTTACTTGATAAACATTAGAATCATCTCGTGGCAGCAGAGCTCTGTGGTAAGGAGTGCATAGGTAAAAAGTGCATAGGTGTGTGCCCAATGGACACAAGTGCATTGGGCTGGGGTTTCTTTAACGTCATGTTGAGCCCTGTGATTCCTTACTCTCGCTTTTTCCCTAATATCCTCACAATTTGAAAATAACTAATCTACCTTCCCTGATATTAAAATTAGCTCCTGGAGCATTTCACTAATTGTACCATCATCGATATTCATGCTCTTTTAAATAAATAAATTTTACCTTTTAGGATAAATTTATAATTACTTGCTTTGCACATTTCCCCCCTTCTAGGCAATGACCTATTTTTAATTGAGGTTTTCTGGTCTCCTATAGGGATAGATCATAAAATCTGAGCTCTAAATGAAGAATTGCATTTTTAATGTTATGTAATTTAACCACTTCTGAGGAGTAAAATAGATGAAAATGATTGCTTTGCCTACTGGGCCAAGTAAGGGTCCTGTCTGCGGAATTCCCCGCTGTGGGAAAGTGGGGAGGTCTTTGCTACTGGAGATGCAGGTGTGGTCTTGATGCTTCCAACAGCCCCCATTCCGAAACGTGCTTAACAGAGCCATAGCCAGCACCTTGCTGAGGCTTCCTAATCATGCCTGGATCTTGTTGTAATGGGTTTCCATAGTTTCAGGGAATAGAAAATTCTTTCTTAACTTCAACACATAAAATTGTTTTGGGGAGGGGGGTTCTGGACTATGCTTTCCCTGGCTGGCTCTGCCACTTATTTTCTGAGAGTCCTGGAGCAAGTCATCTCGCTGTATTCAGCTCGCTTCCTCACCTATGAAATGCCAAGAACATCATCACGTACATGCAGCTGGGTTATAACAAAGATTAAATGAGGTATTAATGTGGAAACTGCTTGACCCCTTGATCAGCACATGATGAGCACTGATATAAAATTAGATGACAGAACTTATCACTATTCACCTTGTAGAGACAAGGTCTTAGAAAATACATTTAAAGAGCCTCCTCCCTCTCCAATCCTGAAAGTCAGTCCATGGAAAGCTCCAAGCCTTGTCAACCTAATGTCAACAGCACCTTGAGGATCTTTATACACCACGTAAGAGGCCTTTTAAGAGGACTGTTTATTCGTCACATTTTAGGTCTAATAATAACATTAATAATTATTCATGGTGGATAAAGGTAATCAGGAAACAAACTGATTGCTAGCGACATCGGGAAGGACACATCAAGGCCATGGCATGAACCATGACGTCGTCTTGCTCAGGGAAATCGACACCAGAAACAACTGAACTGACGAGAGCCTCGAGGACGGGGCTGAGTAGAGTCCATGGGGAGAGCGAGGCCCTGACGCCCACTTCTGTCTCCACTCAGAATACCCTGTTGTGACATTGAATCTTGGTCAGTTCTTAAAACCTGGAAGTCCTGGGCAGAGGGGCCATTTGTAGATTATTCTAGGGGGTCTACATCTGCCTCATGCATGCCTTCATTCATTCATTCATTCACTCAATACTTACCAGGCCTCTGAACACACACCAGGGCCCACACTGAGTATTGGGAATATAGTGAAGAACAGAACTTACCTGGTCCCTGTCCTGGTGGGGTGCTTACAGTCACCTGAAGAAGACAGATATCTTCCACAAATAATAACCACACAAATAAATAAATCATTGCAAATTGCAATACAGGTTATCAAAGGGAAAGACAAGTTGCTATGGGGGTCACAGAGGGACTGTTTCCAGAAGGTGGGGGTCGTGAATGCTGCTCTGAGGAGTGACTTTTAAGTTGAGACCTGAAGAATGAGTAGGAGTGGGCGGGTAAATCCTGGGAGCAGAACATTCAAGGCTGATGGGTTTCATGAGTGGAGGACCTGGTGTAGTTTAAGGAGCTGGAAGGTCAGCAGCATGTCTGGGGCTGGGGAAGGGAGCAATAGTGGCTGGCAGGTGACATGGCAGTAGCAGGGCCAGGAGCCAACCAGGCAGGGCCTTTTGTATATGGCATAGATCTGTAGTTTTGTCTTAAGTGTAAATAGAAACAACCTAAAGTCTGAAGGAGGAGAACAAAGTGATCAGAATTGCAGTTTGAAAAGATACCCAGTGGGCCAGGCACGGTGGCTTGTGCTTGTAATCCCAGCACTTTGGGAGGCCGAGTCAGGCTGAGTCGCTTGAGCCCAGGAGTTTGAGACCATCCTGTGCAATGTGGTGAAACCCCATCTTTCAAAAAAAAAAAAAATTAGCCAGGCATGGTGGTGCACACCTGTAGCCCAAGCTCCTTGGGAGGCTGAGGTGGGAGGTTCACCTGAACCTGGGAAGTCAAGGTTACAGTGAGCCATGTTGGCAACACTGCACTCCAGCCTGGGCATGGGAGTAAGAACTTGTCTCAAAAAAAAAAAAAAAATCCCCAGTGCTTTATGAAAGCTAATTCAAAGAGGCAGGACAGCACATGGTGGGATGGGGTGAGGGAGTAACCGAGGAGGCCAGGCAGAATCGGAAATAATTAGTTATCATTTTTGTTATTTAGTCCAACCTCAGTCCAGACTACTGGAACTATTGAAGAGGTAGCATGATAATGCCCTGGTGAGTCTGAGATTTAATTCTAACCAGGTTCAGAATAGCCCCTTAAAACTGCCCTCTGGATTGAGAGAATTCTCATATTTGAAACCCTGGTGAAGGCAGAGACAGCCACAGAATCGCTCCCCTCGGGGATGAGCGTTCAATTCCTCACCCCCGAAACCACGTTGTTTTACTCCTTTGCCAACTGGAGACTAAACCAAGAGAAGTCAAAAGACACCTTGCTCCTTGGTGCTTATTAAAATGGCAAGTAGACTGAGGGCGGAAATGAAAATGGAAGAATTTGACCTGTGATCCAGATGGCCTGGCAGTCAGGGTCCAGTCAGGAGCTGGACCTGCAGACGGCACTGCAGTTATTTTAACAAGTGAATTTAACATAAAGAATTATTAACCAGGTATTATAGAACTGAAAAGACGAAAAGTAAACATGAAGGTATAGAGTGTGGAGAACAGAAAGAAGCGGAATTATCAAAGCTTAGAAGCTTGGAGGAAGGTCTCTGTGAGACTGGGACCCAGATTTTTAAGCAGGAGGGGCTGCTTGGCTGGTAGGGCAGGTAAACCTAGAGGTGACACGGTGGGGCTGATTCTGGGGACGTTGGTGGAAGAACTGAAAACGAATCAACTGCTTCTCCTGGAACAAACTGATGCTGATAGGAACAGAAAGCAGAGTCCCGCCTCCATCTCTCAGCCTTGCAGCCTCCCGCTAGCGCCCTCTATTGGCAGTTCCCCACAGGGAGCAGCTGGCGAAACAAACATGGGGTTTGTTGGGTCCCAGCCCCAGCATCACGAAGCAGAGAAAGCAGAGTGGGTATGGCTGGAAGACAAGAGCTTAAGTTTTAAACTGGGTTATTTGCCTACATATTGAGTTGTCAGAGTTCTTTATATATTTTTACATACTTAATGTCCTCCTAGAGAAAGACATCTCAACTAGGTAATAAGGAAAAGTAATACTTTATATTTTCCATCTATCTGAAAATATATGTAGCATTGTACACATATACATCTTTACAAAAGAATAGAAAATTTTTAAAATTTTGAAGTTGGTGGTTACATTTTTCTAAATGATTAAATGATTGTTTGGGACTCTGGTTTATTATGATTATTATGTTGGAGTTACCCAACATCTGGGTCACTTGAGAGAATCAGTTTCTATTGTCTTTCCTTCCTCTTCACTATGGGTCATGTTTGCCTGTTTCTTCCCATGTCTAGCAACTTTTCATTATATGCTGAACAAATAAGTGGATGATAATAGCAGAGACTCTGGATTCTGTTTTGTTGCTTTGAAGATTTTTGATATTTTTCCTAGCATGCAATAAACTTGGCTGAATTAAACTGTAGACTTCCCTGGGGTGAGCTGAAGCTAAAATCTCCACTCGTCTTTTTTCCATCTCCCATCTGTTGCTTTCTCTCAGGTCTCCTTCTTATGCATGGGTATTTCAGATGTTCGCCAAGAATTTGAGTGGGGTTCATATTCAGATTTTGGGTTTCCTCCCTCTGCAGCTCCCTCTTTTTCAGGATATCCTCTTCCCTCCCACCCTTACATTCCAGCCGCAGGGGCAAGCCTGAATTCTATCATTTGAATACTCACACCAATTAAGTCTGTGGATTCCTGCTTCATCGCCAGCTACCCCACAGCACAAAACTTCAAGGAAAAGGCTGTATAAAGGCAAATCTCACCCAATGTATTTCCTTTATTTCAAAGATCAACCCTTTCCACTTTCTGCCTTCTTTTGGTCACTTTCTAGTGTATTCAAATAGTTGTTTAAGAAATGTTTTGTAACAGTTATGTATGTATACTGTAACTGCTATGCTTGTAGCTGTTATGTGACTATATCTAACTGTAGCTCTTAAGTCTGAAACAAGGGACTTTCTCATTGCTGAAAGCAGATCTCTTGGTTTATAATTTTTTTATTTTAAAATATTAGAATATAGCCCTATAAAAATTGTTGTCCTAAGTTATATTCTGACCAACAGTAGCTGCGGTTTTAAATTTCACATTTAGGCTAGCAGTGGATGCTGTCAAATTCTCAGCCAGTTAGATGAAAAAAAAAATGGTATATCATTATATTTATTTGCATTTCTTTAACTATGCATAAGATTTTCTTAGGTTAATTAGTCAGTAGACTTTTTTTGCCATGAAACTCATGTTTAATTACTTTGCTTGATTTCCTAGTGGGCTGTTTGTCTGTCTTTATTTTATAAGCTTTTTGTAGATTAAGAAAATTAGCTCTTTATTTGCCATATAGGTCACAAATACTGCTTCTCAGTTTGTCACTTGTCGTTTGACTTTAGTTAAGATTTTTCTTTTCCATGTGAAAATGTTAATTTTATAAGTAATAAAATGTTTCAATTTTCTTTTATGGCTTTTGCATTTAGTGTTTTGCTTAAAAGCCTTTCCATACTGCCAGATTTTAAATAAATTCGTGTGTAATATTTTTTCTTTTTGGTTTCTTAGGGCTTGATTTCATTTTATTTTGCTTTACTCCTCAACTGGCCTGGAATTGCTTATGATGTAAGAAGTAAACAGATCTCTCTTCCCACCCCCACTCATGCTCCCTTACTTAGACTGGCCTTTAGAAAGAAAGAAAGGCCAGTCTATAATTTTGTTGTGCATTTTCATAAATTATCCTTCTTTCCCCTGTTTATTGGAAGAGCTTATCTGTATTATATTGTAAATTACCTTTTTAGTTGATTCTTTTAGTAACTTGCTGTTCTGTTCCACCGGCTGTTCATTGCTTTTTCAGAACTAAATTATTTTGATTATTATTATTATTTTCTGAGACAGAGTCTCACTCTGTTGCCCCGGCTGGAGTACAGTGGTGCGATCTCAGCTGACTGCAACCTCCGCCTCCTTGGTTCAAGTGATTCTCCTGCCTCAGCCTCCCGAGTAGCTGGGATTATAGGCATGTGTCACCACACCCAGCTACTTTTTGTATTTTTAGTAGAGACAGGATTTCACCATTTTGGTCAGTCTGGTCTCGAACTCCTGAACTCAGGCAATCCACCCACCTTGGCCTCCCAAAGTGCTGGGATTACAGGTGTGAGCCACTGCACCTGGCCTATTTTCATTATTGGGGCTTCATCTACACATTAATATCTATTCGCACTAGTCTCAAGGAGTAATTGCTTTAAATGCATTGTACTTGAACAGTTCACTTCCGTGAGTATTTTTCTCCATTTCGTAAATTTTAATCATAGACATGAAAGTGGCTGGGCTGCAGCATGTGCAGCTTGGTGCTGACGATGTGCATCTGTCAGCCCCAGCTGTCCCCATGCTTCTCACCTCACAAGCTAAAGATATTCCTCAGAGCTACCTACCCAGTAAGAGGTGATGCCATTTTTGGATAGAAGAACCTTGTTGTGGAGTATCCAGGCAATGGCCCTCCCCCATACATAAGCTCAATGACATTTTCCCAGTCCATATTTTAAGCAAAAATAGCTCTAATATTATAAAATAAAAAGACCTATGGGCTATATTTTGATTATCATAGTAAGTGATCATGATCAAAGTTCAATTGAAAATAATTTAACAATATTAATTTTAAAAGATTGTAATCAATACAATATTAATTTAGTTTATAATAATAAGTTTATTTGCTAAGTAAATAAATATCACAAAGATTCCACAAACCCCTAAATCAAACTAAAATATGCTAGAAATTAGATGCACAGAGTAAAAAACGTTAAGAAAGATTACAGACTTAAACACAATACTGAATAGTGTATGCTTTTAGGAGGCTTTATTTCATTTCAACACAAGATGTTTGTTTGCTGACATTTACTCAGAAGCAAAAACATTCACACTGGAGAGTATAACTCGGAGGCAGGGAAAGGCACAGCTCAATTAGCTATAAACATTCACAGAAATTTTATTTTTAGACGAAATCTAATTCTTGGTAGGATGAGTTAAAACATGTAAGTTAAAGGAATTAGAGATCAAACAAAATAACTAAAAGCACATATTGAAATCTGCAGAGGATGTGAGTCATTTTTCCTATGGCTATTTAATATTTTTAATTTACATTCAAACCCATCCTCAAGAAATAATAAGTCAGGGTTTCAATACCAGCAAATAAAATGTAATAACCCCCTAGGAGCCCACTAAGAAACCAATCCACTCCGGCAAAGTGACAGATGACTGAGATCTTGTGAAACAAAAAAATGGAAATGCCAAGCAAAAGACATAACTTTTTTAAAAAAAACTATGCGTACGTATATATTTGTGTATGTGCAAATGTATGCCTGTATATAGGTATGTGTTTATACATATATTCTTATAAACTGATGTGTATGTATATATTTAAGTTTTACCAAATATGGCATTTTTAAATGGTACTTTATATATTTTTTCAATTTTGATATTAATGTAAACATTAATATCAAAAGTACATTACCTGGCATTTAAAAATACTGTTTACCATAATTTTGTCAACATGCCAGTGCCCCTGAGATGCAAATTAAAGGCCCAGAGAACATTTGGTAGTGGTAGATAATGCTTAAATATACATTTCTTTCTTAAAAAAAGAAAAAAACACTTACCTCAAGAATGGAATTCAAATGATTGGCTCATTAACTTTGAAATACTAATATATAGAGAGAGTACGTCTGACCATTTTTTATAATGATAGCCCACAAGTCTTCCAAAAATACTGATTCAGGCAATTCTCTGTAAAAGTGTTTTCATTCTTTATAAAAAGGATACAACATCTCTGAGAGGTATCAGGGAACAATGGCAGTCTTTCGCCCATATAAAATATAATGCCAACGATGCAGGGAGTTACCTGTTGAGTAAGAATTAGATGAAGCCATCGAATTGTGTGCTAAAAAGAACATGCCACACCAGAGGACCCTGTCACGAGTACACCTGTGTGTGTGCAGGAGTCCTAGGGAAGGGGAAAGCAGAAAAAAAGAAAAGAGAAAGCAAGTGTTAGATGACAGTGGAAAAAAATGACTTGTCAGCCTCTCGACTGCCAAAATAACTCCATCAAGAACTTACAACTACTATTGGCTCATGTTGGAAAATGGGAGTGAAGACAGCCAATTCAAATCACAGGAGCACACCCATCACAGCCGCGCGGAATGTGCAGGAGGGGCCCGAATCCAGGGCTTAGAAAATACAGCACAGGGGAGATGGGGAGAAATTCTGAAATAGGCAGCATTCATCAGTGCCCTGGATATTTTCAGGTTTTGGCCTTTAAAGCAAGACTTCCCTTCTTCCTGAATTCCCTCCTAAGTCAGAGTGCTTCGCGACACACTATTGTTTTAATTTTCCCCTTATTATAGCATTATTCATAAAATATGAAGAAGAACTGGCACCAAACAAGTGACATGCGTCTCCCTTCTATGGGCCATATAAATAATGATGCATTCCAGTTCTCTTCAGGGTTCTTCTATGACTAAGCTGAGCACTAATGAGGCGTCAACTGCCCTGGAACTCCTTCCAGAGTGGGTGGCTGCCATCCCAATCCTAAACTTCTAGCTTCAAAGGTTGCAGAGAGAATACTGCCACTTCTCTGCCCCGGAATTCGGGGCCAACGCAGAGCACCCTCCATGGGCCACTGTCTCTGAGACACCTAGCATCTGAGACACCTAGCACCTAGCATCTGAGACACCTAGCACCTAGCACTGGCTCTCGAGTAGGTGGCTTAGGTCTCCCTGCCTGGTGTGTTCAAGCACGATTGTCAGAGAATTCCAGCAGAGAGAAATTAGTGCTAATGTGGAGTTTTCATAGGATGAGGGCCAGCTGGGTGGAGTGGGGTGGGAGCGGGGCGGAGGATGTGTCCAGCGAAGCCTGAAGTCATTGCATAGAAGCCGCACAAAGAACATGGCCAGGACCATTAGCCACCCAGCTGGACCTGCTTTGTGTCTGGTGGGCACAGGCATTTCAGCAGTGTCTCTCCCTCCATGGCATGCCTTTGCTGTATATTTTAATTCTTGTCTTTGATTAAACATTGATCATAATGCATGAGTTCCTGATGTTTCGTGACATGAGAATTCTGCAGTTACCGCTGAAAAATTTTATGACCATGCTCTGCAGAGGAATTGATCATACAGGGTTTACTAGCCTGGAAGATGGATGACTCGCAGCGGCACCCAATCTGGCATCAGGAGCTCAAGGAGAGGCGTTTCATGAAGCGCCGTGAGACTGCGCCCAGCCACCCACTGTCCTGCTTCCTCTAGAAAATAAGATATAGGGCTCACCGGGCTAAACGTTCTGTCATTTCTGTGTTAACGTCACACATGACTGTAGAATACTGAGTTTCATTTGACTCCCAGGAGGTATACATTTTGGACTCTTACATCCCATCCTCCATTTGTGTCAAGGTCAAACTATATTATTACTCAACTAGTACACAGTACTTGACTAACTTTGATCTGGGAGTGAAGAAACGGTGAAGTTCACATATTAAAGACTCTTTATGGAGCTTCCAAAAGGCCTATCTCGGCCAACAAGGAATTACGGAGAAAGATGCTAGAAGGCTTCATTTACTTACCAGCCTTCACAGTCTCAGTGCCAGAGTGTGAGTGAACACTCCATTCACAGGCAGGTTTAGAAATCTCTGTGTAGGAGACATCTGTGGCTTCTCAGATGGGGCATTTACAAATAAGCACACCATTTATATGGAATGGCACATTCTAGATGGTTTCTGCTTTCCGTTTTTAATAAAACCATAGATTTCTGGAATCAGAGCGTAATGAACAAATTACAAATCTATGCACTTCTCAAGCAATTTTAGCACTGATGTGACTTCTAAATTGTGAGTTCTTTACTTCTTATTCCTGTATTTGCATATCTGTTCAAATCCAAGTGATTAAAAAGGAGCTGTCAAGGTTGATAGGCCTAAAATTAGAGCTGACTGTTCGTTTTGAATGTACACATTAATATTAGATGTGTCTACTTCCTATTTTTCTCTGAACCTTCAGGGAAAGGAGACTGAAATGCATCAACAGATTGGGACATTTTATTTCTTAAAAAAAATTTCAAAAGGAGACATTAACAACATGTAAATAAATCCGCAATAAAGTGCCACTCCACTTTAGCAAAGTGGATAGGACATTTTTAAAAACCCAATTTTAAAGAAAAGCAAATTTCTACCAACTTGATTTAAATTGCCCTCCAATGGCTTCAGTCCAAAAGAAAAAATCAACAATCTCTTGCCTAAGAAGTGATATAGATGGTTTTTAAAAATCCTTTTATTCAATATGACTAACCTATAAAAAAATATATTTTAACCTGTGTCTTTAAACCTATAAAATGCCTTCTGATTACCTCATCCTTCACAGCAATTTCATATAGATTTATCCACCAGAAAAATTACTATGAGATACACTTTTTTAAATCTTTTTTCTTCCTGTTTGAAAAAAGGTAATTTGGTATTTAGAGGAATTATACAATATTTATGGCTCCCTCTTTGAAATGCCGTGTGTGGAAATAATACTGCTTCAATAAATAAAAAGCTCTTCAAAAATCACTTTGTTTGGGCCAGGTGTGGTGGCTTATGCCTGTAATCCCAGCACTTTGAGAGGCCAAGGTGGGCGGATCACTTGATGTCAAGAGTTCAAGACAAGCCTGGTCAACATAGTGAAACCCTGTCTCTACTAAAAATACAAAAATTAGCCAGGCAAGGTGGCACACACCTGAAATCCCAGCTACTTGGGTGGCTGAGGTAGGAGAATCGCTTGAACCAAGAAAGCGGAGGCTGCAGTGAGCCGAGATCACCCTACTGCACTCCAGCCTGGGCAACAAAGTGAGACTCCATCTCAAAAAAAAAAAAAAAATACTAAATAAATAAAAATAAAACCCTTTGTTTTGGCACATTTCTATAAGATTGCCGAGGGAGGACAGAGAATCAGTCCCTTTCCCCACCCAGTCTTGTAGGCTCAGGGCAGTGTCCACAGGAAACTGTCTCAGGACACTGCCCTGAGCCAGAGGTGCGCTGCCCTGCCCACTTCTGCACTGCTACCCTAAACCTGGCAATGTATGTGTTTTTCAATGACGCCTCAGGTAACATCAGAACCAAAAGGATCCATCTGGTTTTTGACAGCATTTAATCAGTTACCATACAGGAAACATGATATGGCTATTGACTTTTTCCAGAAAGCAGCAGTTTTGTAGAGTAAAACGGGGTACATCCACCTTACTTAAGCAAAGGTTGAGCTCCTGACCTTCTTTTTTGGGAAGAACGCTGTTACTGACTCAAGCATCACTGATGTTTATTTCAGAGGCTGGAGGTCCAGCCTGCAGGAGCTACAGGGTTTTGAGAGGTTCAGACTGCTGTAGCCATGGGCAACATTACAGTCATGCACATGACAGGAACCTAATACAGCCATCGTTCCAAGTGGCTGGCGTTGTTAGCTCTAATCTGCTCAAATGTCCTTTGTAATTAGTAATTTGATAACCCCTGGTCTTAAAGGAATGTACTTGGAAGGTAAAACCCCAACTCCTTCAAGGCAGGTTCTGGACCCCAGGTAACTTTTTGAAAGAATTTTTGTATTCATCTTGCTTTGACTTGATGTAAGATTTGATTTTGTTCAAAATGAGTGATTGTTTAAAAGTCCTGCCATGTGGAACGGCAGTTCATTGGAAAAGTGCGATTCTCTGTGTGAGCAAATTGCCTGTGTCTGTCTTCGAGCTTTCCATTTGCAGGGCTTGTGGAGCAGCAGTTAAGGTGTCTTGATGATTAAGTTACCTGTGGCTGGCCCAGCTCGGCCGAGGGGGCTCCCCATTAGGGACAAATGCTGTAAGGATTCCCCAAAAGTCTTCAGCTGGGCTACTGAGTGCTCGGGAGGTGCTGTCTGTCAGGGGCTTTCTGGAGGCAGCGTGTCCACTACCCACACCACTGCTGTGCCTGCAGTAGAACCAGATCAAGAATCCTTCCCCCAAAGAACAAGAGGAATTCTTTTCTACTCATTTCCTTGTCTGTGACACTCAAGTGTCTGAGGATTACCCTGCCTTCTCACAGAAGGTTACAAACACGCACTCAACTCCATACACATTTTGGTTTCCACACAAAATGGTTTTTCCTGTTATCTGGTAAAAGAGTCTTTGAGTCTTACCTCAGGGAGGTCTGGGTCTAACGCTTAGACCCACATTCCACAAGACTAGGTCAGGAGATCTGGTTTTAGTGATTGCTTTATAAATACTGTACCTTCTCCTGAGGTTTGAAGCTTAGATGTTCAGGGATAGAGGAGCTGATGATTAAGGTGGGGGTAGAGGTTACAGGAAATGCTGAGAATAGGCTCCCCAGATGCTTAAAGGACTTGTCATTTTATAGAATTAATACAATTTGCTGATCTTTAGAGAATTTTATGCTTAACATGCCATTGGGAACACACTAATAACATCTTTAAGAATTGAAAGCACCAACTGTCAAGTTAGGTGGGGATGAGGTAGGGGTCTAAAGACAAAGGGATGGCTTTAAAATCCATGTAAAAGAGCAGTCAGGTCCCCATATTTCCATTGCCAACCAATGTTTTCAAATCAGTACCTCATACCCGTAAAAGATAACACATTACCAGAGAGTCTCAGACTCAAGAGTGTGAGGGACAGAGGAAGTTGGAACAAATGCCTGACTCAAGCCAGGGGGATTGAGTAAAAGTCGCAAAGTGAACGGTGAGGTACAAGTCCTCTTCTTCCCCCCAGCTCCATAGCATTACTAGCAGTCCCTGCACCCAGGCAGAAAAACAAGAGATCCCTCTTTGAAAATTGCTCATGCCTGTAATCCCAGCACCGTGGGAGGCTAAGGTGGGCGGATCACTTGAGGTCAGGAGTTCAAGAGCAGCCTGGCTAACGTGGTGAAACCCCATCTCTACTAAAAATACAAAAATTAGCTGGGCATGGTGGTGAGCTGCTGTAATCCCCAGCTACTTGGGAGGCTGAGGCAGGAGAATCACTTGAACCTGGGAGGCTGAGGTTGCAATGAGCAGCTGAGATTGTGTCACTGCACTCCAGCCTGGGCAACAGAGAAAGATTCTGTCTCAAAAAAAAAAAAAAAAAAAAAAAAAAGAAAGACAGAAAAGGAACTTGCCTTCATATTTTTTTCTGAATTGACATTTGAGGGTCAACTCAAAAGATGACCTGCTTTCCACATGTGTGTACACACACACAAGCACATAAACACACACATACTGATGCAGCTTTCAACCAACTCTTTATTGTCTCACACCTAAATATGATCAGCCAAGGCTCACCTTTAATGACAGGCTCCACCATGAAAGATAAATATCAAAATGATTAAAATGTAAAAAATAAGAAAGGAACTTAAAGGAAACAGAGGCAACATAGGATGTGAAATATTATTTCAAAACAATTATAGTTAATATCCTTAAAAAGGTAAGAGAGAACTTTACAACCATGAAACAAGAACAGGAAGCTACAAAAAGGAAAAACCAGGAAGCCAGGCATGGGGGCTTATACCTGTATTCCCAGGTTCCTAGGTACTTAGGAGGCCGAGGCAGGAGAATTCCTTACGCCCAGGAGAGCTTGAGGCCAGCCTGGTTAGCATAGTGAGATCTTGTCTTTAAATATATATATTTTAAAGGAACAAACAGAAAATATGAAAGTACATTGATATATATATATCGATATATATATATATAGAGAGAGAGAGAGAGAGAGAGACAGGGTCTCACTCTGTCACCCAGGCTGGAGTGCAGTGGCACGCCCTCAGCTCACTGTAGCCTCAACAGCCCGGGCTCAAGCGATCCTCCCAATTCAGCTTCTCCAATAGCTGAGACCACAGTCATATGCTACCATGCCCGACTAATTTTGCTGTTTTTGCGTTTTGTAGAGACGGAGTTTCACCATTTACCTCAGGCTTATGCTGATTTTTTTAAGTGTTAAAAATATCTGGGAAAACAAACAAAAAAATCAATAGAAGGACTGAAATGCAAAGTCAAGGAATTCTTCCAGAAAGTATAACATTAAGAAAAAGAGAGAATGGGACAGAAAAGATAAGGAAATGGTGGATCAATCCAGGATGTCCAATATGTGACCAGAAGGCATTATAGAAAGAGCAAGCAAAGAAGAATGATGTAAGATTTTTTTTTTTAAATGACAATACGATTACTTCCCATATTCAAAGGATCTGAGTCTCTGGAAAGAAAAGGCCCTCTGTATGTTCAAAATAATGAAACAGAAGCTTTATAATCATGAATCTTTAGAACACCAAGAACACAACGAAGACCTCAAAAACTTTCAAGTATAAAAAAAAATACATCCTAACCCAAGATTCAACAATTAAAAATAGCATTGGACTTCTCAGCTGGTTTTGAAACAGGAGTGCAATGAAAGAAAAAATCTTCAAAATTCTGAGTAAAAATAATTCAAATCTGTAAGCCTATACCCAAACAGACTACTAATCAAAGTAAGGGTAGAATTTTCAATTTATGAAATTCTCAAAACCACATACCTCCCTTTCTTGGGAAGCAACAGGTGCTCTACTTTAAAAGAAGCGAATAACCCAGGAACAAGACAGATAAGAGACCCACAAAGGAGGAGATTCAATAAGCAAAGAGGAGAAAGAAATTATCTGGATTATGGCAAAGGAAAATCCCCAGATACCTTCAGAGCAGCCAGCCTGGCTTAAAGAAAGTTAAAAGGAGTCCAGAAGCAGTTTCTCAGACACACACACACACACACACACACACACACACACACACGCACAGCTAGTTAACTTCTTAACTGACAGGTAGATTGTGTGAAGAATTGTATTGATACATCTTCAGAGAGTACAGGAATAAGGAGCGTCTTAGGCAAATGAGAAGAAAACCTACGTAAATTGAAAAGATGAGGCACTTGGAAACTTGGAAAAGTAAATGTCTACAGAAAAGAAAATGTAATCATACCACTCTGCATCATCAGCAGTGAATAATATTTACACTATTAAAATAGTTAAAAACCCTGAAGGTAGATTTAAATAAAAATAAAGATGCTATACCAGAAAAATGGGTTGGGAGTTAGGATAAATGAGCCAGAATCTCATCTCTCTTAAATGAAGCCAATAAGACAAAGCTAAAGTCTTTGAATCAAGTCATAACATGTGGAGATAAATATTTTTAAAATCAGGTGAAAGAGTTTAAAAGTAATCATCTCTGTACAACAGAACAGGGCAGGTGCGCAGGAAAGGCAACAAGTTCGTGTTCTAAGCTTTTGGTACTGCTTTGATAAAAATAGCAACTAATCAAAAAAAAGAAAAATGGTATAAGTATATCATTTAGAGTTAGAGAGGAAACTTCAGAAGTTCTATCACAGGAAGAATTAAAGGGAGTTACCTCTAGGGAATAGGTTGGGTTACAGGGAAGAAGGAGATTTTGATGTTTCACTTTAAACTGTTTAGCATCATGTACATATTGCTTTAATAATGAAGAAAAACAAAAAAATTATAGAATTAAAAATTAACATATTTAAGGTTATTATAGCAATTTAAAAAGATGTCACAATATCTAATAACCGCCCAAAGAAAAATGTGATAGCTAACAAATATTGAGGGCTTCCTGAGTGCCAGTTACTGAGCTAAATGCTTTTCCATGAATTATCACATTTGGTGTTTATAATGCCCTGTGGTAGTGACTGTCGACTAATCCCCAATTTAACACATAAGGAAGTTAAAGCTTAGCAAGGTGAAGTAACTTGATTAGTAACAAGTCATGGTGGAGCAGAATTGAAGACTAGATCATCCCAAACACAAACCCTACACTTTCAGCCACTCTGCCAGGTTACCCTCGCTGCACGCAGCAGTCTGCAAAACTGTGCTCAAGGACTTTCTGTTCTCTGTGTCAAAATGGAAGCAGCTGTGAGTAGTGTTATGGAGAACATTTGTGGCTACCTTTTCAAGTCTTGTATTTCACTTTTGCTCAAGTCCTTGTTCACATCTTTGATTTATGCTGAAAAAATGTTCCCCTAGAACCTGGATTTTGGGTCTGTGTTAGAGTACTGTATATAGCTGTGTTAGGCTATATAAAGCTCTCCTTTCAGAAACAGGAGCTCTGAGCGCCTCTCTTCCCCAAAAGGAACACAGCTCCTCACCAGCAATGGAACAAAGCTGGACAGAGAATGACTTTGACGAGTTAAGAGAAGAAGGCTTCAGACGATTGGTAATAACAAACTTCTCCGAGCTAAAGGAGGATGTTCGAATACATCGCAAAGAAGCTAAAAACCTTGAAAAAAAGATTAGATAAATGGCTAACTAGAATAAACAGCATAGAAAAGACCTTAAATGACCTGATGGAGCAGAAAACCATGGCACAAGAACTACATGACACATGCACAAGCTTGAGTAGCCGATTTGATCAAATGGAAGAAAGGGTATCAGTGATTGAAAATCAAATGAATGAAATGAAGCAAGAAGAGAAGTTTAGGGAAAAAAGAGTAAAAAGAAATAAACAAAGCCTCGAAGAAATATGGTACTATGTGAAAAGACCAAATCTACATCTGATTGGTGTACCTGAAAGTGAGGGGGAGAAAGGAACCAAGTTGGAAATACTTTTCAGGATATTATCCAGGAGAACTTCCCCAACCTAGCAAGGCAGGCCAACATTCAAATTCAGGACATACAGAGAACACCACAAAGATACTCCTCGAGAAGAGCAACTCCAAGACACATAATTGTCAGATTCACCAAAGTTGAAATGAAGGAAAAAATGTTGAGGGCAGCCAGAGAGAAAGGTGGGGTTACCACAACAGGAAGCCCATCAGACTAACAGCTGATCTCTCAGCAGAAACTCTACAAGCCAGAAGAGAGTGGGGGCCAATATTCAACATTCTTAAAAAAAAGAATTTTCAACCCAGAATTTCATATCCAGCCAAACTAAGCTTCATAAGTGAAGGAGAAATAAAATCCTTTACAGACAAGCAAATGCTGAGAGATTTTGTCACCATCAGGCCTGCCTTACAAAAGCTCCTGAAGGAAGCACTAAACATGGAAAGTAACAACCAGTACCAGCCACTGCAAAAACATGCCAAATTGTAAAGACCATCGAGGCTAGGAACAAACTGCATCAACTAACGAGCAAAATAACCAGCTAACATCATAATGACAGGATCAAATTCACAAATAACAATATTAACCTTAAATGTATATGGGCTAAATGCTCCAATTAAAAGACACACAGTGGCAAATTGGATAAAGAGTCAAGACCCATCAGTGTGCTGTATTCAAAAGACCCATCTCACATGCAGAGACACACATAGGCTCAAAATAAAGGGATGGAGGAAGATCTACCAAGCAAATGGAAAACAAAACAAAAAAAAAGGCAGGGGTTGCAATCCTAGTCTCTGATAAAACAGACTTCAAACCAACAAAGTCAAAAGAGACAAAGGAGGCCATTACATAATGGTAAAGGGATCAATTCAACAAGAAAAGCTAACTATCCTAAATATATATGCACCCAATACAGGAGCACCCAGATTCATAAAGCAAGTCCTTAGAGACCTACAAAGAGACTTAGACTCCCAAACAATAATAATGGGAGATTTTAACACCCCACTGTCAACATTAGACAGATCCACGAGACAGAACATTAACAAGGATATCCAGGAATTAAACTCAGCTCTGCACCAAGAGGACCTAATAGACATCTACAGAACTCTCCACACCAAATCAACAGAATATACATTCTTCTCAGCACCACATTGCACTTATTCCAAAATTGACCACATAGTTGGAAGTAAAGCACTCCTCAGCAGATGTAAAAGAACAGAAATTATAACAAACTGTCTCTCAGACCACAGTGCAATCAAACTAGAACTTAGGATTAAGAAACTCATTCAAAACTGCTCAACTACATGGAAACTGAACAACCTGCTCCTGAATAACTACTGGGTACATAATGAAATGAAGGCAGAAATAAAGATGTTCTTTGAAACCAATGAGAACAAAGACACAACATACCAAAATCTCTGGGACACATTTAAAGCAATGTGTAGAGGGAAAGTTATAGCACTAAATGCCCACAAGAGAAAGCAGGAAAGATCTAAAATTGACACCCTAACATCACAATGAAAAGAACTAGAGAAGCAAGAGCAAACACATTCAAAAGCTAGCAGAAGGCAAGAAATAACTAAGATCAGAGCAGAACTGAAGGAAATAGAGATACAAAAAACCCTTCAAAAAAACCGATGAATCCAGGGGCTGGTTTTTGAAAAGTTCAACAAAATTGATAGACTGCTAGCAAGACTAATAAAGAAGAAAGGAGAGAAGAATCAAATAGATGCAATAAAAAATGATAAAGGGGATATCATCACCAATCCCACAGAAATACAAACTACCATCAGAGAATACTATAAATACCTCTATGCAAATAAACTAGAAAATCTAGAAGAAATGAATAAATTCCTGGACACATACACCCTCCCAAGACCAAACCAGGAAGAAATTGTATCCCAGAATAGAGCAATAACAGGCTCTGAAATTGAGGCAATAATTAATAGCCTACCAACCAGAAAAAGTCCAGGACCAGACGGATTCACAGCTGAATTCTACCAGAGATTCAGAGGAGCTGGTACCATTCCTTCTGAAACTATTCCAATCAATAGAAAAAGAGGGAATCCTCCCTAACTCATCTTATGAGGCCAGCATCATCCTGATACCAAAGCCTGGCAGAGACACAACAAAAAAAGAGAATTTTAGACCAATATTCCTGATGAACATCGATGCAAAAATCCTCAATAAAATACTGGCAAACAAAATCCAGCAGCACTTCAAAAAGCTTATCCACCACCATCAAGTTGGCTTCATCCCTGGAATGTAAAGCTGGTTCAACATACACAAATGAATAAATGTAATCCTTCATATAAACAGAACCAAACACAAAAACCACATGATTATCTCAATAGATGCAGAAAGGTCTTTGACAAAATTCAACAGCCCTTCATGCTAAAAACTCTCAATAAACTAGGTATTGATGGGACCTATCTCAAAATAATAAGAGCTATTTATGACAGACCCGCAGCCAATATCATACTGAATGGACAAAAACTGGAAGCATTCCCTTTCAAAACTGGCACAAGACAGGGATGCCCTCTCTCACCACTCCTATTCAACATAGTGTTGGAAGTTCTGGTCAGGGCAATCAGGCAAGAGAAAGAAATAAAGTGTATTCAATTAGGAAAAGAGGAAGTCAAATTGTCCCTCTTTGCAGATGACATGATTGTATATTTAGAAAACTCCATCGTCTCAGCCCCAAATCTCCTTAAGCTGATAAGCAACTTCAACAAAGTCTCAGAATACAAAATCAATGTGCAAAAATCACAAGGATCCCTATACACCAATAACAGACAAACAGAGAGCCAAATCATGAGTGAACTCCCATTCACAATTGCTTCAAAGAGAATAAAATACCTAGAAATCTAACTTACAAGAGATGTGAAGGACCTCTTCAAGGAGAACTACAAACCACTGCTCAACGAAATAAAAGAGGACACAAACAAATGGAAGAACATTCCATGCTCATGGATAGGAAGAATCAATATTGTAAAAATGGCCATACTGCCCAAGGTAATTTATAGACTCAATTGCATCCCTATCAAACTACCAATGACTTTCTACACAGAATTGGAGAAAACTACTGTAAAGTTCATATGGAACCAAAAAAGAGCTTGCATTGCCAAGACAATCCTAAGCCAAAAGAACAAAGCTGGAGGCATCATGCTGCCTGACTTCAAACTATACTACAAGGCTACAGTAACCAAAACAGCATGGTACTCGTACCAAAACAGAGATATAGACCAATGGAACAGAACAGAGCCCTCAGAAATAATACCACACATCTACAACCATCTGATTTTTGACAAACCTGACAAAAACAAGAAATGGGGAAAGGATTCCCTATTTAATAAATGGTGCTGGGAAAACTGGCTAGCCATATGTAAAAAGCTGAAACTGGATGCCTTCCTTACACCTTATACAAAAATTAATTCAAGATGGATTAAAGACTTAAATGTTAGACCTAAAACCATAAAAACCCTAGAAGAAATCCTAGGCAATACCATTCAGGACATAGGCATGGGCAAAGACTTCATGTCTAAAACACCAAAAGCAACGGCAACAAAAGCCAAAATTGAGAAATGGGATCTAATTAAACTAAAGAGCTTCTGCACAGCAAAAGAAACTACCATCAGAGTGAACAGGCAACTTACAGAATGGGAGAAAATTTTTACAATCTACTCATCTGACAAAGGGCTAATATCCAAAGTATACAAAGAACTCAAACAAATTTACAAGAAAAAATCAAACAATCCCATCAAAAAGTGGGCAAAGGATATGAACAGACACTTCTCAAAAGAAGACATTTATGCAGCCAATAGACACATGAAAAAATGCTCATCATCGCTGGCCATCAGAGAAATGCAAATCAAAAGCACAATGAGATACCAGCTCACAGCAGTTAGAATAGTGATCATTAAAAAGGCAGGAAACAACAGGTGCTGGAGAAGATGTGCAGAAATAGGAACACTTTTACACTGTTGGTGGGACTGTAAACTAGTTCAACCATTGTGGAAGTCAGTGTGGTGATTCCTCAAGGATCTAGCACTAGAAATACCATTTGACCCAGCCATCCCATTACTGGGTATATACCCAAATGATTATAAATCATGCTGCTATCAAGGCACATGCACACATATGTTTATTGTGGCAGTATTCACAATAGCATAGACTTGGAATCAACCCAAATGTCCATCAATGATAGACTGGATTAAGAAAATGTGTCACATGTACACCATGGAATACTATGCAGCCATAAAAAAGGATGAGCTCATGTCCCTTTGCAGGGGCATAGATGAAGCTGGAAACCATCATTCTGAGCAAAGTATCACAAGGACAGAAAACCAAGCACCTCATGTTCTCGTGGGAACTGAACAATGAGAACACTTGGACACAGGGTGGGGAACATCACACATCGGGGCCTGTCGTGGGGTGGGAGGAGCGGGGAGGGATAGCATTAGGAGAAATACCTAATGTAAATGACGAGTTAACGGGTGCAGCACATCAACATGGCACAGGTATACATATGTAACAAACCTGCACGTTGTGCACACGTACCCTAGAACTTAAAGTATAATAATAGAAATAAATAAATCAACTATTTTCTTATTAAACTTGTATTGGAAGGCATTAAAAAAAAAGTTCCTGAAGAAAAAAAAGAGAAACAGGAGCTCTGAGTGAAGAAAATGTCAACGATTTTAAAATTCAGTGATACAATCCTGCAAAACGAAGCCCACTACCAATCAGACTATTAGGGTTCAGGGCAAGATACAGTTTATGGACCCTGACAATTATAAATCCTGAAGATAGAATCCTACATTTACCACCCACCCAAAGTGTATGGAACCAGTAAGATGAAAAGTTAGACAATATCAAGAGTTGGAAAGGATCAGAGCAACTATTATAATAGAAATCTTACACATGATATGTATGTCAATTAGTACAACCATTTTAGAAAACTGTGAATATCTAAGAAATCTGAACATAAACTTACCCTACGACTAGGTAATTCTACGCCTTGAAACCCATACATATATTCCTCAAAAGCATTGTACAGGATGTTCCTGGCAGTGCTATATTTAATAGTCAAAACACTGGAAACAATGAAAATATCCACCAACGGGAGAGATGGATAGTTAAATTATGGCACAGTCACACAATGGAATAGACGACAGCAAACAAGCAAACAAACAAACAAAAACCCTATCAATACTTGCAACAATGTGGAAGAATTTAACAAACATTGTTGAATGAAAGATCTAGATACAAAATAGTACATATTAAAGATTGTCATCGTTTTACAGTGATATCAGGGATTGCAGAGCTGCCACCTCTCGCTAGAGCTGGAACTCACCGGATCCCGTGCCCATTGCCATCCTGTGCAGGGCTCCAGGAGCTGTCTTCTGCCGGCTGCCACCTTTGCAGGAAGAATCCCATGCACCTGCCACTGCGACAGGTGCTCCTGCCAGACCTGCAGCTTTCCACAGTCCCCTGCTACTGCCCCTAGCAGGGATCTACAGCCCTGCCTCACCAGAGGTGCCGTCAGAAAGAGAATGGCTCCCACCTTCTCCTGCCTAATGCAAGAGTCTCAAATTGGCAGAAGCTAATGGAACCCCAGCTGCTCCTGTAGGTTTGTATCCCCGCAGAACAAAAGAGCAGATACAAAGGCCTGGAAGAGCAGATGGAGAAATGTGTGCTGCAGACGATATCTGGCACAGTTTTAAATACTTGTTATTCTAAAATGTATGCAGCCCTGGTCATTGTAACCACACCGATATCTAAGGAGAAAGTGAGACTGAGTAGGCTGCACTTCATTTTAAGGGGACTTCAAAAAAATATGTGTAAGAAGAGTAAATTTTAAAAATTTTTCAGTTTTGGTAAAAGGCTAATTGAACATCATTTCTTTTTAAGAGGTGTACATATTCCTTCAGTGTCTCCTGCGGAAGAAAAAAAAACCAATATCCTTGTGTAGCACATCACAAAGTACTTTGACGCATCTCTTTTTATTCTTTATAAAGCCTTTCTGAGATATGACATGTTTCACCATTCAGAGAAACGGAGGTGCCCCAGGGCACCTGGATGGTAATTGGTGAAACGGGAACCTGAAGGCCGCCCACCTGCTCCCTGGTCAGAGCTCTTCCCATTGCTTCTCTAGGGTCTCCAGGGTGGTAAAGGTCTCAGGACACAGAAGCTGCACTGTGTAAGGGACTCTGGCCATGGCTACTAGACCTGGTCCTCACAGACCAAGAAGGGTGAGTGAGACCCACCAGCCCAGTGTGGTGCCTCGGAATGAACTGGTCAACCTTGTACCCAATGCCCCACCCACTCCATGTGCCGTGGAGATACACAGATGATTGCCATATTGTAATTAGATTGGTTTTCTTTTCTTTTCTTTTTTTCTTTTTCTTTTTCTTTTTTTGGGAGGGAGTCTTGCTCTCTCACCCAGGCTGGAGTGCAGTGGTGCAATCTTGGCTCACTGCAACCTCTGCCTCCTGGGTTCAAGTGATTCTCCCACCTCAGCCTCCCGAGTAGCTAAGATTACAGACATTCATCACCACGCCTGGCTAATTTTTGTATTTTTAGTAGAGACGGGGGTTTTGCCATGTTGGCCAGGCTGGTCTCGAACACCTGACCTCAGGTGATCCACCCACCTCAGCCTCCCAAGGTGCTGGGATTACAGGCATGAGCCACCACGCCCTGCCTAGTTTTATTTTCTTAATGCAATTCTCTAGAAATGTATAACAAACCTAGACAGATGTTGGGCATTTGGCTTTATGTCCCCAGAGCTGACATTCTGTTAGTAGCTACCTAAAGGTAGCTCCCTGGCGCTCCCTGCTGCCACCACGAAACTGGATGAGCTTAGGTTCATGATCAGTGAGACTTTATTCATTTAATATACATAACATATAACAGTTAACTTTTAATAACAATGTATTAAGCACTAACCAGATGTCAAGCAATATGCTAACCGTTTAGCACATATGAGCTTCCTCCTGTGGCTGGAGGAAGCAGGTGCTGTTATTACACGTGCGTTACACACCAGGCTAATGAGGTTCATCACTTGTAACCAAGGAAAGGGCACAGAGCAAAGAAATAGATTCAGAGCCAGGACCCCCCCAACTATCCAGAGCCCACACTTAAACACGAATTTCACCGCCACTTAGGACAACATTCGGGCTCTCATGTCCTTTTGATCCCTGCCACAAGGGATCATCTCTGAGCCAGGACAGGGGACAGGTGTCAACAATTTGTGCAGCAGCAAGATCAAGAAGACCACGTAGG
This sequence comes from Homo sapiens, assembly GCF_000001405.40. Taxonomy (NCBI): domain Eukaryota; kingdom Metazoa; phylum Chordata; class Mammalia; order Primates; family Hominidae; genus Homo; species Homo sapiens. Next base: position 127,714,839 of record NC_000010.11, read on the forward strand.
CCTTCCTCATTTCTGGAGAGTCAGTAACCTTCAGACATGACAGCTGTACTTTCTTTTTGTGGTACCTAAACACAGCAAGTGCCAACGCTGGAGCAATGGTACCCTCATTAAGGTGTGTCTCATGATCTCCATCTGCATCTCTGGCAGGAAGTTGGGAGCCGGGCCCCCTGGGCCCTCCTGCATATGCTGGCCCAATTCAGCAGCAAACCCAAAGCAAGGTGGCTGGAGTCAGGAGACACTGATTCAACTAAAGCAATAAAATTAAAGTAATTCAAACATAAAACAATTTCTGAAGTCTAGTCAATACAAGGTGTGGCCAGGGTTACATCTGGGTAGCAGCAAGGAAGGGGTAGAAATGCCCCAGCAGCCAAGAGCATCCTAACAGGATGGATAGATTACCGTAACTATTTCAAAGTAAAAATCAGGACTTAGACTCCCCTATAACTGGTAAGCTACAGTGGTAAAGAGCAGGTCTCACTCTCCTTTACAAATCCGAAGCTAAGGATTAAAGGATGCCACAAGATGAAATGTGAGAGAGCTTCTCACCCAGTCTGATCATGTGCACGTGAAGTGGGTGTGGGGCTCTACTCGAGGTCACACTGGATGGAAAAGCAGGAGCCCAACCTGACCCCTGGCTCCCTGGCGCTCCCTGCTGCCACCACGAAACTGGATGAGCTTAGGTTCATGATCAGTGAGACTTTATATTCATTCCACATTCAGTATTTAAAAAAAAATCAAGGCAAAATAAAAAAAGTGTTTAACGACAACAGGTCTTTCTCTTAAAAAGAATAGTCTTACTGCAAGCTCCTGCGTATTTGCTAGCATTATGTTACAACAAATTCAGTAGATTTATCATAAAAATTGACATGTAAAATCTTAAATACAAATAAAAAATACAAGAGAAAAGTTTGAGAATAAAACAAACCTACCCTCTCTGTAGGAAATTTTTCACCCATAAAATACTAAAGGCTATGCCCTTAAAATAAATTTCACCAAAAATATCTTTATTGATGACTATGGATTCTGAACATTTCTTTAATAAGGAAGGAATGGAACTTGAGCCATCTATTACATAAAATAAACATGGGATTTTTTCCTTATCAAATGAAGCTACTTGAGGAAATAGACTCTGTCACCTTCCACTAGATGGCATTAAAGTCACATAATTAAGGACAGAAAAATTCACAGAGGAATGATCAATACACAAAACTACCATAGGGAATTCATTCTCCTTCTCACCCTCACCCCCAGATTATTGGAGTTTGCTGTTTGTTTGCTATTATGAGGACAAACCATGCTCATTATAAAAACACTTTTTTGAAAAACCAATAGAATAATTAGAGAAAAAGTGCAGTCTTATTTACCACCCTAATAACATTAGCTACATGTATGGTGCCGGGAAACGTGCAAAGTGCTTTATATGCATGGTTTCATTTAACCCGGATGGGAAATGAAGCCCTGTGAGATGATTATTATTACTGTGTTACAGATAAGAAAATTGAGGGTCCAGGTTAACTCATCCAGGATTACACAGGTAATAACTGACAGGACTAGGATTCTTGCCTGAGTCAATCTGACCCTGCAGGCTGACATCTCAAACACTTTTTCTCATCGCCAAAGTCAAGCACGCTTAGCATCTTCCCTCTCAGTCTCTGAAAGGGTCTGCTTATCTGTGGAGATACAACACAACAAAGGTTACCACGAACCTAAAAGTCCTTAGATGATCCCAATGCTTGCCATAAATTTTAACACTCGATCAACCTATATAAATTCCATCACACCTAATTATTTAACACATACGGGGAAGAATAGAAATATTGTGTAGGTAAATGACCAACTGTGTTTTCCAACTTCTTATTTCTTAGCAAATTTAAGGCTTTAAACTTAAGTGGCATGAAATGAAATGACCCTAACTATATGCCAAAACAAGAAACCACTGAGAAAAATATTTCAAGTGACTCTGTAACATAGTCCTTTGACTGTATGTCATTACTGGGATCTATTTTTTAAAGACAGGTCGGGCGCAGTGGCTCATGCCTATAATCCCAGCACTTTGGGAGGCCAAGGCACGCAGAGCGTTTGAGGTCAGGAGTTTGAGACAAGTCTGACCAACATGGTGAAACCTCATCTCCACTAAAAATACAAAAATTAGCCAGGTGTGGTGGCGCATGCCTGGCTCAGCTACTCAGGAGGCTGAGGCGGGAGAATCGCTTTAACTCAGGAGGCGGAGGTTGCAGTGAGGCGAGATGGCACCACTGCACTCCAGCCTGGGCAATAGAGTGAGACTCCATTGCAAAAAACAAAAACAAAAACAAAAACAAAAAACTACCAAGGAATCTTAAATCTCTTAAATCTCATTTAGTAGTTTGTTAATACTAACACTTATAAGGTAATTTGAAACTATACAGGTATACTGTAAGATAACACAAGAGATAATTGTGTTGATATTATTAGAAACCAAGATTTTCAGTATAAGAGAAATGAGATACAAGTAGAGGGTAAATGTAGGTTTTTTAAAGGCCTGTAAGTATTTAATTTAAACAAGAAGCATATGATTTTTAGAAATATGTTTCCTAGTTCTGTCCATTGAAAGGTCTAGAAGCAAGGTTACCCCTTCCCCAGGAAACTTAGACCGCCAGTCCCATCATTTGGTTTCTCTTACTGTTCTTTCTGAAAAGGAATCCAGGACCACTGGAGAAGTAGCCTATTTAATATCAGGGTCAGGGACTGTACAAAGCGAGACTGGGCCAGCTCGTGTCAGAAAAGAAGGAAACATCTAGAGACTAGTAGAGCCACGTCCAAAGGACACGAGAGCCAGTCCCCGGGGACTCCACATGACCCAATTTGTGATGATATAAGCATCACAAAAATAATAATAATTTATTGAAACATTGAACATATTAAAATGTTTAAGTCTATGCTGATACTCAAAAGAAGAGAAATCCCATACAGCAAAACAAAAAGTTGTGACCAATGAAGATGACTGTTTCACCAAATACATTACTCTAAAAACCAGTCAATAAAAGAAAAGAATTAAGCAATTATTTTGCCTTTTTAATAGGAATTGTATTTCAGTGAAACCAAATAAGTTCAGTTGAGATGATAGAAAGCTCGTTTTTACAGAAAAATGCCAGTTAGTGAATGTTAAACTAATGAAAGAACTAGAAAATTTCAATTTTGCAACTCCCAGTTCCTACGTGAACAATTGATTCAGGTAGAGGTCATTAATGGAAAACAAAAGCAATAGCAATTCTTATCGGGAATTACCTGTGGAACTGGATTTTCACAATGTATCCAGGCATCACTCCATGGACTAGTGGCTGATGACCTTTGCAATGAAGAGATCAGCTGTCATTCCCTAACCCAATGATCAAACCCCATGTCAGGAATAGTAGACGCGCCTGACATTATGTGCCTTCTATTGTGATGAGGTAAATAATTTAACCTGAATCTAAACACAGCTTTAGACCTGTTAAAGAAAAATAAAAATGGAGGCCAGGTGCCATGGCTCACGACTGTAATCCCAGCACTTCGGGAGGCCGAGGCAGGTGGATCATCTGAGGTCAGGAGTTCAAGAGCAGCCTGTCCAACATGATGAAACCCGCCTGTTTAACATGATGAAACCCAGTCTCTACTAAAAATACAAAAAATTAGCCGGTCGTGGTGGCAGGCACCTGTAATCCCAGCTACTCGAGGGACTGAGGCAGGAGAATCGCTTGAACCCAGGAGGTGGAGGTTGCAGTGAGCCGAGATCGCGCCATTGCACTCTAGCCTGAGCAACAAGAGTGAAACTCCGTCTAAAAAAAAAAAAAAGAAAGAAAGAAAGAAAAGAAAAGAAAAAGAAAAATGGGCCGGGCAAGGTGGCTCACTCATGCCTGTAATCCCAGCACTTTGGGAAGCCAAGGCAGTTGAATCACGAGATCAGAGGTTCAAGACCAGCCTGGCCAACATAGTGAAACCCTGTCTCTACTAAAAATACAAAAATTAGCTGGTCATGGTGGCACGTGCCTGTAGTCCCAGCTACTCAGGAGGCTGAAGCAGGAGAATTGCTTGAACTGGGACCCGGGAGGCGGAGGTTGAAGTGAGCCAAGATTGCGCCACTGCACTCCAGCCTGGGCTACAGAGCAAGACTCCGTTTCAAAAAAAAAAAAAAAAGAAAAAGAAAAATGGAGACCACAGGTTAGAGATAACCTAAAGCCAACTGCCCATAACCATGTAATCAAAACTTTAAGTCATCCTGATTTCCCCTAAATGCTAGTTCTCGTCACAAATGAAATACAAGATGTAAGTCTTATGGCCTTGTCAGCATGATTCAGTGAAATTAAATCAAACAGCTATAAACAGATTGGCTAAAACAACTCTATTTGCCTTCCAAAAAAAGAAAATATAATAGCCAATCACAAAAAATATCAAAATACTTTCTCCTTAAACTCTGTGGAAACTGCTAATTAAACAGTGCACTTCCTACCACTTGGTTTGAAGTCTCCTGGATTGTGATCTGTAGTTTTAAATGACAATAAAATTTTAAATTTGTCCTACTTGATCTGATTTTATTTTTCATAGACTAAACTTTCAGTGTATAGAAAATCCAAAGGATAGAGCAATAAGTGAAACATCCCCAGAAGGAAACAATCAGACAATTTCAGATTGTGGGACTCTTATTTTTGAGACAGAATATCACTCACTCTGTTGCCCAGGCTAGATAGAGTACAGTGGCATGATCTCTGCTCACTGCAGCCTCTGCCTCCCAGATTCAAGCGGTTCTCCTGCCTCAGCATCCTGAGTAGCTGAAATTATAGGCGTGCACCACCACGCCTGGCTAATTTTTGTATGTTTAGTAGAGACGGGATTTCACCATGTTGGCCAGGCTGGTCTCGAACTCCTGACCTCAAGTGATCCACCCGCCTCGCCAAAGTGCTGGGATTACAGGTGTGAGCAACCATGCCCAACCCAGATTGTGGGACCTTCTATGAGTTGAGTGGACAGCTCTTTTCAAAAAATTAACTCGTTTTGCCTGACCAACAAGAGGGAAACTCTGTCTCAAAAAAAAAAAAAAAAAAAAAAGAATAAAATAACACATTTAAATAAAAAATTTGAGAGAGAGGTGGAGTAAGATGGTGGAATAGAAAGCTCCACTGATTGTCTCCGCCTTCCCCACCCTCACCAGCCTGGGCCCAGCAAGGACATTAAGTTAACTGTCTACACAGAAAGAAACACCTTCATAAGAACCAAAAATCAGTCCGTAGATTTAACTTCATATCACTGAAAGAGGCACTGAAGAGACAGAATAAACAGTCTGGAATTGTCGATGCCACCCCTCCCACCCCTGGTAGTGGCAGCATGGTGCTGAGAGCTTCTCTGGGTGCTGGGGGGTGGAGAGCACAGCAACTGAGAGGAATTGAACTCAGTGCTGTCCTGTTAGAGCAGAAAGGAAACCCGGACAAAACTCAGCTGATGCCCACCCACAGAGGGAGCATTTAAAGCAGCTCTAGCCAGAGGGGAATCACCAACCCCAGGGGACCAAACTTGAGTGCCTGAAAACCCCTCCATTGAGGGCTACAGCACTCTATGTCTCCAAGTAAACTTGAAAAGGAGTCTAGACCATAAGAACTGCAACTCTTAGTCGAGTCCTAGTGCTGAATTAGGCCCAGAGACAGTGGACTGAGGGGGCACGTGGCACACTGAGACACCAGCTGGGGCAGCCAAGGAAGTACTGACATCACCCCTCTCCTAACCCCAGCCTGCACAGCTGGAGGCTCCAAGAGACCCCTTCCTTCCATCTGAGGAGAGGAGAGGGAAGAGTGAGGACTTTGTCTTGCATCTGGGATACCAGCTCAGCCACAGCAAGAGGGCACTGGGCAGTCATGAGGCCCCCATTCCAGGCTCTACCTCCCAGATGGCATTTCTAGACACACCCTGTGCCAGAAGGGAACCTGCTGCCTTGAAAGGAAGGACCTAGTCCTGCCAGCATTCATCACCTACTAACTGAAGAGCCTTTGGGCCCAGAATAATCAACAGTGATACTCAGGTACTACATCAGGGTCTTTTGCCTCTCAGGCTTGCAGGCTTTGAGTGAGACCCAGCACATTCCCAGCTGTGGCGGCTATGGGGCAAATTCCTTCTGCTTCAAAAAAGCAAAGGGAAAAGTAAAGGGGACTTTGTCTTATACCTTAGGTACCTGCACAGCAAGGGGGGTAAAGCACCAAGCGGGCCAGATGCCAGGGCTTGACTCTTGGATGGCATTTCTGGACCTCCCCTAGGCAAGAGGGGAGTCCACTGCCCTGAAGGGGGAGTCCTGGGCCAGGGAGCGTCTGTGACAAACTGACTTAAGAGACTTTGGGCCTTAAGGGAACATGGGCAGTAGTCTGGCAGTACTCCTCATGGACTGGGGTGGCAGAGGCTACAGGGTGAGGCTCTTCTGCTTTGGAAAAGGGAGGAAGGAGTCAGAAGGACTGTGTCTGGTGGTTTGAGTGCCAGCTCAGCTGCAATACAGTAGAACACCAGGTAGACATCCACAGTTTTTGACTCTAGTTCCTGACTCCACAATGGCACCTGACTCCCCATTGGCACTTTTGATCCCACCCAGGGCATGGGGGACCTCACCTTCCTAAAGGGAAGGAGACAGGCCAGGCTAGCTTTGCCACCTGCTGATTGTAGAGCCCCATGGCCTTGACTGAACATAGGCAGTAGCCAGGGAGTGGTTACAGCAGGTCTTGGACCAGACCCAGTGCATTCATAGTAGTGGTGGTGGCCACAGGGGTTCTTGTGTCACTCCACCCCCAGCTTTAGGTGGCTCAGAACAGAGAGAAAAGGAAAGAGAGAGAAAGAGAGAGAGAGAGAGAGACTCTGTAAGTGTGGGAAAAATTAAGGGAAGTGAACAAGTCTCTGTGGTAATCCGGAGAAAGCTCCCAGGTCTGGTCCAAGATCACAAGGTGGTACCTCTACTTGAGTCTGCAAGAACTACAGCATAACTTGACTTGGGATTCCCCTAAAGCAGATGCAGCTTATATCACAACATCTAAGTCCTTTCAAATATATTGAAAGCCTTCCCAAGATGGATGACTACCAATAAGTCCAGACAGTGAAGACTGCAATAAATGCCTAACTCCTCAATCCCCAGACACCAAAGAACATCTGCTAGCATCAGTGCCACCCAGGGAAACATGACCTCACCAAATGAAGGAAATAAAGCACTAGGAATTAATCCTGGAGAAATAGAGATACGTGATCTTTCAGACACAGAATTCAAAATAGCTGTGTTGAGGAAACTCAAAGAAAATCAAGATAACATAAAGAAGAAATTCAGAATTCTATTAGACAAATTCAACAAGGAGATTGAAAAAATTTTTAAAAATCAAGCAGAAACTCTGGAGCTGAAAAATGCAATTGGCATACTGAAGAATGCATCAACATCTTTTAGTAGCAGAACTGATCAAGCAGAAGAAAGAATTAGTAAGCTCAAAGACAGGCTATTTGAAAACACACAGTCAGAGGGGACAAAAGAATAAAAAAACAATGAAGCATGCCTACTGGATCTAGAAAGTAGCCTCAAAATGGCAAATCTGAGAGTTATTGTCCTTAAAGAAGATGTAGAGAAAGAGATAGGGGTAGAAAATTTATTTAAAGGGATAATAACATAGAACTTCCCAAACTGAGAGAAAGGTATCAATATCCAAGTACAAGAGCACCAAGCAGATTTAACCAAGAAAACCAAACAGATTTAACCCAAGAACTACCTCAAGGCATTTAATAATCAAGCACCCATATGTAAAGGATTAAAACAAGGATCCTAAATGCAGCAAGGGAAAAGAAACAAATATCATACAAATGGAGTTCCAATATGTTGGGCAGCAGACCTTTCAATGGAAAACTTACAGGCCAGAAGAGAGTGTTTTGATATATTCAAAGTGCTGAAGGAAAATAACTTTTACCCTAGAATAGTATATCCAGCAAAAATATCCTTCAAGCATGAAAAAGAAATGAAGACTTTCCCAGACAGACAAAAGTTGAGAGATTGCATCAGTGCCTGTCCCAAAGGAAATGCTAAAGGAAGTATTTCAATCTGCAAGAAAAGGACGTTGATGAGCAATAAATAATCACCTGAAGGTACAAAACTCACTGGTAATAATAAGTACACAGAACAACACAGAATATTATCACACTGAAACTGTGGTGTAGAAACTACTCTTATCCTAAGTAGAAAGACTAAATTATGAACCAATCAAACATAATAACTTCAAAAACTTTTCAAGACATAGTACAATAAGATACAAATAGAAACAACAAAAAGTTAAAAAGAAGTTAAGATGTAGAGTTTTCATTAGACTTCTTTTTCTTGTTTGTTTATGCACATAATGTTAAGGTGTTGTCAGGTTAAGGTAATGGGTTATAAGATAGTATTTGCAAGCATCATGATAATCTCAAACCAAAAAATACAATGGATACACAAAACATAAAAAGCAAAAAACTAAATCACATCACTAGAGAAAATCACCTTCACTAGAAGAAGACAGGAAAAGGAAGAAAAGAGAGAAGGAAGAGAAGACCAGAAAACAAATAACAAAATGGCAGAAAAAAAGTCCTTATTTATCAATAATAACATTGAATGTAAATGCACAAAACTCTTCAGTCAAAAGACATAGACTGGCTGAATGGATGAAAAAACAAGACCCATTGACCTGTTGCCTACAAGAAACATACTTCACCTATAAAGACACACGTAGTCTGAAAATAAAAGGATGGAAAAAGATATTTCATGCCAATGAAAACCAAAAAAGAGCAGGAGTCACTATACTTATATTATAGAAAATAGATTTCAAGACAAAAACTATAAGAAGAGACAAAACAGGTCATTCTATAATGATAAAGGGGTCAATTCAGCAAGAGGATATAATAATTTTAAATATATATGCACTTAACACTGGAGCACCCAGATATATAAAGGATATGTTATTATATGTTATATAAAGGATATATTAAAGAGAGAGAAGCCCCAGTACAACAATAGCTGGAGACTTCAACACCCCACTTTCAGTATTGGACAGATCTTCCAGACACAAAATCAACAAAGAAACATCAGACTTAATCTGCACTATAGACCAAATGGATCTAATAGGTATTTACAGAACATTTCATTCAAGAGCTATAGAATACACATTCTTTTCCTCAGTATATGGATTATTCTCAAGGACAGACCATACGTTAGGTTACAAAACAAGTCTTAAAACATTCAAACAAATTGAAATAATATCAAGCATCTTCTCTGACCACAATGGAATAAAACTAGAAATTAATAACAAAAGAACTTTTGAAACTATACAAATACATGGAAATTAAGTAATATGCTCCTAAATGACCAGTGGATCAAAGAAGAAATTAAGAAGGAAATTGAAAAATTTCTTGAAACAAAGATAATGGAAACTCAACATACCAAAATCTATTGTATACAGCAAAAGTAGTACTAAAAGGGACATTTATAGCTCTAAGTGCCTACATCAAAAAAGAGGAAAAACTTCAAATGATGCATCTTAAAGAACTAGAAAAGCAAGAGCAAATCAAACCCAAAATTAGAAGAAAATAAATAAGAAAAATCAGAGCAGAAAGAAATGAAATTGTAATGAAAGAAAACAATACAAAAGATCAAATCAAAAAGTTGTTTTCTTTTTAAAGTTAAACAAAATTGACAAACCTTTAATCAGACTAAGAAAAAAAGAGAGAAGATCCAAATAAATAAAATCAGAAATGAAAAAGGAGACATTAAAACTGGTACTGCAGAAATTAAAATGATTATTATTGGCTACTATGAGCATTTATATGCCAACGAATTGGAAAATTTAGTAGAAGTGGAAAAATTCCTAGTCACATACCTACTGAGATTGAACTAAGAATAAATGCAAAACCTGAATAGACCAATAACAAGTAACAAGATCAAAGACATAATAAAAAGTCTCCTACTAAAGAGAAGCCCAGGACCTGATGGCTTCACTGCTGAATTCTACCAAACATTTAAAGAAGAATTAATACTAATCCTACTCTAACTATTCAAAACAATAGATGAGAACAGAATACTTCCAAATTCATTCTATGAGGCCAGTATTACCCTGATACCAAAACCAGACAAAGACACATAAAAAAAACTACAAGTAAATATCTCTGATGAATACTGAAGCAAAAATCCTCAACAAAATACTAGGAAACTGAATTCAACAATACATTAGAAAGATCATTTATCATGACCAAGAGGGATTTATCCCTGGGATGCAAGGATGGTTCAACATACACAAATCAATCAATGTGATACATTGTATCAACAAAATGAAGGATAAAAGCCATATGATCATTTCAATTGGTGCTGAAAAAGCATTCGATAAAATTCAACTTCCTTCATAATAAAAACCTTCAAAAACTGGGGATAGAAGGCACATAGCTCAATATAATAAAAGCGATATATGACAGACCCACAGATAGTATCTTACTGAATGGGGAAAAACTGAAAGCCTTTCCTCTAAGATCTGGAACACAACAAGGATGTCCACTGTCACCACTGTTATTCAACATAGTACTGGAAGTCCTCTCTAGAGCAACCAGGCAAGAGAAAGATATAAAAAGTATCCAAACTGGAAATGAAGAAGTCAAATTATCCTTGTTTGCAGAAGATATGATCTTATTTTTGGAAAAACCTAAAGACTCCACAGGAAAACTATTAGAACTGATAAACAAATTCAGTAAAGTTGCAGGATACAAAATCAACATACAAAAATCAGTAGCATTTCTATGTGCTAACAGTGAACAGTCTGAAAAAGAAATTTAAAAGTAATCCCATTTACAGCAGCCACACATAAAATTAAATACCTAGGAATTAACTTAACCAAAGGAGTGAAAGTTCTCTATAATAGAAACTATAAAACACTGATGAAAGAAACTGAATAGGGCACCAAACAATGGGGAAAATTTTCCATGTTAATGAATTGGAAGAATCAATATTGTTAAAATGTTCATGCTACCCAAAGCAATCTACAGATTAACTGCAATCTCTATGGAAATACCAATGACAGTCTTCACAGAAATAGAAAAAAAACCCAAAATTTATATGGAACCACAAAAGATCCAGAATAACCAAAGCTATCCTAAGCAAAAAGAACAAAACTAGAGGAATCACATTACCTGACTTCAAATTATACTACAGAGCTATAGTAGTCAGAATAGCATGGTGTTGGCACAAAAACAGACACATAGATCAACGGAGCAGAATAGAGAACCCAGAAACAAATCCACAACCTACAGTGTACTCATTTTTGACAAAGGTGCCAAGAGCATACACTGGGGAAAAGACAGTCTCTTCAATAATGGTGCTGGGAAAACTAAATATCCATTTGCAGAAGAATGAAACTAGACCTCTATCTATCACCATATACAAAAATCAAATCAAAATGGATTAAAGATTAAATCTAAGACCTCAAACTGTGAAACAACTACAAGAAAACATTGGAGAAAATCTCCAGGACATTGGTCTGGGCAAAGATCTTTTGAGCAATACCCCACACGCACAGACAACCAAAGCAAATATGAACAAATGGGATCACATCAAGTTAAAAAGCTTCTGCATAGCAAAGGATACAATAAAAAAAGTGAAGAGACAACTCACAGAATGGGAGAAAATATTTGCCAACTATTCATCTGACAAGGAATTAATAACCAAAATATATAAAGAGCTCAACCAACTCCATAAGAAAAAAGTCTAATAATCTAATTTTTTAAATGGACAAAAGATTTGAATAGACATTTCTCAAAAGAAGACATACAAATGGCAAGGAGGCTTATTAAGAGGAGCTCAATATCATTAATCATCAGGGAAATGCAAATAAAAACTAAGGAACTCAGTATCATTAATCATTAGGGAAATGCAAATAAAAACTACAGTGAGATATCATCTTGCCCCAGTTAAAATGACTTATATCCAAAAGACAGGCAATAACAAATGCTGGTGAGGATGTGGAGAAAAGGGAACCTGTGTACACTGCTGGTAGGAATGTAAATTAGTACAACCACTATGGAGAACAGTTTGCAGGCTCCACAAAAAACTAAAAATTAAGCTCCCATGTGATCTAGCAATCCCACTACTGGGTATATACCCAAAAGAAAGGAAATCAGTATATCAAAGAGATATCTGTGCTTCTATGTTTGTTGCAGCACTGTTTGCAATAGCTAAGATTTAGAAGCAACCTAAGTGTCCAATAGATGAATGGATAAAGAAAATGTGGTACTTATACCCAATGGAATACTATTTGGCTATAACAAAGAACGAGATCCAGTCATTTGCAACAACATGGATGAAACTGGAGATTATTATGTTACATGAAATAAGCCAGGCACAGAAAGACAAACATTGCATGTTCTCTCTTATTTGTTGAATCTAAAAATCAAAACAATTGAACTCATGGACATTGTAGAAGGACGGTTACCAGAGGCTGAGAAGGGTAATGGAGGGCTGAGTGGAGGTAGCGATAGTAAACAGATAAAAAAAAAAAAAGAATGAATTAGACCTACTATTTGATAGCACAACAGAGTGACTATATTTAATAATAACTTAATCGTACATTTAAAAATAAAAAATGTAATTGGATTGTTTGCAATTCAAAGGATAAATGCTCGAGGGGATGGATACCCCATTTGATACCCCATTACCCAAGTGCTGATTTCACATTGCATGCCTGTATCAAAACATCTCATGTACCCCATAAATACATACACCTGCTATGTACCCACAACATTTTTTTAAATAAAAAATTTGAGGTGGGGTGAAGAGCTCTTCTAGAATAAAAGAAACATAATGAACATGACAAATACATGAGCAGTCTCATAAATACACTGGATTCTGATTTGGAAAAAAAGGCAAGAAGTTATTTAGAGAAAATTGAAAAAATGGAAATATGAGATGTGTATAAGATAATATTAGGGATTGCAGCTAATGTGTTAGTTGTGATCACGTACGAGAATGTCTTCCCTTTTTTTAGATGGATGCCGAAGTGTTTAAGGGTAAAAATTTAAAAGTTTATATTCTTAAAGGCTCCAACAACAAAATACATATATAAACAGAAATGAAGTAAATATAGCAATTATTTACGAATTTAAATTTAATGTCTAGACTTTTTAGAATATAAGTTCAAATATATATAATTTAAAATAGTTTTGAAATCAATTACATGGGATACTCTTAAACATTGTATTTTGGTACAGTCAGGTTTTTCCTAGTAAATGGACACTAGCATATATTTGGAGAAAAGATATTGTAAATAAAGTCTTTTCTCAGTTTGATATCAAGAATATAGACAACATATTTGAATAGAAGAGTGTATTTAACATATAGAGAGCCAAACTTTAAACATAAGATTCATTCTCTAGGTCAATGAATGATTGACAGAGAGAGAGAGAGAGAGAGAATACCAATAAATACTATACATAAAGTACTTAATACTTGTGCTTAAGTGTTTTGCATGCATTATTTCATTTTCATCCTCACACTGTCCTATGAGGTGGGCACTATTAGTTCTACTTTACAGAGGAAGAAACTGAGACTTGTAGGGACTAGCAGTTTACCCACTTAGCTGCTTGAAACTAGAGCCAAGATTTGACTACAGGTCTACCTGTAATTAGAACTGAGAAATTCACCAGCTGAGAAAAGTTCCTGAGAGTCTACATAGGCCTAATGTTGCTTTAATATAGTTTTTCTCAATGAGGAGAGTTTGAAGCAAATTTTAGTTATGATTACCAGGGAGTGGTAAGGAAACAGGATATGGACAGGCATACCTCAGAGACATTGGGGGTTTGGTTCCAGACCATCGTAATAAAGGTAATATTACAATAAAGTGAGTCAAATTAATTTTTTGGTTTTCCAGTATGTATAAAAGTTTTGTCTACACTTTACTGTAGTCTATTAAGTGTGCAATATCATTACGTCTTTAAAAAACAATATACATACCTTAATTTTAAAATACTTTCAAAAAATGCTAACAATCATCTGATCCTTCCGTGAGTCATTAATCATTTTGCTAAGGGAGGGTCTTGCCTCAATGTTGATGGCCGCTGACTGATCAGGGTGGTGGTTGCTAAAGGTTAGGGTGGCTGTGGCAATTTCTTAAAATGAGACAACAATAAAGTTTGCCAAATAGATGGACTCTTACTTTCACAAGAGGTTTCTCTGTAGCATGCAGTGCTGTTTGATAGCATTTGCCCACAGCAGAACCACTTTCAAAATTGGAGCCAATCCTCTCAAACTCTGCTGCTGCTTCATTGACTAAATTTATGGATTATTCTAAATCCTTTGTTGTTATTTCAACAATGTTCACAGACTCTTTACCAGGAATAGATTCCATCTGAATAATCTGCTTTGTTTTTTTTTTAATTTTAATTTTTATTTTAAGTTCTGGGGTACATGTGCAGGATGTGCAGGTTGTTACACAGGTAAACATGTGCCATGGTGGTTTGCTGCACAGATCAACCCATCATCTAGGTATTAAGCCCAGCATGCATTGGCTATTTTTCCTAATGCTCTCCCTCCATTGACCCCACTGCACAACAGGCCCCAGTGTGTGTTGTTCGCTTCCCTGTGTCCATTTGATCTCATTGTTCAGCTCCCACTTATAAGTGAGAACATGCGGTGTTTGGTTTTCTGTTCCTCTGTTAGTTTGCTGAGGATAATGGCTTCTAGCTCTAGCCATGTCCCTGCAAAAGACACTATCTCATTTCTTTTTATGGCTGCATAGTATTCCATAGTGTATATGTACCACATTTTATTTATCCAGTCTATCATTGATGGGCATTTGGGTTGTCAATAATCCACTTTCTTGGCTCATTTGTAAGAAGCAACTGCTCATCTGTTTAAGTTTTATCATGAGATTGCAGCAATTCAGTCACATCTTCAGGCTTCATTTCTATCTACAGTTCTCTTGTCATTTCTACCACATCTGCAGTGACTTCCTCCATTGAAGTCTTGAACTCCTCAAAGCCATCTATGAGCACTGAAATTCAATTCTTCCAAACTCCTGTTAATGTGCTATTTTGACTTCCTCTCATGGATTATGAATGTTCCCAATGGCATCTAGAATGGTGAATCCTTTCCAGAAGGCTTTCAATTTACTTTTCCCAGCTCCATCAGGGGAATCACTGTCTATGGCAGCTATAGCCTTATGAAATGTATTTCTTTAATAACACTTGAAAGTTGAAAATGTTCCTTGATCCAGACTACAGAATTAACATCGTGCTAGCAGGTATAAAAACATTAATCTCCTTGTACATCTCCATCAGCGTTCTCCAGTGACTAGATGTTTTGTCAATGAGCAGTAATATTTTGAAAGAAATCTTCTTTTCTAAACAGTAGATCTCAATAGTGGGCTTAAAATATTCAGCAAACCATGCTGTAAATAGATGTGCTGTTATCTAGGCTTTGTTGTTCTATTTATAGAGCTCAGGCAGAGAAGATTTAGCCTAATTCTTAAGGGTCCTAGGATTTTCAGAATGGTAAGTGAGCATTGGCTTCAACTTAAAGTTCCCGGCTGCATTATCCCCTAACAAGACAGTCAGCCTGTCCTTTAAAGTTTTGAAGCCAGGAATCAACTTCTCCTCTGTAGCTATGAAAGTCCTAGATGGAATCTTCTTTGTCTACATTGGAAATCTGTTGTTTAGTGTAGCCACCTTCACAAATGGTCTTAGCTAGATCTTCTGGATATATTGCTCCATCTTCTACATCAGCACTTGCTGCTTCACGTTGTACTTTGATGTTATAAAGACAGGTTCTTTCCTTAAATCTCATGAGCCTTCTGCTAGTTCCAAACTTTTCTTCTGCAGCTTCCTCACCTCTCTCTCAGCCTTCATAGAATGGAATTGAGTTGGGGCCTTGTTCTGAATTGGTCTGGTTTATGGGAATGTTCTGGGCTGGTTTAATCTTCTATCTAGACCACTAAAACTTTTTCCATATCAGCAATAAGGCTGTTTCACGTTATTATTCACGTGTTCACTGAAGTAGCACTTTTCATTTTCTTCAAGAATTTTTCCTTTGCATTCACAATTTGGTTAACAATTTGGCCCAATAGGCCTATGTTTTGGTCTGTCTCAACTTGCAACATGCCTTCCTCACTAAATTTAATCATTTCTGGCTTTTGATTTAAAGTAAGAGATTTGCAACTCTTCCTTTCACTTGAACTTAGAAGCCATTGTAGGGTTATTAATTGGCTTAATTTCAATATTATTTTGTCTCAGGGAATAGGGAGGCCCAAGGAGAGGGACACAGATGGGAATGACTGGTTGGTGGAGCAGTCAGAACACACACATTTATTAAGTTCATCGTCTTATATGGGCACGGTTCATGGCTCCCCAAAATGATTACAATAGTAACATCAAAGAACACTGAACACAGATTACTATAACAGATTAATAATAATGAAAAAGTTTGAAATATTTCAAAAATTGCAAAAATGTGACACAGAGGCATGAAGTGAGCACACACTGTTGGAAAAATGATGCTGATAGACTTCCTGAGTTAGGATTGCTACAATTATTCAATTTGTAAAAAACACAGTATCTGTGAAACATAATAAAACAAAGTATGCCTGTGCTAACTGAGAAACTTACTATGTCAAAGCACTTCACAGGCAGGGAAAAAAATGAGGCTCAGGGATGCAATGGTTGACCTCCAGATCTCATTGCTGGAGCCCAGTTTCAAACCAAGATCTGGTTGTATCCCCAGACTAAGCTCTTGGCCACAGTAGCCCCTGACCTGATCCTTTCTAATGTGAGAAACCAGAAGTCTACATAAAATTCCAAAACCTGCAACATAATTTGAAAGAAAAAAACTGCAAAGGTCAAGGAGAGTATCTGAGGATGTTGCAAATTATCCCTTCTAAGACAAAAGCCTCTTGAGCTCTCTCTAGATTTTGAAAGTTTGAAAATACTAAGTAGACTCCTCCAGCCAAGTTGATTCCTGCACAACAGCTGTAAATTTCAGCAAACACACCTTGCTTGGGATCCCACACTGGGGATGATGAGAACACAGGCTATAGGGACAGAGCCGTGTCCTGGGGAGGCTCAGTCACACTGAGAAGTGGGAATCTTCTGAGACAAGGGGAGTGTCTGTCCTGGAGGGTGCATGACCCGATTTCTTTTTTAGTTTTTGATTGCTTTGTGACAAATTACTACACATTCGGTGGCTTAAAGCAATACTCACTTATTAGTTCACAGTTCTGTAGGTCAGAAGTCTAGCAGGATATGTCTGAGTTCTCTGCTCAGACTGAAGTCAAAGTGTCAGACACTGTGTTCTCATCTGGAGCTTGGGGTCTTCTTCCAAGGTTATTCTTGTGATTGGCAGAATTCATTTTCTTTTGGTTGTGAGATTGAAGTCCCTGTTTCCTCGCTGGCTGTTAGCTGGGACCACTCTCAGCTTCTGAAGGCTGCCCACATTCCTCCTGTGGCCTCCATATTTAAGCCAGCAATGGTGCATCAAATACTTCTCTGACTTCTGGACAGGTGCGGTGACTCACGCCTGTAATCCCAGCACTTTGGGAGGCCAAGGTGGGATGATCACCTGTGGTCAGGAGTTCAAGACCAGGCTGGTCTACATGGTGAAATCCCATTTCTACTTAAAAATACAAAAGTTGGGCAGGCATGGTGGCAAGCGCCTGTAATCCCAGCTATTTGGGAGGCTGAGGCAGGAGAATCATATGAACCCAGGAGGCAGAGGTTGCAGTGAGCTGAGATTGTGTCACTGCACTCCAGTCTGGGCAATGGAGCAAGACTCTGTCTCAAAAAAAAAAAAAAAAAAAAAATTCCTTCTCTGACTTATGCTGCTACTGGCAGCCAAAGTAAACTCTGCTTTTAAAGGGTTCACCTGGCTGGGTCAGGCCCACTGGAATAACTTCTATATCTTAAGGTCAACTGACTTAGGACTTTACATCTGCAAAATCCCCTCACAGCAGTAACTAGGTTAGTGTTTGGTTGAGTAATCTGAGAATCTTGGGAATCATCTTTGGAATCCTTCCCACCATGGTTTTAGAAAGGTCAGTCTGGCCATAGTGTGGATAATATATTGGGAGGGACAAGACAGACAGCAAAGGGGATCTACTAAAAGCTGTTGCAATCATCCTGAAAGACAGAGGAATGGGCTTTGGATTAGTGAGAAATGATTTACACACAGCATAACGACTTCTTGCTGACTGATTAGTTGTGGGAGGGAGGGAAGGGAGAGTCAAGGAGGACTCCCAGGTTTTGCCTCAAACAACTGAGTAAGTGATGTTGCCATCCACAGAGATACTATGGATAAACAGGTTTTGGAGTAGAAGATAACAAATTATTACTCTTCATGTTGAGTTTGAAAGGAAGACAATCAAATGGATGATAAAAATGGGGGAATCATTGGTTAACGCAGGAGTTCTCCATGGGAGTGATTTGGCTCCACAGAGGACAGTTGGCCATGTCTGAAGACATTTTTGGTTGCCATAATAGTGGAGGCGTTGTCCACATTGAGCAGGTAGAAAGCAGGAGTACTGCTAAAAATCCCACAACACACAGGACAACAAAGGTTTACCTAGCCCCAAATGTCAATAGTGCTGAGGTTGACAAACCCTGAACCAGAGGCCAGAAATTAAAGCCACAGGAGTGAAGAAGAGGACCCAGAATGGAGCCCTGCAGAACCCCAGCCTCAGAGCAAGGCAAGCCAGCCCAGAGCCCGAGAAGAAGCCAGAGAAGGGGAGGTCAACCAGATGAACAGTGTTGAAAAGCAGGCAGAGAAAGAGGTGTTGATTCTGGCGGGTGTCAAGGGCTGCTGCGAGTCAAGCAAAATGAGGAGTAAAAACCATCATTGGATTTAGGGTGACCAAGGCCACCAGAGGCTGTGCCTGAGCAGTTTCAGTTGAGTCGTGGGGGTGGACGGCTGTCTGTGCTGAGTGAAGAGTGTGCTCTTGAGAGAGGAGGTTGGGGCAACAGCCACCAGAGACCAGGCTTCTGAAGACCTGGAGACACCTCAAAAGGGATGTGGGCTGAAGGGATTTGTTGCCACGGAGAGAATTGAGATCTGCAAATGCTGATGGGAAGAAGAGAGAGGAGGAGATCACAGAGTGAGGCCCCTGAGAAAAGTGTGAGAAGAGAACTAAGGGCACAACGTCTCTTCCAGGCCCAAGCAGTGAGTGTCCCCTAAGTGCTGCATCCCAGGTGTGCACCTGAGTCCCAGTCCTGCCCAGGAGAGACTGGCCTGATGATGGAGAAGGAGAAGAGGTGCCCCCAGCAACAGGTGTAGGTGCAGCTGGAGGTGGGCTTGGCAATTTGAAAGGTGGGAGGTTGGGGAGACTTATCCTCCATGTAGGCAGCGGGGGTCACTTTTGAGAATAAAGGAGAAGAAAATGGATCAGAGGCCTGAGAGGGGTGTGGAGGGCTGCTCTGTTTAGAGAACCCCAGCAGGACTCCCAGACAGGGCACAGTCTTTGTCCTTGTGATTTCTCTCCCGATATTTTTTTTTTCTCTTAGAAAAATTCTCATCAAAGTTCCATGCAAGACCATTTAAGGGTTAACACATTTTCCCCCAAAATGACTGCAGTCCCTCTACTGAAATTCATTTTATGAGTCCAGTCTGTTGAAAGATAAGAAAACTATCACAGTGGAGATGGAAGATGGAAATTGGGCTCAGAGAGCAAAGAAGGGTGAAAAAGATATGGACACATATATCCATGGCACAAATTTTAATGATTTCTGTAAAGTATAATTAAAGGAAATTACAGGAAGTTTCATTTGATTTTCTTAGAGGTCCTGAAACTCACGAGTGTTACAGAGTTATAGTATTTACAGAAAGAAAGGCTATTAAAATTCAAGAGAATGTGGAAGGAGCTGCCGTCTTTTTTGAAAAAATTCCTTTACATTGCAAAAGATGACCCAAGCTATTCTTTAAAATTCAACATCTCTGATATTATTCTCACAGTAGAGCAGTTAACTGCAGATAAAATTAGTTCTTCCTGTCAAATCATTGTGTTATTCCACCAAAATAGGTGTCTTCTACGTACACAGCCTTGGACAATGGAAATCCTTGACAAGGAGCAGCTGCTTTTGTCCAGTACTTCACGTCAGCCGCTAGAAAGCAGGGACGGCCAGGCGGGCTCTTGCAGAACCTGCCATGCCGGTGGCCCTGCGGGTCCGGCTGCAGCTCCCACCTTCGCACTCTCTCTGGGATGATTTGGGTCAAGGCAGAGCTGTGCAGCCTCTGTACATCCTCATCAAGCACGGACTCAAAAACTGAGTCCTAATCAGCAGCCGTTTCAAAATTCCTGAAGGTGTGGAGTCATCCCAGACCCTCTGGCAAGCTCCGGAAGGGTGTTATGGGAGGAAAGTGGGTGTCTATAGGCGGTGATATGGGTTTGCACCATAAGGAGAGGATCCAAGTCCTGTTTGCTACACATGTGCTGAGGGAAAGACACTTTCTTCAAGAGGTAGTCACCAAAAAGCTGGTCACACCTACGGACAGCAGCATGGTTTCCCCTGAGGGGGGCACTGGAAATCGCTAAGCTGAGTGGCAGGTGGCACTGGCTGCTCTTTTGGGTGGAAGCAATAGACTGTGTTCACCTGAGACTCAGCAAGAAGAGGCGTGTCCCACCCCGAGTACTTCCCGTTGACCCCGCAACCGCCCCTGCAACGACGGGGATGGAAGGGGAGGGCGGCTTCGTAAAAGGCACCTGGGACCCCCACAACTAGCATTCCTTTGACAAAAATCAGAAATCTTTGGGAAAGGGGGAAGGAAAAGGGGGCAGAGTCCAGCCGAAAAGCCGACCTCAAAGAACCATTTTGGGGTATTTCTTTTCTCTTGACTGCTTGGGAAATGCCTTCGGTTCACCCACCACTTCTGAAGGGGCTTCACTTCTAAGGCGAGAGGCCAACGTCCCAACAGAGGGACTCTCACTTCTTTCTGCCATTTGTTAAATTGTTCCATAAATTAGTTGTTTTACATAAAATTTGGAACTACGATCTGGGAGGCCGAGGGGCTGCACCACCAGTAAGTCGCTGACTCAAATGGGCCCTTTAATCCCCAAACCCAAACTCTTTCCTCGATCGAACCGCTGGCCTCAACCTACAAGCCTCCTCCACCGCCAAAAGTCGGGAAGGGTTGGTCCTTTTGTTTTACAAATGAATTAAAATTAGATCCACAGGCCCGCGTAACGCTGGGGAATACCCAGGGCGAGGCCAGCTTCCAGGAGGTCAGCGCCAACACCGCCGGCAGGAATCTGGGGGGATGGGGAGGTCTCCTCATCTCTGAGCCTTGAGCACCAGGCCTGAATTTTCGCCTCTTTCGCACAGGTGCCCGACTCGGAGTCCGGGAGGCGGGCCCTCTTTCCAGGTACCCAGCCCAGCGTCAGCCTGGGTCCATCCTCCGCCACCCCACAGCGCGGGGAGCAGGGGAGGCCGAAAGCCGGGCAGCTTGGGGGGCCGGGATAACCCGGGCTGCAGCAACCCCGGGCGGCAGCAGGACTGGAGAGCTGGTGTCGGACGCACTGCAGAGACGTCCCTGTTTTCGGCGCGTCCTCCGACACCCAGCAGAGAGCTTGGCGCTCTCCGCTCTGCGCGCCCGAGGTCACAGCGCGGAGAAACCTGGCGGGGCCCCGGACTCCCCGGCTTGGGAAAAGCGATGACTGCCCTGAACTGCTGGGGCGTTCGAAATTTCCAGGGTCCCGACCCTCCGTGGGGTACGCGCGACTTCGGCGCAGATGTCAGTCCGCTGCCTTCCGGGTTGAGGGAGCGAGGACTCCAGACGACCCCAGGGCCGCTGTCCAGGCCCAGCCCCGCGTTCTCCACCTCGCCACCTCGCTCTGCGGCTCCAGCCTGGAGATCTACGGACTTCATTGCGATCTCTTGCGCAGTGTAGTCGCCCTCTATCCCTAGCCCCGAGTCCCGGGTAACCCAGGGGCCCCGGCGAGGCGAGTTTCTTTGGGGCGAGATGTCCCGAGCCGAGCAAAGGGGCCGCGCATTGGACGGGGCTCCCAAGCCACAGCCCTGGGGGCCTTGAGGAGTCGTGGTACGGTCCAGGGCAGTCGGGGCTGCGGGGCCCGTGAAGCCAGACGAGGCTACGGACTTAGGGTCCCTGCAACCAAGACCGCGAGCGACTGTGGACTCGGGACGGATCGCACAAAGGAGGAAGGGGGAATCAGAGGGGCGTCCGGTCCAGGACGTGTCAGGCCTGGGCGGGGCGGAAAACTGACACCAGGGCGAGGACAAGGATTTCGCTCCTCCAGGGCTGCCAGGGGAGGGGCTCGCCACCGTCACTCTCCATGGGCTCTGGCCCCGACGGTGTTTAAAGGGCGGAGGGCTGGGCCGGGCTGGTCGCACCCGGGCGCTGCTGGCGGCCAAGCTGGATGGGTCGCCAGTGAGTTTCGGTGCGGCACCGCTGGCCCAGGCCCGGGCGCGGCTGGACATGGCCACCTACTGCGACGACCTGGGCCCCTCCTCGGCCCCGCCCGGCCAGGCCCAGGCCACCGCGCACCCCCCGGGCTATGAGCCAGGGGATCTGGGCGCGGTGGGCGGGGGCCCCCTCCTGTGGGTGAACGCGCCAGCGCTCAGCCCCAAGTCCTACGCTTCGGGTCCCGGGCCTGCGCCGCCCTACGCGGCCCCGAGCTACGGGGCTCCCGGCCCGCTCCTCGGCGCCCCGGGCGGCCTGGCGGGCGCCGACCTCGCCTGGCTGAGCCTCTCCGGCCAGCAGGAGCTGCTGAGGCTGGTGCGGCCGCCCTACTCCTACTCGGCGCTCATCGCCATGGCCATCCAGAGCGCGCCGCTGCGGAAGCTGACGCTCAGCCAGATCTACCAGTACGTGGCTGGTAACTTCCCTTTCTACAAGCGCAGCAAGGCGGGCTGGCAGAACTCCATCCGCCACAACCTGTCGCTCAACGACTGCTTCAAGAAGGTGCCCCGCGACGAGGACGACCCAGGTAACAGCGGCGCGCCGGCTCGCTCCGTCCAGGACTCCCCATCTTCCCGCCGGGCCGCGGGCACTCCGGGGGTGGGAGCACCTTAGACAACCTAATTTCTCCCTGCGCGGTTGGGGATACCCGGGGAGGAGGGAGAAGGGGAAGAAGTGCTTGGGCATGGACAGGTTCTCAGACAGCGGCTGAGCCCACCACAGGCCCGCGTTTACAGTGCGGCGGTCCCGGGGCTCTCAATCTCTGTGCGCTCCTTCGGAGGAAGAAGCGGGAGAGCCAGCAAGCTGGGTGACCTTGGGAGTGACTCAACTTCCCTGGGCCTCAGTGCCCTACCTGGTAAAATGGGGAAGACAGCGCCTACCCCAAGGATGGGCAAAACAAATAGGATGCCCGTTTGGAAAGCTCTGGAGCCTACCTGGGGGCCTGGCGTGGTCTGCGCTGTCCTTGGCAGAGCGGCTGGCGGAGTCCCACCATTAGCATCTCGCAGGCCTTCCTTCACCTTAACGGGGCTCGGCCTTTCCCAGGGCTCCCTTCCTCCTCCTTTCTGGATTGTCACTTTCTTCCCAGTCCTGCTGTGGAGGCCCATCGGGTACAGAGTGCCCGTCAAGGGTGGAATGGGGGCGAGGACTCAGACCCTCTGTAAGGGCCAGCAGGGGATCTTTCTGAAGCTGACCTCCTCGCTGGCTCACACCACGGCCCGTCAAAGCTCGAACCTTCTGAACTGGGCTGTTTCTTCTTCTGCAGGTAAAGGCAATTACTGGACCCTGGACCCCAACTGCGAGAAGATGTTTGACAACGGGAACTTCCGAAGGAAGAGGAAGAGGAGAGCTGAAGCCAGCGCGGCCGTGCGCTCGGGAGCCAGGAGCGTGGGAGGGGCCGAGGCGCCAGCGCTGGAGCCCCCGAGCGCGGCTTGCCTGGACCTGCAGGCCTCGCCCTCTCCATCCGCACCCGAGGCCGCCACCTGCTTCTCCGGTTTCGCTTCTGCTATGAGCGCTCTGGCTGGCGGCCTTGGCACCTTCCCCGGGGGCCTGGCGGGCGACTTTTCTTTCGGGAGGCGGCCACCGACAGTCGCCACCCACGCTCCCCAGACCCTTAACCCCTCCCCTGGCTTCGCCCCTGGCCACCAGACCGCGGCCGCCGGCTTCCGCCTCAGTCACCTCCTCTACAGCCGGGAAGGGACCGAAGTTTGAAGGGAGGCTGGAGGCTAGCCGGGTGCGGGTCCAGAGGTGCTGAGCTCAGGCCTCCGGTTTCCCCTGGTGACAGCCCCACGTGTTGGCGTTGAAGGCCTTGGTGCCCTGGGAGGAAGCGCAGAGCCGGGGGCGGCTCGGCCAGCAGGGAGCTGGGCTGAGCGGCTCTTGGGCTTTGGGGTGGGTGGCCCTTCTGCTGTGCACCCCTCACCCAGGCGACCTTCGGAACCTCCCTGCTCTGCCTCTAAGTCCAGCCGCCCTGGGCGTCTAGAACCTGTGCTCTCGAGGGATTTGCCTTGAAGGGGCGGCGGGTCGGCCCTCAGCTCCAGCGTTTTCCAAGGAGGCTGGCTGACTCCAAAGAGCCTTAGAGCAGATGGGAAGAAGGTGGGCTGCCAGAGCGGCCCAGGTGGTGGGGGCCCTTTCCACCTCCACCCAGCTTGGCCCACCTGGCTCAGGGCCTTCCCTTCTGCTTCAGGGAAGCTGCCGCAGGGGCTGGGGGACAGAGCTCAGGAGCAGCTGCAGTGGGCTCCAGGTGGGCCAGGAGCCTGCAGTGAGGGGATCTGAGACAGTTGGCATTGGGTCCTGTGTAAGGAAGGTCTTGCTAATGGTTGGAACTGCTGGTGGTGGGAGGGAGAAGCACTGCGTGGGCAGAAAGCGCCCTTGGGATACCAGCTCCCTTCCCTGTCACTCAGCCCTGGTCCTTGATGACCCCCCTCTAGGACAAGGCAACTCCCCAGGGCCCCGCCACCACTGACCACAGGAGCGGTGCCCAGCACCCAGGAGTTCCCCAAGGGTCCAGGTTTGTGCCACCCACACCCACACTCACACCCACACTCACACCCACACTCACACCCACACCCACACCCACACCCACACTCACACTCACACTCACACCCACACTCACACCCACACTCACACCCACACCCACACCCACACTCACACACACTCACACCCACACCCACACTCACACCCACACACACTCACACCCACACACACCCACACTCATACTCACACTCACACCCACACTCACACCACACCCACACTCACACTGACACCCACACTCACACCCACACTCACACTGACACCCACACTCACACCCACACTCATACTCACACTCACACCCACACTCACACTCACACCCACACTCACACCACACTCACACCCACACACACCCACACTCATACTCACACCCACACCCACACTCATACTCACACACCCACACCCACACCCACACCCACACCCACACCCACACCCACACTCACACAGGCTCATGGAAGGCCACACTTGTTTTGGTCTCTTTCCCCTCCAAACCCACAGTTTGAGCCAAAGCTGTGCGTGTGTTCAGAGCTCCTGAACAGCAGCCTCCTGTGTAAATTGAACCCTGCCCCACCCAGTTCCTTCTTAGGGATGGTATCTTTGTGAAGGACAAGGAGCCCCCAGTCACTGGGAAGAGGAATTTTTTGGCCTCTGTACTCCTTAGAGGACCTAAGTGCCCCAGTCAGATGCCCTGAGTCTTTGTGGCATCTGGGACTCCCTGGAGATGGAGACGTTGGTGGGGGGGGGGTACCCACCTTGTTGTTGATGGGGGTACCTATCTTCCCTGCATTTTGGGGGAGGGTGGGAGGGGTCCTTCCCAGGAAGAGAGTGGAGACAGGTTACTGTTACTTTGGAGTGGGACAGGCTGGTTTAGCAATCCTAAGCCCCAGCCACGCAGGTATTCCTGATCTGCCTGCAGGGCCCCTCACTGCAGCTGCCACCAGTGCTGGAAATGAGAGCAGGGCTCCTGACTGTCCCTAGAGCTGACTCATCATGGCCCTGCTGAAGAGTGAGGTGTGTGTGTGTGTGTGCGTGTGTGCGTAAGACAGAGAGGGAGGGAGAAGGAAGGAGGCGGGGGAACATGGAGAGAAGGAGCCAGGAGTTGGGATAAACCTGGCCCTGGTCATATGTTTCATCAGCAGTGGCTCCTAACTCCACGTGCCATCTCTGCTGCTGCCCTCCACAAGCAGGTGAGCAGAGTGCCAGTTGTGTTGAAGGTGATGATGTCGCCTAACTAAACTCACAACCAACCCGCAATCTCTCTTGGGGGGACACTCCCCATAAGCAATACAATTAAAGAAGACCAGGAAAGGAAAATAAATTCCTTAGCTTATACATTTAAAAAGTATCCCTTGAACCTATTTTAATAGAATGAAATGCTAAAAATAAAGACCAATATAACATACATAGCTGGCATGTGTATGCTATTTCGTATAAGAATTCCACTGCTATGACAAACATCCCCATTTTAGAGTCTGAACTTGCAGGAAACTTGGAAAGATCTTTTCCTAATTAAATTTGACAACAGTTGGAAAATGCAATGGACAATTGGACAATCAGTGGAGCTTTGAGAAAATTGGCTGACACGTGTGGATGTAAACATGGAATGTCATGGCTGCATGACTGCTAGATGTTGGGAAGCTGCTTTTTTTTTTTCTCTAACAATGGTATTTATGTTAAAATTGAGAAAAAAATATTTAAGATTTTTCAACTTTTGGTTTGTTGCCCAAAGATCGTTTTTTACCGTTTGAAAGTTGCTCATTTATTCAAAGCTTTATACCATTAGTAGGTAATAGTATAAACAAATAGGTGAAATCTTCATGAGAAAAGCTTGGTTAAAAATACTTCCAGCAGTGCAAGGTATTTGGACATGGGTGGGGTTAGATGGCCAAACCATTCTCTCCTCCAAAACAGCCCACATGCCTGGATGTGCTTAGGAGAGGGGAAGCCAGGCCAAAATGCATTTCATAGGCCCAGGCATGGCACAGTCAGCTTCAGACTCATTATCCCAAAGAAACATTTTCCCATAGCAAAGAAACTGTTGAAATCAAAACAAAAAAATGCAGCTTGAGGTCACTTTATGGTTAAATACTTTCTTCTGGCCAGGGCTTGGTGAACTTGACCACAGTCCCTAGAGCTCACTGAATGCAGGCAGCAGAAGGACGTGGTCCTGTTGGTCAGGCCAGGGCATTGCTGCCAGGTGGCTAGGAGGGTGCTCTAACCCCGGGGTTCTGAGCCCACTGTGGCACTCAGATCCCATCTGCTCCCCTGCCCTGTCTTGTGTGTGTGTGTGTGTGTGTGTGTGTGTGTGTTTGAAATCGTGAATCCTGCAGACAATTCCAAAAGTAACTGTGAAACTTCAATGAAAGGAAAACCTCTGCATCGTGGCATAGGCACGTGGCAGTGTGCCATAGGAATATCCAATTCTTAGTCTGAATAAACAACTTGGTGGCACTGAATAGTTTCAAATATAGAAGCAAGCTTCAAAATTCAGAGGTGAAAGACAATTAAAACATGCCAAAATATTGGGTGATTGGGAATTCTTTGCATTGCCAAGCAGCAGTGGTAATTTCCTAGTGACTGAAAATGAAAGAGAATAATAATACAGGAAACTGTAATCTGTCCTAGAAACCTTTGGTCACTGGGTCAATTATCCCCATACAAAGAAGAACCATTCATGAAGAAGACTCAACATTTGTTAGAAATGTTTTGTAAAGTGCCATATATAGTGTTTTAAAAAGTGAACATTGGATTTCAAGATATTTCACATATTGATTAAACATTGAGTATGTTTTTTTCTGATGAAAAAGTTTTGCATTTTAGCAATGCTGCCTTGGGATATTAATCCACCTTCAATCTTTAGTCTTCTAAAATGTATCTGCTGGTCAAGTGACATTTTTCATTCAAAGAAATACCATTATAGTAATTATTAGAACTCTCTCTTCAGTGAAACAGAACACTGAAGTTCATCCCCATTTTGCAGATAGAAAAGCTGAGTCAAGGGGCTAAAAGATCTCCAGAAGCTAAACTGATGAGAGCTAAAAGGGACTTCAGATGCACCTGCAACTTTTACGTGGCTCATATTCACAAATGCACCTATTGATGGACATGCGCACACGCGCACACGCACACACACACACACCCCACACACACCACCAAACCCCATCTTGGGTAGGATCTTCAAGGGAAAAGCCACAGATTACACCCCCTACCCTCCATACCTAAAGGCATAGTATTTTCAAATAACCCTTTGAGTTCAGGATTTGACTCCAGGTAGGAGAGAAACATGTGGAACCGCCACAGAATGCAATAGAGGTTGAGTCACTTGTATCCTAATAAAATGTGACTTGTTCAGTCTATCTCTTTTGAGTGTTAACTATGTGGTATTAAGTCATGCAGTGAATAAGCTGAGCCTGTTGCTACCCTCACAGAGCCTCCTTCCAGTGGTCGGAACAAAGATGAGTGAGCAATTACAGGCTGGACGTGGCTTTTTGGCTCTATAAGGATTACTTATAGATGATCAAGTCATCAACCATCTCACTTGTTAACACAAGTAACATATTGTGTCTTATATACAGACCCCAGTGTGTTCCACACCCTGCTAACTCAGGAAGTGTTTGATTTCTCAGTTTCATAACTTCTTTGTGATTTTAGGCAGGGAGTTAAGCACTGCCCCGGGCTGGTGTAGGTCCCATCTGCTCACTTTTCCACAGTGTCATTTAGGAAACTTAAAACCTGTCCTCATATTAGAAGATCTGTCATTTGGCAGTGACAGGGGAGACAATTAATGTGACCAGAGTTGGCCCTTCCCCAGGGCTTCTGAGTGTGCAGTCCATCTATAGGTTAAAGTTTTTAGAGCTCTTTTCTTTTAATCTAATTTAAATTTGCGGATCAACGTTATTCAGGGCTAACCCCTGGGTACCTGCAATAAACTACTTTCTTTGGTCAGATTTCATCAGTGGCTGAACACAAAGAATTAAAAATATCTTTAGTTTCACCCATTTCATGGAGGGCAATAAATAGTATATTGAATTGGACCTTCACCAAGAAAAGAAAGAAAGAAAAGAAAATTGGAGTTGCGTCCCTGCTGTAATCTAGAGCAAATTAAACTTACAAGTCATTGAGTCTTTCTCTACCCCTAAGAGTCACCCATTCATCCATCAGACAGATTGAAGGTCAAGGAAAGCGTCAGGGACTCTGTTAGATGCTTCCTGTGCGTTTTTCATTAAGCCTTCACAGCAACCCAGTGATGCCCCTATTATCATCCCCATTTTACTTATGGGGAAACTGAGGCTCAGACAAGTTAACTGACTTGTTTCTCAGAGGCC
This sequence comes from Homo sapiens, assembly GCF_000001405.40. Lineage (NCBI taxonomy): Eukaryota > Metazoa > Chordata > Mammalia > Primates > Hominidae > Homo > Homo sapiens. The sequence continues at coordinate 127,744,107 of NC_000010.11, forward strand.
ACAGATAATACTGAGCTACGTCAGTAGCAGCCTTCCTACTCTCTGTTCCTGACTTTTCTGCTTCCCCCTTCATCCCTCAGGTGCTAGAGAGACCTCACTTTTCCAGACTCCTTCTGACAATCCAGGTCCAAGTTAAGTGCCCTTTGGTGTGTTCTTGGGGCCTTGGATGTATTGCATCACACCCACAGAAGACCAAGTTCCTTCCTGCCTCTTCTCCTATGGTTTATGTGGGAAGGGACCAGCTTGCTTTCTTCCAGAGTAACATCCCTAGAGCCAGGAAGACTGTGGACAGGTGGTAGCAGTTGAACGATGGACTGACTGACTGAATGACTGAATGAGTACATGTGTGAGTGAATACAGTTACACCCTCAGCTTTTCATAAACCCTTCTACCCACCACCCAGCCCCCAGACTCCTATGATGGGTGTGATTCTTCCTTACCCAGGGCCAGGCCTACTGCTGGACCCTGTAGGTACAACACTGAGTGGGCCAAGCCCAGAAGGCCATTGCTGTTGAATACCCATGCTGGAGGGCTGTGTGCCATGCTGGGGGAATTTGTAGTGGGCGCAGAGCTGGGGGATAGGAATATTCAGAGATAGTGTTGACAGTGAGGCCAGTAGGGTTTGGTTAGTCCATATAAGTTTCACTTTGAACATGAAAGAAATCGTGATCATGTAAATTATGTCCTTGAGAATCTAGGCTGACACCCCCGCTTTCAAGTGTTGATCAGTGGTCAGACATGTATATTTTTATCTGAGGGATGATTTGTTATTTGCCAATGATGTCCAAGCATTTTCCAGATCACCCTTCCCCTTTCCTGCTGCACTCCCTGGATCTAAACCTCCTCATCCAGAACAGGGCTTAGCTCCCAAGGAGGCAGGAAGAATTTGAGGTCAGGAATGGAGTCAGGCTAGTGTGCTCCTTTCACAGGGCCAGGGCGCAATCAGACTGAAAGATGAGAGAGGCATTGAAGATGCTTGTGAGGGATCATTTTTACTGCCTTCTAGAGGTGTTGAGGAGTCGCCTGTCCCCAGGCCCCTAATCCGGTCTGGCAATCCATCACCTGCACGGAGGCCCCCAGACCTGCATGCACGGGTGGTTCCGATCTGCCTAAGGCACTCGTTCCCTTCGACACCTGAACCAAACAACTCCACCCGCTTTGACTGAACCTCCCTTTGCTGGGCTGAGACCACTTTACTGTGAGAAGCCTAAGGGCAGGTCAGGTTATGGGAAAAGATGGACTTCTGGAGTGAGTAGAATTAATACTTTAATGGAAGGTTTCTGTTTCAGCATTCTTGAAAAGTGTGGAGCTTAATTCTCTATGTTCTTTTTGTAATCCTGAATGGTATAGGACTGCCTCCTTGCTCTGTTTATATTGACTACTTTGATTTAAAAAATTTTTTTTTCCTTTTGCTAAAAAGAATACACTACGTTGTATATTTCAATTGGAGGAAATTAAAGACAGTTTGGTTTACTGTTTAAATAATGCAACATCTAAGAAAGGAATTGCAAGGGGAGGAAGAGGGAAAACTTAAATAATCATTTGCTATGCAGTTCTTAAGAGATACTTTGCTCGTAGTCTTTTTCTTTCTGTCATTCACTGTTGCTTTAATTTCTCTACAATGCCCTAGTTAATATACATAGTATGCGAAAGAAAATTTGAGACATAAAAATTTAAGAATCCATAACAATAATACTCTTTTATCGGCAAGTTTATTTTTGTTATCATTGGTGAGAATATTTTCTTCATTTTCAGGTTTAGAATGTGTAAGGCTGTTAGTACGCATAACCATATCTCCGCATTCACTGCAGGAACAAAATTAAAATGAGATTTATAACAGGAAAAAGCCATACATTTTCAAGTAACTGGTAAGATGGATGCTCGCACATTCTGACCTGGCAGGAGGGACCCACTCTCGAGCTCAGATTTCACACAGGCTCATTCATACAGCACATCAAAGCTCCCTTGATGGCCTAATGGGGTGCCCACAGTAAAACAGACTTTCAGCACAGCTGAGTGTAGAATGATGAGTCTTTGCTGAGATGTCCAGTTTACCATCCACCAGAGCAGTCTTTCACGAAACCAGACGTGGTGTTGTGGCCTTTGAGAAATGGAGATGTTCCATTTAGAGGTGATGTGTTGCTTGCTTTATAAATGTTCTTGCACAACAGACTGAGTGAAATCTCCAAGACAGAGCAAAAGTTTAGAGCTGGATTGTTGTATTGAGGAATGCAGACACCTACAACTGCAACTAATGTTTCTAAGATACAGCACACTGGCTTGAGTAAAGTTAGGGTGATGAGGACATTTCAGTGAGTGCCTAATAAGAACAGAGATTTATAGATATGATTTCTAATAAAAACTCATAGTCATTGTAAGTATTACTAGCTTAGCTTTACAAATGAATAAAAAACTATGACTCAGAATGGTAAGGTGAATTGCCCAAAGGGGAGGGATTGGGGAGGACCAACATTTTTTTTTGTAACAACTCTACTTTTAATTTTTTCTCACAAACATGTTTTTAAAAATTTGTTGGAAATATATAGTTTTTTAAAATATATACTTAAAGTTCTAGGGTACATGTGCACAATGTGCAGGTTTGTTACATAGGTATACATGTGCCATGCTGATTTGCTGCACCCATTAACTTGTCATTTACATTAGGTATTTCTCCTAATGCTATCCCTCCCCCTGCACCCTACCCCCCTACAGGCCCCGATGTGTGATGTTCCCGCCCTGTGTCCAAGTGTTCTCATTGTTCAATTCCCACCTATGAGTGAGAACATGAGGTGTTTGGTTTTCTGTCCTTGTGATAGTTTGCTCAGAATGATGGTTTCCAGCTTTATCCATGTCCCCACAAAGGACATGAACTCATCCTTTTTTATGGCTGCATAGTATTCCATGGTGTATATGTGCCACATTTTCTTAATCCAGTCTATCATTGATGGACATTTGCGTTGGTTCCAAGTCTTTGCTATTGTGAATAGTGCTGCAATAAACATATGTGTGCATGTGTCTTTATAGTAGCATGATTTATAATCCTTTGGGTATATACCCAGTAATGGGATTGCTGGGTCAAATGGTATTTCTGGTTCTACATCCTCGAGGAATCACCACACTGTCTTCCACAATGGTTGAACTAGTTTACAGTCCCACCAACAGTGTAAAAGCGTTCCTATCACTTCACATCCTCTCCAGCATCTGTTATTTCCTGACTTTTTAATGATCACCATTCTAACTGGTGTGAGATGGCATCTCATTGTGGTTTTGATTTGCATTTCTCTGATGACCAGTGATGATGATCATTTTCTCATGTGTCTGTTGGCTGCATACATGTCTTCTTTTGAAAAGTGTCTGTTCATATCCTTCACCCATGTTTTGATGGGGTTTTTTGTTTTTTCCTATAAATTTGTTTAAGTTCTTTGTAGATTTTGGATATTAGCCCTTTGTCAGATGGGTAAATTGCAAAAATTTTCTCCCATTCTGTAGGTTGCCTGTTCACTCTGATGGTAGTTTCTTTTGCTGTGCAGAAGCTCTTTAGTTTAATTAGACCCCATTTGTCAGTTTTGGCTTTTGTTGCCACTGCTTTTGGTGTTTTAGTCACGAAGTCCTTACACATGCCTATGGCCTGAACGGTATTGCCTAGGATTTCTTCTAGGGTTTTTATGGTTTTAGGTCTAACATTTAAGTCTTTAATCCATCTTGAATTAATTTTTGTATAAGGTGTAAGGAAAGGATCCAGTTTCAGCTTTCTACATATGGCTAGCCAGTTTTCCCAGCATCATTTATTAAATAGGGAATCCTTTCCCCATTTCTTGTTTTTGTCCAGGTTTGTCAAAGATCAGATGGTTGTAGATGTGTGGTATTATTTCTGAGACCTCTGTTCTGTTCCATTGGTCTATATCTCTGTTTTGGTACCGGTATCATGCTGTTTTGGTTACTGTAGCCTTGTAGTATAGTTTGAAGTCAGGTAGCGTGATGCCTCCAGCTTTGTTCTTTTGGCTTCGGATTGTCTTGGCAATGCAGGCTCTTTTTTGGTTCCATATGAACTTTACAGTAGTTTTTTCCAATTCTGTGAAGAAAGTCATTGGTAGCTTGATGGGGATGGTATTGAATCTATAAATTACCTTTGGCAGTATGGCCATTTTCATGATATTGATTCTTCCTATCCATGAGCATGGAATGTTCTTCCATTTGTTTGTGTCCTCTTTTATTTCGTTGAGCAGTGTTTTGTAGTTCTCCTTGAAGAGGTCCTTCGCATACCTTGTAAGTTGGATTCTTAGGTATTTTATTCTCTTTGAAGCAATTGTGAATGGGAGTTCACTCATGATTTGGCTCTCTGTCTGTTATTGGTGTATAGGAATGCTTGTGATTTTTGCACATTGATTTTGTATCCTGAGACTTTGCTGAAGTTGCTTATCAGCTTAAGGAGATTTGGGGCTGAGACGATGGGGTTTTCTAAATATACAATCATGTCATCTGCAAAGAGGGACAATTTGACTTCCTCTTTTCCTAATTGAATACCCTCTATTTCTTTCTCTTGTCTGATTGCCCTGGCCAGAAGATTGCCCTGACCAGAACTTCCAACACTATGTTGAATAGGAGTGGTGAGAGAGGGCATCCCTGTCTTGTGTTGGTTTTCAAAGAAAATGCTTCCAGTTTTTGCCCATTCAGTATGATATTGGCTGTGGGTTTGTCATAAATAGCTCTTATCATTGTGAGATACATTCCATCAATACCTTGTTTATTAAGCGTTTTTAACATGAAGGGCTGTTGAATTTTGTCGAAGGCCTTTTCTGCATCTATTGAGATAATCATGTGATTTTTGTCTTTGGTTCTCTTTATGTAATGGATTACGTTTATTGATTTGCATATGTTGAACCAGCCTTGCATTCCAGGGATGAAGCCAACTTGATGGTGGTGGATAAGCTTTTTGATGTGCTGCTGGATTCTGTTTGCCAGTATTTTACTGAGGATTTTTGCATCGATGTTCATCAGGGATATTGATCTAAAATTTTTTTTTATTGTGTCTCTGCCGAGTTTTGGTATCAGGATGATGCTGGCTTCATTAAATGAGTTAGGGAGGATGGGGAGGACCAACATTTAACATTTAAAGCCAGACTTGTCTGACCCCAAAGTTCATGTTTTCCCCACCGCTGTCTGCATGGCCTTTCTATGTAATAAATGGAGATGACTGAGAAATGCTGTGTTCCTTGTCCTAAAGCTCTGATCTGGAGACCTTAGTCTGTTGTGTCCTCTTATGAAAGATCAAATACAGGATAGAAACATGATTAACTTTGGATTTACTATAAACAAGTATAATTTAGTTTTAAAAATAGAAATATGACTTTGTTCTTTATTATAAAAATAGTACACATGATTTTAAAAATTAAGAGAGACTACTAAAGGAATACAATCTATAGCTTCCAAGCAGGAGAGATGGAACAAATTTGCAGCAGGAAATTCTAAATTATTTATGATATCTGGCCCACCACCTATTTTCGTATGGCCTATGAGCTAAGAGTGGTTATTACATTTCTTAATGGTTGAAAAACCTCCAAGTCCAGGTGCTATGGCTCATGCCTGTAATCCCAACACTTTGGGAGGCTGAGACGGTTGGATAACTTGACGTTGGGAGTTCAAGACCAGCCTGGCCAACATAAGGAAACCCCATCCCTACTAAAAATACAAAAAATTAGCCAGGCGTGGTGGTGTGTGCCTGTAATCTCAGCTACTTGGGAGGCTGAGGCAGTAGAATTGCTTGAACTTAGGAGGCAGAGGTTGCAGTGAGCCAATATCACACCACTGCACTCCAGCCTGGGTGACAGAGTGAGACTCTACCTCAAAAACAAAAACAAAAAACAAACAAACAACAAAAAACAAAAACAAAAAAACAGAAACAAAAAACAAAAAAACTGAAAAGAAGAATATTTCATCATTACATGTAAAAATTGTATGAAATTAAAATCCCAGTGCCCATAAATATAGTTTTGCTGGAACATGGCAATCCCATTCATTTATAGGCAATCCATGGTGGCTTTAGTGCTACATGCACAGAATTGGGCAGCCCCATCAGGAGACTCGTGGTTTTCTCCTGGCCATACGCTGAAAGTTTTGAATGGAAACCATACTGGACAGGTCACCAAAAGTCATGGCCTGTCAACACATGTGACTCTTGAGACGCTACGCTATAGCATATGACATGTAGCATATAGCTATATATGATATAGCCGTGGCTATAGCCTATGGCATATAGCACAGCATGTCAACAGCCACATGTGTTGACAGGCCATGACTTTTCTTTTACTGGTGCCTACCCATCATATCAAAACAAGAAAAAAGAAAAAAGTGGACTTCACATGTTGCAATTTTAAGGCAAGGTAGAGTATGGATTATTTTGTTACTGAGTCAGCTGGCTAAGCTAAGCCTTGTGTATCTTAGGCAATGATGTCATGCTGCAGCTCCAAGAACCCACTATCTGCCAGCATGGCCAGACTAGGCACCCTTCACAACACTGCTTCTCATGGAAGCTATGGTGAGGGAAACAAGGACATTAGAACAGGCTCTCCCTTACCACAGCAAAATTTCTTTACAGAGTTAAGAAAATGGACTGGGTGCAGTAGCTCACACCTGTAATCCCAGCACTTTGGGAGGCCAAAGCAGACAGATGGCCTGAGTCCAGGAGTTTGAGACCAGCCAGGGCAATATGGCAAAAACATCTCTAAAAAAAAAAAAAAGAAAGAAAAGTAAAAGAAAGAAAGAAAATGAAAAAAGGCTATGGCCACAGTAAGTTTCCAAGTGTCTCCTTTGTTGGCCAAGCAGGGAATACATTTACCCATGAGAAGTTAATTAAGTCATGTTTGATTGCAGCAGTTGAAGAAATGTGCCCAGAAGTGGTCCAGGAAAAATAAACTTGTTTAGAAGTATTAGCTTTTGTCCTCAACTTTGTTCTATTATAATTATATATTACCATTTGAACACCATCAATACAAATTTTGTGGAAACTTGTTTTCTCTGTTGTTGTATAAGTATCACAGTGCATCTTTGCCTCTGCCCCTTGGTACACAAAGCCCAAAATGTTTGCCATCTGCCCTTTATAGAAAATAACTGCTTACTCCTGACCTATCAGATAAGAGAAAAGGACATTGGGAAAAAATATTTAATAGCAAACAAAGTAAGATGATAGCAGTAAGTCCAAACATGTAATTAATCATAACAAATATAAATTGTTGAACTCTTCTAATAAAGACAGAGGATTGGATATGTATTTTTTAATCTAGCTATACATTGCTGACAAGAAATAGATGTAGAATAAGACCTCAAAAAAAATTGAAAGCAAAGAAATAGAAGAAGACATAGCAGGCACATTCTAACCAAAACAAAGCTATAGTGATGTTAATTTTTAAAAATATAATTTAAGTCAAAAATGCTAATATGGATAATGAAGAAACCAACATAATAATAAAAATAATTGACCATAAGGAAGATATGGGAATATTGCAAACAACAAGGAATAAAGAAAAACTGACAGAAACAGATCCATTGAAGAAATCCACAGAATAGTCAGCTTGAACTCACGTTCACCTAGTAGATCAAGCAGACAAAAAAATGAAAGATTAGTAAGGTTATAGATTTGAACACCAAAATTACCAAACGTGATATCATAGCTACAGAGGCATGTACCAAATATGATAATAACATACAGTCTTTACAAGTAAAATATAGTGGTTTATTTTATAGGTTAACCACAGTCTAGGTCCCAAGTGGAAATCTCAATAATGATTTAAAAAAAAACCTTTTATCATATAGATAATGTTCTCTGATCACAATGCAATTAAATTAGAAATCAACAATAAAAGATCATTAAAAATTTTTGGACACTAACATAAATTCTTAACATTCTGAAATTAAAATTTAAAAAAATTGCATGAGTTAAAGACAGAATAGAAAAAAGCAATGGTGAAAGTGCTGGTAGTGGGGCATGGTGGCTCATGCCTGTAATCCCAGCACTTTGGGAGGCCAGGGCAGGAGGATCACTTGAGCTCCAGAGTTCGAGACCAGCTTGGGCAACATAGTGAGACCTCATCTCTACTAAAAATAAAAAAGAAATTAGTCTGGCATGGTGGTGCATAAACGTAGTCCCAGCTGCTTAAGAGGCTGAGGCAGGAGAATAGCTTGAGGCCAGAAGATTGAGGCTGCAGTGATCAAATCACCACACTCCAGACTGAGCAACACAGTGAGAACCTGTCTCAAGCAAAAAAGAAAAACTTCTTGTGAGATGATTGATAGAAGTATATATTTAGCATTATGTTTAATGAGTTATTTAGAGAAAAGAATATCAAAATAATTCAGTTACATTTTAAATAAAAGAAAAATTATTTCAAAAAACAATAGTGGAGATCACAACAGTAAGAATAAACTAATAAAATAGAAAACAGTCCTGGTGCGGTGGCTCATGCCTGTAATCCCAGCACTTTGGGAAGCTGAGGCAGGCAGATCACCTGAGGTCAGGAGTTCGAGACCAGCTTCACCAACATGGTGAAACCCCGTCTTTAGTAAAAACAAAACAAAACAAAACAAAAATACAAAAATTAGCCAGGCGCAGTGGCGTGCACCTGTAATCCCAGCTACTCAGGAGGCTGAGGCAGGAGAATCGCTTGAATCCCGGAGGCAGAGATTGTGGTGAGCCAAGATCGCACCATTGTACTCCAGCCTGGGTGACAGAGCAAAACTCCGCCAAAAAAAAAAAAAAAAAAAAAAAAAAGAAAGAAAAGAAAAGAAAACAATAGAGATGATCAACAGAGCCAAGTGTTGGTACTTTGAAAAATAAAGAAAGCAGGCAAAAGGTCAGAAAGATGGAGAGGAAAGAAGGAAACAAATGAACACTCTTGGAAAGATGAGTCCCTCCCACCATTCTGTCCCTGAGAGGCTGGTTGTCCTCAGAAGCCCAGTGCCATACATTTTCTCTGCTTGCTCCACATCTGTCTCCAAGGGTCACACTGGTGTCTACTACTGCTTCAGCTCATCTCCTGTTTCTTCATCCTTTCCATCGCTCCTAAACATCACACATGGATATCCAACTGTCTAGTGGACATCTCCGCATGGACGTCCTCCTAGAACCTCCACCTCACCATATCTGAAGCAGAACTCATCATCTCAGAGGCAAGAGTTTCAATACAAAGGTGGGAACCAGATAGTTTTAAGGGACTAGGAGGTGAGGCAGTGGGGTGGGGTCTGAGGATGTGGACAAGTATTTTAAGTGCTGATCCCAAAGAAGATGGAGGAAAACGAGTTCAAAGTTTGTTTGAATTTTGCTTGGTGTGTAGAGTGAGCAAGTTTAAATTTAGAGGATAAAGGACCAACGGAAAGGAAAAGTAAAAAATAGAGACAAGACGGGGAATCCTAGATAGAGAAAGACCTGGGAGAGCAGGAGGCAGCTTAGAACCCAGGGAAGGGGCTGAGCTGGAAGAGGAGAAGGCCACCTCCTCCTTTTTCACTGGAGGGAAGGGGCTAGAAGGATGCAGTCACCACCTCCAGCAATGGTGGAGGAGCTCCCATCTGAGGCTCTGCCTTTCTCTGAGAAGCATAAGGTGAAGTTACTTGTTGAGAGGTATTAGGTTGGCATAAAAGTAATTGCAGGTAATAGAAGTTAAGTATGAGAGGGAGTGAAGGAAGGATTTAGAAGGGACGGCATAGAGGAATATAGCGGTGAATGATAAAAGGAGGTGACTAAATAGCCCTAAAAGTTCTGGGGACTATCACCAAGGGTCCAGGCAAGGGCAAGAATAGGTCCCTTATTTGGGTCTAAATCCTAGTGTCAAGCAGAGAGGGGCAGAATTATCAAGGCTCTATCTAAAAATTAAAAGCTATGTTATCTTCAAACGATTATTTCCAATTACAAACTATGAAGTTGTATTGGTTTAAAGTGATCTTAAAATTCAAGCATTTTAGAGCAAGAAGGACCCTTTGACACCATTATTCCAGAAATGGCAAATCCGTTGCAGGCGTTTCTCCCAGAGAAGACATCAGTAATCTGTCACTGGATGGTTACCTGCCCTGTCTTCAGAGCCTTTCTCATCATTGCTTTTCAGGAAGTCATTGCCTGTCCATCAGAGTTCATATGTGTAATTAAACCTGTTTCCAGCCATGATAATATAAATGAAAACTGAAAGAGGTCAAGTAATTTGTTCAAAGTAGGACTACTGCTTAGTGGCTCAGCCATACAAAGACTCTAGGTCTCTCCATTCAGTCTGCCATCTGTCATTCTGATGTGCTGTGGAAAAGGTGGCAGACATCTCTGTATTTCAGCAATAACTGTATAATAGACCCAAATCTCCTTGAATATCCTGGTTCCAGCATTTTGTGCAAATTGGACAGACATCTTTGAAAAAGTCAAAGAAGCATTAAGAAAACCTCCAAAGGATGAGCATGGTGGCTCAGGCCTGTAATCCCAGCACTTTAGGGGGCTGAGGCAGGAGGATCACTTGAGCCCAGGAGTTCAAAAGTAGCCTGGACAACATGGTGAAATCTTATCTCTTCTAAAAATACAATACAAAAACTAACCAGGCGTGGTGGTGTGTGCTTGTGGTCCCAGCTACTTGGGAGGCTGAGGTGGGAGGATCATCTGAGCCTGGGAAGTTGAGGCTGCAGTGAACTGTGATCATGCCACTGCACTCCAGCCTGGGGAGCAGGAGTGACACCCTGTTTCAAAAAAAGAAAAAAAAAGAAAACTTCCAAAACAGAAGTGCTGTTGGCCCAGTCAGGCTTGGTTTTAAATGGCCACCCAGGCATACCCTTTGTGTTGGAAATTTCAGTTGCTGCTTCATATGAGTGTCTCTGAAAGTTCTCTCCTAAGTGCAATTCCCAAGAGCTGATATTTACATGTCACAAATGAGCAACACTCTACTTTGAATACTTTAAATTTATTATATAAATTTATATCATCCTACCAATAATCTTATAAAGAGATATATTATTTAATTATCTCATAATAACATATCCAAGTAGATATTATTTATTGAAAAGATAAGGAAACTGAGGCACAAGGGGCTTGTCAAGGGACTTGCAGAGAGGTCACACAGCTGGAAGGTGACAGAACCAGAATTCAAGTTCAGGCCACCTGATTCAGAGCTGGACCCTGAATAATCCTTAACACATCCTCTCAGCAGAGTTCATAAGCCATGACCAATAACATATTTCAGCAAGTATCTTCTGTTTTAAAGGTCATCCTGGGTAGCTTAAAATTTTTTCTTTACCTTAAAGAAAGAAACTATCAAATACAGGATTAGAAGCTACTGATGTTCCTTCCTTTTTAAAAAAAAGACAAATTTCAAAACAGTGAGTCTGTAAGCATTTTAGTCACCCTGGCCTTCAAGAACCATGTATTTTTTAATATGCTTGGTAGGAGCTACACACTTTGTAACAAATAGTTCCCTCAAAAATCTCTGAGTTATAAAGATGTGAACATTAATCTGACTGAAACTTGATGGTACGATAATACCATCTGATGACTTTCCAGTGTGGGACCCTTATGGATAAGGGGGCCATGCTGCACTCTTGGTCATTTTCATCCAATTCCAACAAAGACTGGGAGAGAAGAGCAATCCTTCTGTTTTCTTTGATTGTGCACATTCCACACAGTTCTTTATTGTCTTCCAACTTCTCTTTTTCCTGCCATTTTCAGTCTAGAGAGAGGTTGAACAAATGGAACTCCATGCCTGGGCCAGTGTGAAACTTCCCTGTTCTCTTACACAACTCTGCTAAAAACCAAGCTTGGGTGATCCTGGAGCCAGTTCAATGTTTCCCTCTAACAGCGGAGTTCAGCACTGCCGCTAGGAGAAGGGACTCTGCACTTCACAGCACTGCAAGAAAGAGGAAGCCCACATACTGAGTTCAAGTGCTCTCTCACCCAAACCTGGATCCTCATTTCACCAGCTCTCTTTTAACAGCCAGGTCTTGGCAAAGTCTCTAGAATAGAAGAGGCACTTCTCTCTGGGGACAAGGAGTAGCGAAAGATCATGACTTATTGGAACTAAAGGCAGAAACATACTTGCATGCTGCTGAAGAAAAAATGAATCTTTTATGGAAGTTGTTTAATAAGTGCATCTTTTTAATCACTTCCTTAATTCACCAGTCCACCAATTGATATCTGAGATGGTATTTGAGGATCACAACAGAAATGTCATACATCTTAGCCTCAACTTTAGAACTTAGCCATAATTAGTCCACCAAGTTCTATCGTCTTCATTTTCTTGTGATTCTCTAGCTATTCCAGAGAGCATAAGAATCCTGGTTGTTGTTTTTGTGTGTGTGTGTGAAAACACATATATCTATTGGGAAACTTAATACCCCTGGCAGTTTGCCAAATGCAGTGTAAGAAGAGTTACACAAAGCTGACTTCCCCTCTCTAGAGAGTATCATTTGAGAAGGGCACATGGATGTGAAGTCACCTGTGCTCAGTAGAGACAGAATTGGGATAACCAACATAGGTATGGAAAGTCATTGTCTTTAACACACACGGACCTATTGGCAAAAGGGCTAAGAGTAGAAAATAAAGAATGAGGCCATAGGAGAGCCAAGTGTTGATTTAATCCATTTTAAATCACATATAACTAATCAAACAATGCTTCATTAGCCAAGTTCAAGGTTTTCCTACTTTGTCATTTTTAATTGCTAATTAAGTATAATAATATTTACTTCTCAATACCTATCACCTAAATGATAAGCTCTTTTCAAGTAAAAGGCAAAATCTAAGGAAATCTGTATTTAGCTCAGTTATGTTTGTTCTGCATTTTATGTTCCAGATCATTATTTTAGTTAGTTACATTATTATTACATTATTTTATACTGTATTATAATGTAATAGCTATTACATTATTTTAGTTAGCTACATGGGTACATGACATCGCCTGTTACGTCAGAAACTCCATAAAGGAGGAAGGAGGAACCTTGCCTTATTGATCTTTGCATAGGGGCCTTGTCTGAGGGTTCCTAGGAGGATGTTCAATCGGTGTAGCCAGGTGGTGGGTATAAAGGAGGCTGTTGTTCATCTAGAACAACTGAGTCCACCACATAGAGGGAGGAGCTGGCCATCCTGCTGAGTTACCCTGCTGCCCACCACAAGGAGGCAGAAGAGCAAAGCACGTTGGGCCAGGGAAGACCACGTCTTGAGTGACAAGTGGATACTAGGCGCTGTGCTAGCAGCGTTTTGTTTTTTCTCGGTTCTCCTGGAAGACTCACAACAATATCACGCATCTCATAGGACTTTGGAAAGACTCTATCAGGAACACACCAAGAGCACCTGGGGCAGGCTTGCTGGAGCCAGGCCCTGCAAAATAATGTTTTTCCTTGGCTCCACCAAGGGCTTCCAGGCCTGCGGAGTGTCCCCAGGTCTCCTGACCTCCAGCTCAGCGCCTACTTTGAAATGGAAGCTCCTCTACCTCCTGCTCACTAGTCCCCTGACTGCCCAGCCTTACCTGCTGGGACCCTCCCAGCAAAGCCTACTCTTGATCCCCCTCCTGACTGCTCTCTAGAGCCCTCTGTATCCCATAGGTGCAGACACAGAAAGAGAAAGCTGGGGGAATGGCATGCATGGTGCCCTTCACGCTATTGAGCAGAATTTTATTGCTTTGCTGGAAAGTTTGGAGAACAATTAGCAATTGATTCAAAAGAATACAAGTTGTACAAGGCAGAAAATATAATCTTAGAATTTTACAAAGTTCAGCTATAAATAATAATTAACTTGTTAAAGTAATATGAACAATGCACATTAATTTAACCAAAAATCATAATTTGAATGGAAGAATGGGGTCAAGAAGTGGAGGTGAGGTAGGGGTGGGACCAAATATACGCCTATGTTGTAGGAGGTCAAAGGAAAATGTCTAAAAATTTTTTAAAAAAAGAAAGAAAGAAATGGCAGTGAGGACATATTATTTGGAAATACGAAACAAAATACAAAAAAAAAAAAAACCCAGCTAGAAGAACTATAAATACAGCTGACCCTTGAACAACCTGGGTTTGAACTTCAGGGTCCATTTATACATGGATTTTCTTCTACCTCTGCCACCCTTAAGACAGCAGGACCAGCCCCTCCTCTTCCTCCTCCTCCTCAGCCTACTCAATGTGGAGATGATGAGGAAGAAGACCTTCATGATGATCCACTGCCACTCAGTGAATAATAAATACATTTTCCACTGCCACTTAGTGAATAGTACATATATTTTCTATTCCTTATGATTTCCTTAATAATAATTTTCATTTCTAGCTTATTTTAAGAACACAGCATATATTACATATAACGTACAAAATACGTGTCAATCGACTGTTTATCAGTAAGGCTTCCAGTCACCAGCAGGCTATTAGTAGTTAAGTTTTGGGGGAGTCACAAGTTATACATGATTTTTAACTGTGCAGGAACTTGGCACCCCTGATCCCCTCTGGCGTCAACTGTAGTTACCACCTAGGATTTGGACTTGAAAATGGGAGGAAATTAGGGTAAAAACTTTTATAAAAGCTCTGTAGCAATATTTAGCTTTCTAAAATATAAGCATATATAAGCTTGATGAAAATGAAAGTTAAGGAGAATGGAAAGTCCAGTACCCACTCAGAGACTTCCGGGTGCTTTGCATCCTTGCATCTTCAGAATTCTGTCCCCTTAGCTGTTTCTGGGCATCTGCAGGCCACAGAGGGGACAGTGCTTCATACCTCAGAGCAGAAATCTGAGACTCTAGGATTGGGCATCTGTTCCTCAAATATCCCTCTGCCCCTGGCTGCGGAAGACCATGCCTGCCCCCGTGGATGCGGGCTCAGCTGGCCTCAGCATCTCATTTCCCAATCCCGTGTCTTTTCTCATTATGTTCCTATCCTTGAAGATTGCCTCCAGCCATCCCAATTCGCTTCCCTCTGTTGTGCAGAAGGTTTCATCTCTCTTGGACCTTATTCCTCAACACTGCTCCTAGCTCCCATTAGGACATCCAAAGCCTATCAAGGTTGCTGAGATGATGAGGAACCCATGGGCTTGTGCAATGCATGTCCAGATAGCAAGCTGTTCTGAGCTCTCCAATATTTCATGGTAAGTTACCTTCTCAGCGTCCCCCTCCCCAGTTAACACTTCCCTTACAATCACATTTAGCTATTTTTAGAATTTTTCTTGCTCCTTTAGAAGATCCACCTTCTGGGAAAGCTCCTGAAAGTTTGAAATGCTCTCCCCTCCCAGGTTCCCTCCTAAGTGCCGACCTTCTGAGGCATTCCACACTCCAACCCCTTCCCCCCTTGCCTCTTCCTTCCATGTCTCTGGGGACTTTGCTTTCTCTTGTGTTCTAATTCCTCAGCTTCTGCACCTCTTGATTGGCCCTTCTTCTCCTACATTTTGCTGACGTTCCAAAAAAATTCCCTTTTCTGCCCTCTATGAGGTCTCCATAAAGAGTGAGATCTGCTCATCCCTCTATCCACTTCTTTTTCTTTTAGAGCAGTTTTAGATTTACATAAAAGCATGAAGATAGAACAGAGAGTTCCCATCTAGCCTGTAACCAGTTTCTCCTGTTACTAACATCTTACACTGGTATGGTACATTTGCTACAATTAATAAACTTTATTATTAATAAAAATTATTAATACTTTATTATTTTATAGTTTTACCTAACGTCCTTTTTCAGTTCCAGGATCCCATCCAAAAAAAACCCACATTACATTTAGTGATCATGTTTTCTTAGCTTTTTCTTGCTGTGACAATTTCTCAGACTTTTTTTTATGACCTTGGCAGTTTGAGGAGCACTGGTCAGGTATTTTGCAGAATACTCCTCAGTTTGGGTTTTCGGATATTTTCCTCACAATTAGGCTCAGATTGAGTTATTTAGAGGAAGACAGCAGAGATAAAGTGCCATTTTCATCACATCATATTAAGATTTATCACAATGATTTATCATCATGTTGACCTGTAACTTTAATCACCTGCCAGAGGTCATGTTTGTCAGGTTTCTTCATCGTAAAGTTATCCTTCTTCTCTCCCACACTGTCCTCTTTGGAAGCTATTTTTTACATATGTCTGTCTAATCATTCCACCACTATTTATTGAAAAGACTGGACTTCATCCATTTGAATTGCCAAAAGATCAGTAGATTATACTTGTAGAGGTCTATTTCTGGGCTCTCTATCATATTTCATTGATCTATGTCCCTATTCTTTCTCTAATATTATGCTGCCTTGATTACTTGATTTTATAGTAAGTCTTGAAATCGGGTAGCATGAGTCCTTCAACATTGTCCTTTTTCTCAGCATTGTGTTGGCTATTCTTGTGTTGACATATAAACTTTAGAATAAATTTGTCAATATATACAAAAATAGCTTGCTAGATTTTGTTTTTTTGTTTTGTTTTGTTTTTGTTTTTTAAGACAGGGTCTCACTCTGTCACCCAGGCTGGAATGCCGTGGTGCGATCTTGGCTTACTGCATCCTCAGCTTCCTGGGTTTAGGTGATCCTCCTACCTCGGCCTCCCAAGTAGCTGGGACTACAGGTACACACCACCAAGCCTGGCTAATTTTTTGTATTATTTGTAGAAATAGGGTTTTGCCATATTGCTCAGGCTGGTCTCAAACTCCTGGGCTCAAAAGATCTGCCTGTCTCAGCCTCCCAAAGTGCTGGGATTACTGGCATGAACCACCGCACCTGGCCTTACTTGCTGAATTTTGGGATTGCATTGAGCCTCTAGAGAAGATAAAATTGATATCTTAATATTGTGTTTTTCAGTTCATGTATATGGAATCTCTTTCCATTTTATTTAAATCTTTCTTGATTTTTTAAAATCAGAGATTTTTAATTTTCTACATATAGATCCTATATATATTTTGTAGGATTCATATACAAATATTTATTTTTCCATGCTATTACAAATAATATTTTTTATTATAATAGTTTTTATTTCTATTTTGTTTCTGATATTGGTAATTTGAGTCTTCTCTGTTTGCTTGGGTAGCCTGACTACAGGCTTATCAATTTTATTGAACATTTCAAAGAATCAGATTTGCATTTGATTTTCTCTATTGCTTTCCTGTTTTTAATTTCACTGATTTTTCACTCTAATTTGTGTTATTTCTTTTTTTCTGTTTGTTTTAGGATTTAATTACTAATCTTTCTTTAGCTTCCTAAGGTGGAAGCTTAAATTGTTGATTTTAGATCTTTTTTCTTTTCTAATATATTCATTTTGCATTTAGTGTTATAAATTTCCTTCTAAGCACTGCTTTAGCTGCATCTCATTTATAATAAATATATGTTTAATAAATTGTATGTTTAATTTTTATTTAGTTCAAAATATTTTAAAATTTCTCTTGGAGACTTCTTATTTAACCATGTGTTACTGAAACTATCCCTAGGAAATTTTTATAAATTGATTAAAGGAAAAAAAGATTAAGTAGGCTTGAAGAACAATTGGCAGCAATCAATAAGCCAGCTCGCCCTTCGGCCCCTTCTTTGTAGTTAGTTGCCACTTTACTACCCCAGGATAACGTAGCCCTTGTCATGAGACTCTTTGTTCCTTTTCTGTTCTACATATAAGTTCTATATAAGCTTTCCATTCTGAGCCTCTCCTTTAGATTCTGCATACCACCAACACCAGCTGGTTCAAAGGGCCCAGCAAAAACCTAACTCATGAAAGAATGTAGTTTCTATATCCTAATTATCTCCTCCCCCCTTACCTCAACCAATTAATGACCCCAATTTTCCAGTCCCTCATCCTCCACAATCCCCTTAATAACCCTTGCCCAGGACCCCTCATAGAGAAAGATTTTAGGCTTGAGGATTCCTCCTACTCCTGTTTCCTTGTTCAGTGTCCTTGAGATTATTAAACTCCTTCTCTGCTGCAAGCCCACCGTCTCAGTGTACTGGTCTGTTGAACACAGTAGTCTATGAATCTAGCAACTCTATAACATTTCTTAAAATTGCATCATTTAATCTCCAAACATTTTGTTATTTTCTAGCTATCTTCTGTTACCGATTTCTAGCTTAATTACATTGTGATCTGAAAACATACTTTTATGATTTCTATTCTCTTAAATTTGTTAAGGTGTGTTTTATGGCCCATAATGTGGTCTATCTTGGTTATTTTTTTCCTCTGCTATCTCTCAATATTTTCTTTTTGCCTTTGGCTTTTTGCCTTTTGCATATGATACACTTAGATGCCAATTTTTAAATAATTATCCGGCATGGTGTTCACAGAACTTTCTAAATCTCTGATTTGGTGTCTGTCATTAATTTTGAAAGTTCTTCAACCATTATTGCTTCAAATATTTACTTGGCTCATTTTCCTCTTCTCAGGTATTTCAGTTGTTTGTATGTAATTAATTGTATTACATTATTTGTATATAAAATATCTTCTGCAATGGTCCCACAGTTCTTGCATGTTCTATTCTGCTTTGTCGGTTTTATAAAATTTTTACATTTGAGTTTGGAAAATTTCTAGTGACCTATTTTTAAGTTCACTGATTATTTCCATGACTAGTCTACTGATGAGTTAATCAAAGGCATTCTTAATTTATATTATGTTTTTTATCTCTAGCATTTCCTTTTGATTCTTTCTTAGAGCTTCCATCTCTCTGCTTAACTTACCCATCTGTTCTTACATATCATCTATATTTTCCATTAGAGTCTTTAAACTATTAATCATAGTATTTTAAATCACCTATCTGATAATGCCAACATCTGTGTCATATCTGAGTCTTGTTTTGATGCTTACTTTGTGTCCTCAAACTGTGTTTTTTTGTTTGTTTGTTTGTTTTTGCCTTTCAGTATGCATTGTAGTTTTTTGTAAAAAGCCAACTATAATGTCTTGGGAATTCAAATAAATAGAACCTTAGTGTGAGCTTGTATATTTATTCGGCTGGGGATTTGGCTGTGTTTAATATTTGCTATAGCTGTAGGTGCCAGAGGCTTCAAATTCCCCTAGAGTCCTTGTTTTTGGCTCCCCTGCTGACTTTGGGCTTACCTAAATCTTCCTCCTGAAAGACAGCCTGTGTCTTGCAGCTCTTTCAGCTGGAATCCATTGTGATTTTACTGACTCCCTGTTGGTGTGGTGGTGAGGTATGCAGGAAGGGAAGCATTCTACAATCTTATGATTACATCTCAGCATCTTAATTGGCCTGTGTCCCTGGGTTGTGATCTTCACAAGTATTTCTTAATAATCTTTATGCCCTTTCTTAGACAAGAATATCCAAGGGGGCTAGAGTCAGAGAAATGCTCTTCTCCCATCTGACTAAGGCTGTGGTGGTCTTTTGCCCTGGAGAATAAGCTTGTCCTATGAAGAACACTGCTTGTACTTCGGAAAGAATACTCTTCCCCTTCCTTTGCCAGAACCATGAGGGAATATTTTCATCTCCTCACCATGGTAATATTAAAATAAAATTCTTAGCCAAATTAAATTTAATAGAGTTTAATTGAGCAAAGAACAATTCACAAATCAGGCAACCTCCCGAGCCAAAGTAGGCTCAAAGAGGCTCTAGTACAGCCACTTGGTGGAAGAAGATTTATGGACAGAAAAAGGAAAGTGGTATACAGAAAACAGAAGTGAGGTGCAGAAACAGCCAGATTGGTTACAGCTTGGTATTTGCCTTATTTAAACATGGTCTGAACAGTTGGCCCCCTTGGATTAACCAGAACTCAATGATTGGCATGAGAGTAGGTTACAGTCTGTTTACACATCTATTTAGGTTATAGTTCACTATGTACAGAGAAACCTTTAGGCCAAACTCAAAATATTTAAGGAGGCAGCTTTAGGCTTAATTTAACAACAGCCTGGTGGGATTCCTGGAAGTCAAACCCAGGAAAGTCTGGGGATCCCCAGTAGTTTCTCACTCTCACAGTAGTTCACACTCAGCCTTAAGCAATTTGTTAAAATTCCCATTTAAATTGTTCCTACCGGTTTATGGCCCCAGCAACTTCTGCTCCTGGCAAGCAGATCTCTAGATCTGCTTCAAGCTGTGACTCTAGATTTGCCTGTCTCTCCAGATTTTAGGGTAGCAGTTTGTCCTGAGGCCTCAGTTCTCTGATGAGTCTGAGAAAAGTCATTGGTCTTCAGCTTGTTCAGTTTTTTCTTGTTGCAAGGAGGGGAGTGATGACCTCTAAGCTTTTTGTGTGTCAAAGCTGAAACTAGAAGTCCCATGCATTTTTCCCCGATATTTATTAGAAGCCTACTCCATATCATGCCACATGGCAGTGAACACAAGACACAAAATCCCTGCCTTTGCTGAGCTGACATAGATATCTGGGAACTTCTAATGCTTCATTTCCAGCCTTGCCTTTCCTCCTAAATCAAAGATACATGCCTCTAGCTGTTAGAAGGGTGTCCCATTGGCCCCTCGAACCCAATATTTCCAATCTGGAGCTCGGTTTCTTCTCCACCAAACCAGCTGCTAGTTCTGCATTCACTCTGGTCCTTTTAGACACTGATCACTTCCTCCCCCAAATTCCTCTATTTTATCAATAAACCTGTCACTTGCTTCTTCTTAGCTCTTAACTGAGACCTGTGCTCTTCATCCCCATAGCCATAACCTTAGTTTGGGTCGCAGTCACCTCTGTCTGGGATGTTCCGGTGGTCTCCTGACTTCAATGCCCTCCAGTCCTTTGCCTACATTACTACCCTACTTATATTTTTAATGTTCCCTTATTATTCTTAAAATATCATGAATATAAGACAAAGTCCAAGTTTCTCACCATGCATGCAAGATCCTTTACCTTCTGGTCACCAGCTGCCTACTCATCTTTCCATTCTCATCTCCATAACTCCTCCCACCCCTTGCCAACTGTGCCGGGGCAAGTCCCTTTGCCCACATTGTCCTTGCTCTCTCCCCATGTCCCATGGACCCCCTAATAATCCTTAAGCAGCTCGTTCATCTTTCCTTAATTCCTAGGCAAAATGAATTCATTCCTTTTCCATGTTTACACACATGCATGTTTTCTGTGACGTTTAACTCTCTAAGGTGATTATAAATATATATTTTTTCTCTTCTGCTAAAAAATATGTGGCTTTTTAGGAGACACAGCTCACCCTCAGTTACTTCTTGTGGCCTGACAAGCCAGAGGTATACAGCAAGCAATAAGTATTAGTTCTCACACCAAGAAACCATATGAAAATTGAAATATTTGATTAATATTTGTTGCAAGAAAATTGAAATATTTCATCAATATTTGTTTCAAGAAAACAATGTTTACTATTATAAAATGGAAGGATCTGGGCTTTTCACTGACTTTTATCTTTATCCTGGTCTTGAGATTACCTGGCTGATTTCTACGTTTACTCTTGCCCACCTGACACCCTTATCATACCCTCATTAGAAATACACTAAGCAAGCAACCAAATATTTTATTAACTAATAATATAACAGGAAAAATAAGCAAAACCCCATGCATCTTCAAACATTTGTCTCATTTTGCATGCCTTCCTCTGTTTAGTAAATTATATGATTTAAATGTAGAAGTCCCACCATGAAGGAAACCTCACTATTCACCAAGGAGGAGAACAGAAGGAAAAACAAACTCTCCACTAATGTGTTTTAAAATTAAACCAGGTATGCTTCATAAAATAATAGACAGCAGCTTCTGGTTAGTTAAGCTGGAATTACATTATTTTTTAAAGAGTTGAGACAGGGGCAAAAAGCAGGCAGATTAATTACTGTTTTACTTAATTGATGTTATATTTGAGGGGCTTGAATAAAGCTTACCAAATTATGAACAGGCCTATGTCTTCATTCTTTCAGCAAACTCTGTCTAGTATATACTTGAGGCTCTATGAAAACAGCTGAACAGCTTGCAAGTGAGTTGGGAAATGTCAGTGAGTAAATCAGGGAAGACAATAAAATTGGAGAAGGGGGGCTATGCCCATCTACACGGTAGCATGTAGCCCACAGAAGACTTCATTATGAGACAATGTAACGGCCCAACAGGTTCACCTTGTCCACTGCCTAGACAGAGTCCATTTATCAAGACAGGGGAATTGCAATAGAGAAAGAGAATAATTCATGCAGAGCTGACTGTATGGGAGACCAGAGTTTTATTATTACTCAAATCAGTCTCTCCAAAGACTCGGGGATTGGGGTTTTTAAGGATAATTTGGTGGGTAGGGGCCAGTGAATCAGGAGTGCTGATTGGCTGGGTCAGAGATAAAATTATAGGGAGTTGAAGCTGTCCTCCTACACTGAGTCAGTTCCTGAGTGGAGACCACAAGATCAGATGAGTCAGTTTATCAATCTGGGTGGTGCTAGCTGATCCATCAAGTGCAGGGTCTGCAAAAATATCTCAAGCCCTGACCTTAGGTTTTGTAACAGTGATGTTATCCCCAGGAGCAATTCGGGGAGGGTCAGAATCTTGTAGCCCCTCGCTGCCTAACTCCTAAACCATAATTTTGAATCTTGTTGCTAATTTGTTAGTCCTACAAAGGCAGTCTAGTCTCCAGGCAGGAAGGGGGTTTGTTTGGGGAAAAGGCTGTTACTATCTTTGTTTTAAAGTTAAACTATAAACTAAGTTCCTCCCAAAGTTAGTTTGGCCTATGACAGGAATGAACAAGGACAACTTGGAGGTTGGAAGCAAGATGGAATGGATTATGTCAGCAATGGCGGTTTCAACCCCTACTCCTGAGTCCTGAAGGGCAAATTGTGCTTCCCCACCTGGGCTGGGTGGAAGGCATTCCTGGTAGCAGGGACTGGATGAGCACAAACGTAGTGGCTTGAAACAGCAAACAAATGTAGTGGGGTATAGGGAGTGAATACGAGGGTTCGTGTTGCCAAGGTTCTGTCAGCTTTGTAGTATGGCACTGAAATATGAGGTGACTTTAGTCACAAGCATTGATATCAAAAACAACTTAAAATCAAGTCAAAATAACATTAATGCTGGCAGAAAAGTCTTGCTTGACCACTCAGGAAATCTTCCCGTGGAAATTCCTACTGCAGTCATTAGTTTTTTTTTTTTTTTTTTTTTTGAGACGGAGTCTCGCTCTGTCGCCCAGGCTGGAGTGCAGTGGCGGGATCTTGGCTCACTGCAAGCTCCGCCTCCCGGGTTCACGCCATTCTCCTGCCTCAGCCTCCCAAGTAGCTGGGACTACAGGCGCCCGCCACTACGCCCGGCTAATTTTTTGTATTTTTAGTAGAGACGGGGTTTCACCGTTTTAGCCAGGATGGTCTCGATCTCCTGACCTCGTGATCCGCCCGCCTCGGCCTCCCAAAGTGCTGGGATTACAGGCGTGAGCCACCGCGCCCGGCCTAGTTTTTTTTAAGATTTTTCAACTTTTTATTATGATCATCAAATATATTGTCATTTTCCAGTTTCACTTTTTAAAGAAAATTCATTTTTTTAAATTCAAATTTTGATAGATTGAAATGGAATAGAAATTCAAATTTTAAAGAGTAAATTTATTTTGTAAATATACACAAAAATTAGGACAGAGAAACTTAAGGGTAGTTTTTTTAACTTGAGCTTGTATTGAAGTTGGAATTGCCAGTTAAAATTTAGGACTCCAATTAAATTTGAATATTTATTCACTATTTGGGACATACTAAAAAAAGTGTGTATCTGAAATTCAAATTTTGGGGGGCATCCTCCTCTATTTTTATTTGCTAAATCTGGCAGCTCTAACTGGAATATAACTTAGTTGTATACCCCCCAAGCTTTATTTGCAGTTAGGCATTTGAAAATGATGGTCATATAACACAAAGCAGAACTGAACATACAAGCAATCAACCCATTTCCAACATGACTGAAAATTCTCTTAAGATTTCCTGGTATCACTTCTATTCAACGTAGTACTGGAAGTCCTAGCCAGAGCAATCAGACAAGAGAAATAAATAAAGGGCATCCAAATCCATAAAGAGGAAGTCAAACTGTTGCTGTTTGCTGATGATATGATTGTATACCTAGAAAACCCTAAAGCTCCTAGATCTGGTAGATGACTTTAGCAAAGTTTCAAGATACAAAATTAATGTATACAAATCAGTAGCTCTGGTGTACACCAACAGTGACCAAGCTGAGAATCAAATAAAAAATTCAACCCCTTTTACAATAGCTGCAACAAAATAAAATAGTTAGGAATATAACTAACCAAGGAGGTGAAAAACATCTACAAGGAAAACTACAAAACACAGCTGAAAGAAGTCATAGACGACACAAACAAATGGAAACACATTCCATACTCACGAATGAGTAGAATCAATATTGTGAAAATAATTATACTGCCAAAAGCAACCTACAAATTCAGTGCAATTTCCATCAAAATACCACCATTATTATTTACAGAACTAGAAAAAAAATCCAAAAATTCATATAGCACAAAAAATGAACCCACATAGCCAAAGCAAGACTAAGCAAAAAGAACAAATCTGGATGCATCACATTACCTGATTTCAAACTATACTGTAAGACCACAGTCACCAAAACAGGATGGTACTTGTATAAAAATAGGCACATAGACAAATGGAACAGAATAGAGAACCCATAACTAAAGCCACATACTTACAGCCAACTGATCTTTGACAATGCAAACAAAAACAGTGGAGAAAGGACACCCTATTCAACAAATGGTGCTGAGATAATTGGCAAGCTGCATGTAGAAGAATGAAACTGGATCTTCACCTCTCACTTTATACAAAAATCAACTCAAGATGGATCAAAGACTTAAATCTAAGACCTGAAACCATAAAGATTCTAGAAGATAACATGAGAAAAACCCTTCTAGACATTGGCTTAGGCAAAGACTTTATCAAGAACCCAAAAGCAAATGCAACAAAAATAAAGATAAATAGATGGGACTTAATTAAACTGAAAAGCTTCTGCACAGCATAAGAAACAACCAGCAGAGTAAACAGACAACCCACAGAGTGGGAGAAAATCTTCACAATCTATACATTCAACAAAGGACTAATACCTGGAATTTACAAGGAACTCAAACAAATCAGCAAGAAAAAAAAACCAATTCTATCAAAAA
This sequence comes from Homo sapiens, assembly GCF_000001405.40. Taxonomy (NCBI): domain Eukaryota; kingdom Metazoa; phylum Chordata; class Mammalia; order Primates; family Hominidae; genus Homo; species Homo sapiens. The sequence continues at coordinate 127,769,062 of NC_000010.11, forward strand.
GTGGGCTAAGGACATGAATAGACAATTCTCAAAAGAAGATATACAAATGGCCAACAAACATATGAAAAGTGCTCAACATCACTAATGATCAGGGAATGCAAATCAAAATCATAACGCAATACCACCTCATTCCTGCAAGAGTGGCCATAATCAAAAGATCAAAAACTAATAGAAGTTGGCGTGGATGTGGTAAAAAGAGAACACTTTTACACTCCTGGTGGGAATGTGAACTAGTACAACCACTATGGAAAACAGTGTGGAGATTCCTTAAAGAACTAAAAGTGGAACTACCATTTGATCCAGCAATCCCACTACTGGGTATCTACCCAGAGGAAAAGAAGTCATTATATGAAAAAGATACTTGCACAGGCATGTTTATAGCAGCACAATTTGCAAATGCAAAAATATGGAACCAGCCCAAATGTCCATCAAACTATGAGTGGATAAAGAAATTGTGGTATACATATATACACCATGGAATAATACTCAGCCATAAAAAGGATGAATTAATGGCATTTGAAGCAACCTGGATGTAACTGGAGACCATTATTCTAAGTGAAGTAACTCAGGAATGGAAAACCAAACATCATATGTTCTCACTCAGAAGTGGAATCTAAGCTATGAGGATGCAAAGGCATAAGAATGATACAATGGACTTTGGAGACTCGGGGGAAAGAGTGGGAGGGGGATGAGGGATAAAAGACTACACATTTGGTACAGTGTACACTGCTCAGGTGATGGGTGCACGAAAATCTCAGAAATCACCACTAAAGAACTTATTCATGCAACCAAATACCACCCGGTCCCCAAAAATCTACTGAAATTTTTTTTTTAAATTGCAAAAAAACAAAACAAAACAAAAAATGTCCTGGTACTCCATTTTCCCAAACTTCTCGCTTTGTACATGTTTTTTGATGGTTAATTCTATATGTCAACTTGACTGGGCCATGGGGTGCCCAGATATTTGGTCAAACATTCTTCTGGGTGTTTCTGGATGACATTAACATTTGAATTAGTAGACTGAGTAAGGCAGCTTGCCCTCCCCATTGTGGGTGGGCTTCATCTGAGCCTTGGAAGTCCTGGCTACAACAAAAGGCTGACCCTGCCATGAGTGACAGGGACTTTCTTCTCCTTGACTGCCTTCAGGCTGGGACATCAGTCATTTCCTGCCTTCAGACTCAAACTAAAGGGTTAACTCTTTTGATGTCTCAAGCCTGCCAGCATTCAGACTAGAATTCTACCATTGGCTTTCCCAGTTCTCAGGCCTCGGACTTGGACTGGACCTGCATCATTGGCTCTCCTGGTTATCCAGCTTGCTGACTCACACTGCAGATCTTGGACTGTCAGCCTCCATAATCATGGCAGCCAATTCCTCATGATAAATCCATTTCCATCTATAGGCATCCTGTTGGTTCTGTTTCTCTGGAGAACCCTGACTAATGTGCCTGTGGAACTAAAATTGTATTCTACGTGAAACTTGCTTCGTGGGTCTCCACTGCAACCTGAAAATACATGTTCCAAGTTCTGCCTCAGTCTCTGGGAATATTCACTGCCTGGACTTTTAGCTGAGATTACAAACATTCTATTTATTCTTTCTAGCTCTGTTGGTGAAGTGGTCACTTACAGGTCACTTTTCAATCAGCAATTTTGTTCTTCTGCACTTTAAAATAGACATTTTCTTTGGCGTCCAAAATAATATTCTATTAAAATAGCCACTGATTGGAAGGGCCTTAGTATGTATGTCATGGTCTCTGCAAAGAGAACCTCAAGTTCGAGAGACGTGAGTCCCAGTGAAAAGCACACCTGTGATATATAAAATGCACAAAAGACAGTGGTTGTTCCCGTAGCCACACTGAGGCAACGTCCTTGTGTTCTGGTCTCATCTCTAAAATATCACATATCACGTCGGGTCATCTCCTCTGGGCCTCCCCTTGGGATAGACATTTTCCCCACCAATCAGACCCAATAGCCGCTTCCCCATGACTCCCTTTGCACTCTACACACATGCCTCTGGTGTGTATGCCCCATATTGGGATTTCATTATTTGTTTGCATGTTTACTTTTTGTGGAAAGAGTCTGGAATTTCCACTTCTCTGCAACCCCAGCATGTCACACCATTCCTGATGTCCAAAATACATTCTATAAGGGTTTACTTTGTACTTATCTTACCTGACACTTCCATTTTCTTTTAATCAAGGTGTGTCTGAGTCATCACTGTGTCCTCTCTGCACATGTTATTGGGCAGCACCTTCATCCCAGGCCCACTGCTAAGCACTTCCATGGAAGAAGCCTGTGACCAGCAACGGGAGAAAAGAGTCTTTAATCACTGTCATTCATATTCTCATTTTTCTCCAATTTCACCTGGGTCTGGGCAGTTCTCACAGGTGTGTTTATTCTGTCCATAGGCTTAGACACTTAAATTTTTATGCGAGTAATAATCCAATAGTCAGACACTAGATAAATTTGTCTCTGTTTCTTTTTGCTAGTGATATATCTCACTGGTCAGGCCATAGGTGGTATTGCCAGCTTCAGCCACCATAAGCGTTCAATATCAGCCAAAGTATAGTGTTCAGAGCTGGCAGTGCAACACAGCTTCTGCAGGTGATATTTGATAGGCAGAATTCCTTTCCTAAATGCACCCTACTGGCTTCAGATATTTTACCGCAAATAATCATAATATTGAACTTAAAGCTTCTACAAGTTCACAGTGAAAAATCTGATCAGATTACATATATGCTCAAGTTTTATTGTTCTCTTAAAGTTGGAAGCAATAAATATGTAATAAAAATGAAAATATATTTTAATATTAGTTTCCCTGATGTCATTTCTCTACAGAATATCCTTAACTGTTACTTACAGATAGGTTGATAAACAGTGGAAATAAAAAGTCTACACCTACAAAAACCTCTTTTAAACGGAATTTATATTAAATACTTAGGATAGCTCTATTCAGCCCTACTGGCTGAAAACCAACATTCCTAACCATTTGTTTGTCCAAACAGTGGTCCTATGTACCCAGGCGACCAGTCTGATGGTGATGCTATGTGCTGATGATGAAGCAGAATTGATGCTGGGGGAAGGGGCTCAGGTTAAAGTTTGCTTCTCTCTTCCTTCCAACCCAACTTCCCTCCATCAAGCAAGCCTCCGGAAAGCTTGCTTTGAAGTGTATCTTTTTCATTTCTCTCCCCAGCTGGAGGCTTGTGGTCCATGGTCTCACTGTTTCAAATTCACTGTGGTTTGTAAATAGAAATATTTCATCCTAGCAGGGTAACTGAAAACAGAGGTTTCTATAAGTACCCAGGCCCACCACCCATGGAGGCCACAGGGTAAAATTACAACAGGACCCACCTCTCTGGTTGTCCCAGTCAGCCAGAGAATTTGCCTCTGCATTTAGGATCTTGATTTTTCCAGGAAAGTCACGAAAATTGGTCATCTTCCTCCACCCTGAATGTGAAAGTCGAGTAGGAAGTCGCATTGAGCTTATCCTCCACCCAGGCCCCAGTTTAGTATCAGACTGACAATCCTGTAACTTTGGAGAGAACACATTTGTGAAAAGCATAATCAAGGAAGGCTCAGCTGAACCATATTGCATCATTTTGAACATTTCTTCATAAATAGATAACTGACTTAAGTAAGACCTAGAAGTTTATGGGGTTTTATTGACTACAAACCTAACTGTTTCTTTAAAAGTGTTATACAATAGGAACACAAAATTGGGAGAAGCTCCTTAATGACCTCTTACTATCTTTCAAGCATCATCAACGAGAAGTTTGGCACAAAGTTTCTGTTTGAGGGAAAAAATTGTCATTCGTTTCACTTGAATCATTACTATCACTCAATAATGAATGAGAGTCATTATCATCCAGTAGCTCTTGTCTCTCTAGCTGGGCTTGGTTAATGAGTCGCTCCAGCATTTGGGATGAGGGCTGTGTTGGGATAGACGAGGATGAGAGGGAAGGTCCATTCCCACAGTTGCCCACATTGCAGGCATTGCCTGATGGACAGGCAGTTAAGTTCATCAAGATGAGTAAAATAAAAGCAGAAATCAGAGAGATGGGTTCTCTGTGCCATAAATCACTCCATTTTTGAACCCATTTCCCATAGTGTGGCCAAGATGGTTTCCCAAAACAAAGATCCCTTCATTCACCTCTGGAAATATCCAGAGTCTCCAAATAACAGGAACTTGAGTCCTAGAATGCAAGTTCTGTCCAGCTCAGAGCACCATAGCTTGTGGGAAGCTGCCTTACCATCTATCCAGCATTCTACCTCCTCCCACAATGCTTTCTTCCTATTGCTAATTATCAAGATTTTTAAATTACTTCTTGTATTTTTACTGCATTGCCTGTCTATCTCCCTGAGTGGATTGTTGGCTCTCTTTGGACAAAGCAGGCTAACTAGTCTTCAGAATCCCAGGGCACAGGTGTGGAGCTCGCCAGTGGACTCTTAGGACCTGTAAGACAAGTGCACAAGTTAGCTGAACTTGGCTTTCCATTCGCGGGTCAGTAGGGTAGATGGTGATGTATAATAATGTTTTGTAATCCTAAATCTTCCAAAATGGAGTCACTTATAACGAGTGACTCATTTCGCAGTGAAGTTGCTGACCCCTCAGAGTGAGAAGCATGTGTATGGTGGACTGTGGCGATTAGATGACACCTGCTGTGGCCAGGCACCCCCAAGACCTGACTAGAAAGTGAAGCCAACAGGAGACTGAGGTCATGGTCATGGACACTCCTGCAGAGGCCATAAAAACAGCAAAGGAACTGACCCTGGTGAGATGCTTGCAGAAGCTCTGCCCATGAGAACTCGGGCCTCTTTTCCATCAGGCGGCGGCCAATGGAAGCTCTGCTGGGAGAAGGGCACTCCCTGCCTAAGAGTTAGCATAACCAGGCTGATGGCACCTGACACACTAGATGGAGACTTGGTTCATCTTTGGAAGGTCCAGGGGCTGTGGGAAAGGTGGAACAGCCCAGGATAATCTCAAAGTCCCCCTTCCCCTCCCCAAGCAATTCCTCTGTAAAGAGGAGGCTTGGTATCTCCCAGACAAACTTCAAGATCAGTGGAGAAGTCTCAGCCCTGTCCTCTCCCTCTTGCGTCCCTGCACAGCCTGTCTCTGGACAAGCTTCTGCCCTGTCGCTGCCTCCGTTCATGCCCCTCTGCAGCCAAGGTTGGAGAATGCTCATCCCTGCTTAACTCTTTCAGCTGCTCCCTATTGCCTTCTAACCCCAAATCACTGGCACATCCCACAGGGCTCTGAGACTTCAGGCCTCTGCCTCCTCTCAGGCCACACTCACCCCTCAGCCCACAAATTTGAACCATGCAGAGCCTTCCTCTTCCTGCTTATTTTGCCTGCATCCTCCCCATTGAAGCTTCCTCCCAGCCCCACTCAGCCCACGCAGCAGCATAGCTCCTCCAGAAAGCCCTCTCTAAGTTTGGCCTGATCTTCATTTTCACAACCCCTACTTCCTGGGATAATGGTCAGCACACTCCTAGTTACTCTTTGCGATAGGGAACATATTGAGTTTTTTCCTCAAAGTGTCCCCTTGAAATAGCACCGGGGCAAATCCAGCCTGGTGCCTGCTTTTGTATTGCTCTGAGGTAAGAGTGGCTTTTATATTTGTAAATTGTTTTATGAAATTAAAATAAAATCCTAAGCCCCCTGACTGACTGAACAGACCAGTCTTAGCCAAGTAGACTCCAGAAAACTTTAAAAACTAAATTTCAGGGCCATCAAAGGAGGGAGATTGGTTGTGCCTCATTACACACCCTTTCCCAGCTAACCATTGCCAGACCTTTTTTTTCCCCCTAAGAGTTAAACAGAAACCCGCCCTGGAAAACAAAGAACAAAAGACTCCTCCACTGACCAGTGCCTGACACTGCAGCCAGACTCCTTGCACTTTTTGTGGGTTTGATATTGACAGCTGACCAGTTTCCTTCCTGTTAAATGACCCTGACCACAGGCAGCTTTTGCCAGTTTACAGAGGGTGTTGCACTAAGCGCCCCTACGTCTAAAGTTTCACCTTTGGAGGTAAACAGCCTAGGTTTACAGCATTTTAATGTTAAGTCTCCACCCCAAAGTAAACACTGGACATATGTAACACATATGTTTGCTTACCACACGTGCACATGATCCCCCCACAAAATATTCTAGTTCTAGTTCATCCTATTGTAAGAATCGAGTAGCAAAAGAACTGTTGATGAACTGTCATCTTCCCCCCGCCCCCATTCCCTTAACATAAAAGAGTCTAAAATCTGTGCTGACTTAAGATGATACTTTAGAATGCCAGTTCTCAGTTTCGCTGGCTCTCTGAATAAACCTGCTTTTCCCCCCACCAACTCTCCTCTCTCCTGTTTGGTTTCTGAGCAATGAGCAGCCAAACCTGGGTTCGGTTACCCTATAACCTGTTAAATATGTATGTTTAGCCAATCCGTGTAGCATGAAACTCCTGTTCCACCCTTCCTCCCTCGAAGTGCCTTTCTGTCTCAGCTGGAGGCCCTGATTCCCAACCTGCAGCACCACACTTCTGAGAAATAAAGTGCTCCTTGTGAAATTTATAGATCTTGTGATTTTTAAGCTGACAGTTGTAACAAAACAATACACACACACACACACACACACACAAAACAAAAACAAAGAAGAATATGTGGGAGAGATAATGTGTGGTTTGAAAAGCCTAAAATATTTACTCTCTGGCCTTTTAGAGAAAGTTCGCTGACCCCTGACCTAGAACGATGCCTTGGCATACAGTAGGTGCTCAACTAGTATTTAATAAACACGTGATTATCTGTAGCTGAAGGCATGCTGGAGGCTGTGCTGTCTGTAAGGACGTGCTCTTTGGGCCTCATTAGCAAACTGGCACAGACTAAACTTTAGATTCTGGGAGTGACAGTTGGAAGCATCAGAAAATTGTTCTTGACACACGTTGAGTGTATTTATGGCGGGGGGGTGGAAGAAAGATATCTTTCTGGTATATTTGTGAAGGAACCCAGGGAATTTCACCCCAACATATGGCATCCTGGTATGCTGATTATTTTAAATTAAAGGCCCCTGAAGGTCAGCAGATGCTGAAATTGGTCTACTCAGATATGCGCTTTTCTACCTTAAGAAAATAGAACACAATCACCTTCCATCCCCTCCCTGAAATCCCATCATGTATTGAAGAAAAGAAGAGTGAGAAGGAAGGAATATAACCACACCTTGATGGACTTTTTCACAAGATAATGTCTGCCTCCTGAGCTCATTCAAATTCCAAAAAGAATTATTTACAAGATGATTTCTGTCTCCTAGGTCCATTCATTCACCTAATAATTATTTACTACCCCTCCAAAGAATTGCCTGCATTCCCTATCTCCTCCCTACCCTATAGAGAAGGCATATTCACACCTCTACCTGGTTGAGTTGCTGGGTTATCAACACAGTAATCAAATTGCCTTTTTTTCTGCTAATCTGTCTATTGTCAATTCATTTCACCAGACTTAGACTTGAAGCTTCAGAGAGAAAAGTTGAACCTCCCTGTATTTGCATCAGAAACTGCCAGAGACATTTTTAAGTACCGTCATGTGTACCTTAATGATTGAAACACATTCTGAGAGCCATGTCATTAGACAATTTCCTTATTAGGTGGACATCATAGAGTGTATTTACACTAACCTAGAGGGCATAGCCTACTACACAGCCAGGCCATAAGGTGTAACCTATTGCTCCTAGGCTACAAACCTTTATGCCATGTTATTGCAACCACCCAAGCGGTTCACCTTGCCTGCTGGCTAGACAGAGCTGATTCATCAAGACAGGGGAATTGCATTAGAGAAAGAGTAATTCATGCAGAGCTGGCTGTGCAGAAGACTGGATTTTTATTATTACTCAAATCAGTCTCCCTAAGTATGTGAGGAGCAGAGTTTTTAAGAATATCTTGGTAGGTTGGGGGAAGCTAGTGAGCCAGGGGTACTGATTGGTCAGAGGTGAAATCATAGGGAGTCGAAGCTGTCTTCTTGTTCTGAGTCAGTTCCTGGGTGGGGACCACAAGATCAGATGAACCAGTTTATCCATCTGGGTGATGCCAGCTGATCCATCACGTGCAGAGTCTGCAAAACATCTCAAGCCCTGATCTTAGGAGCAGTTTAGGGAGGTTCAGAATCTTGCAGCCTCCAGCTGCATGACTCCTAAACCATAATGTCTAATCTTGTGGCTAAAATTCATCCTACAAAGGCAATCTAGTCCCCAGGCAAGAAGGAGGTCTGCTTTGGAAAAGGGCTGTTACCGTCTTTGTTTAAACTATAAACTTTCTCCCAAAGTTAGTTCAGTCTACGCCCAGGAATGAACAAGGACAGCTTGGAGGTTAGAAGCAAGAAGGAGTCAGTTAAGTTAGACTTCTTTCACTGTCTCAGTCATAATTTTGCAAAGGTGGTTTCACTACTCTACTGAATACTGAAGACAGTTGTAACACAATGGTAAGTATTCGTGTATCTAAACATATCTAGGCATAGAAAATGTAAAGTAAAAATGCAGTAGAAGAGATTTTTTGCTTCGTTTTGTTTGTTTGTTTTGGGGATGGAGTTTCACTTTTGTTGCCCAGGCTGGAGTGGGGTGGTGTGATCTCAGCTCACTGCAACCACCACTGCCTGGGTTCAAGCAACTCTCCTTCCTCTGCCTCCCAAGAAGCTGGGATTACAAGCACCTGCCACCACACCCAGCTAATTTTTTGTATTTTTAATAGAGATGTGGTTTCAACATGTTGGCCAGGCTGGTCTCAAACTCCTGACCTCAGGTGACCCACCCGCCTTGGTCTCCCAAAGTGCTGGGACTGCAGGCATGGAAAAGATTTTTTTTTTTTAAAGTCATCTGTTGATATGGTTAGGCTCTGTGTCCCCACCCAAATCTCATCTTGAATTGTGATCCCCACAATCTCCATAATCCCCATGTGTCAAGGGAGAGACCAGGTGGAGGTAATTGAATCATGGGGTGCTTTCCCCCATGCTGTTCTCAAGATAGTGAATGAGTTCTCACAAGATCTGATGATTTTATAAGGGGATCTTCCCCCTTCACTCAGCACTTCTCCTTCCTGCTGCCTTGTGAAGAAGGTGCCTTGCTTCTCCTTCACCTTCCGCCATGATTGTAAGTTTCCTGAGGCCTCCCCAGCCAGGCTGAACTGTGAGTCAACTAAACCTCTTTCCTTTATAAATTATCCAGTTTCAGGCAGTTCTTTACAGTAGTATGAAAACGGACTAATACCTCTGATAGGACACTTACAATGAATGAATGGAGGTTGCAGAACTGGAAGTTGCTCTGGGTGAGTCAGTGAGTGGCAAGTGAATGTGAAAACCTAGAACATTGCTGTACACTACCGAAGACTTTATAAACACTGTACTCTTAGGCCACACTGAATTTATGTAAAAATATTTTTCTTTCTTCAATAATAAAGTAACCTTAACTTACTGTAACTCTTTGGCTTTATACACTTTCAAATTTTTTAACTTTTTGACTCTTTTGTAATAACAGCTTAAACACACATTATATAACTGTTCAAAAATATTTTATTTCATTATATTCTTATTCTATCAGCTTTTATCTATAAAAAAAATTTTATAATAACTTTTTAGAAGTTTTGGAGAAAGCAAAGACACAAACACAAATGGTAGCCAAGGCCTACACAGGGTCAGCATCATCAGTATCACTGTCTTCCACTCCACCTTGTCCTACTAGAAAGTCGTCAAGGACAATACAATGCTTGGAGCTGTCACTTCCTATGATAACAATGCCTTTTTCTGGAAGACCTCCTTCAAGTCGTACCTAAGCCTGTTTTACAGTTAACTTTTATTTATTATTATTATTATTTTTGAAATGGAGTCTTGCTCTGTCACCCAGGCTGGAGTGCAATGGTGTGATCTCAGCTCCCTTCAACCTCTGCCTCCCAGCTCCTGCTCCAGCCTGCTGAGATTACAGGAGGGATTACAGGCATGGGATTACAGGTGTGCACCACCACGCCTGGTGAATTTTGTGTTTTTAGTAGAGATGGGGTTTCACCATGTTGGTCAGGCTGGTCTTGAACTCCTGACTTCAAGCAATCCACCTACCTCACCCTCCCAAAGTGCTGGGATTACAGGTGTGAGCCGTCACACCCGGCTTAACTTAATTTGTAATAAGTAGGAGTATGCTCTAAAATAACTATAGAAAGTATGGTATAGTAAATAACAAACCAGTAACATAATCATGTATCATTATCAAGTATTATGAATTGTACGTAATTGTACGTGCTATGCTTTTACAGAACCGGCAGTGCAGTAGGTTTGCTTACACCAGCATCGCCACAAACATGAGAGTAGCACTGAGCTACAACATTATGACAGCTATATCACTAGGCCATAGGAATTGTTCATTACGATCTTATGGGACCACTGTCATGTATGCAAACTGTCATGAACAGAGACATTATTGTGCAGTGCATGACTGTACAAGTTGTGATGGAGCATTGCATTTTCTCCTCTCCAGCAAGCTCCCAGTATACAGCCATATTTTTAGAGGAATGAAGAGAAAAAAGGGGGGAAAGTCTGGGCTATAATTAAACCCAGTAATAACAGGCATCTTTTATGAACTACCACTACATATCCTGCTATCCTGTAATAAACATTTTTATGATTTCATGCTTGATATGGTTTGGCTGTGTCCCCACCCAAATCTTTTCTTGAATTGTAACTCCCACAATTCCCACATGTCATGGGAGGAACCCAGTGGGAGGTGATTGAATAATGGGGGCAGATCTTTCCTACACTGTTCTCATGATAGTGAATGAGTCTCATGAGAGCCGATGGTTTTAAAAACAGGAGTTTCTCTGCATAAGCACTCTCTTTGCCTGCCGTCATCCACGTAAGACTTGACTTGCTCTTCCTTGACTTCTGCCATGATTGTGAGGTCCCCAGCCATGTGGAACTGTAAGCCCATTAAACCCTTTTTCCTGTATAAATTACCCAGTCTTGCATACATCTTTATCAGCAGCATGAAAGCAGACTAATACAATGCTGTTTTTCTAATACATGTGTGGCCAACTTTAGAGTTAATATGAGCCTTTTCTTGAAAGATTATATTCTTTAAAAATAAAAAAGTCTCCATAATGAAATAATTTGTCATTTCAGGGAGCCATTTCTTCTGTATATTGAGTGTCCAGGAAGGCAGAAGAGGATCTCTAATGATAAAGAACACAGAACAGACCAAATTTATTCTTGCTTAAGCCCATTGCTTCAACCTGATTAGTCAGATAAACAGACTTCGAGTTCAGCCCACAGAGCAATAAATATTCTGTCTCCTTGTCTACTTTCTCTTACACAGAAAGATAATTCTCAGCAAAGCTCACGAATAAACAAAATAAATGTAGGTCCTTGAGATTGTTTTCCAAACCTTTTGCCTGTCTTTATGACCTACAGTTTTGTTCAAATAAAAAATACTGAACAAGAATGTAAGAGTATTCCAGGTAGTGGGGACCTACAAAGCCTTAAAGGCAATGGAGAAGTTGGCATGTTTCAGGGAAAGGACAGCAGATCAGTATGGCTGGCGTCCAGCATGGAAAGGGGCACCAGATGTGGCTGGGAGGCTAAGCAGGTCCAAGTCCTGTAGGGAGTTAGGACTTGCTTCTCAGGACAAATCCGTAGAGCAGATGCTTCTGGTGCCAAGAGGGGCTGGCCCAGTGGGGAGGGGATTACTTGGAAATGGTTGTGCCCACTTGCTTTTGAAAACAATCATGGTGGAGTGAAGAGGTATGAGCATCGGCTTCATACACTGGCTCTGTATTTACCATCAGGATGACTTTGGGAAAATTGTTTAATTTGTGAGATTCCTGGGTTTCTCTTTCTGCCATGGTAAAAGGCACACGACCTCATAGGGTTTCTGTGAGGACTGAATAAGAAACTACGTACAAAGTTCCTGGAAAATGTCCTGCAGTTGGTAGGACATTTTTTATTTATTTAATTTTTTATTCTGCAGCATCTCTCTCTAAACATCCTTTCATTTTTAGTGATCATAGCTAATATCCTACATCCCAGACTTTATTCCCACTGATCTATATGAATTATTTCATGTAACCCTCACACCCTATAAACTAGGACTTATTGTTATCCTTGCTTTATAGAAGGGGAAACTGAGGCACAGAGAGGATTGATTAAAGTGCCCAAAATGACACAGCAACTAAGTAAAGATATGGGATGTGAACCCAAATAGTCTGGCTCAAGTTCTCTCACAACCACAAAGCAGTTTTGCCTATTACACAAAAATTATCCGTCAGAGCCCCACAAACAACTGCTAAGGTGCATACATTATTTTCATCATGATTTTCCACATACAGAAATTGAGGCTGAGAGTCCAAGTGGATTGTCTCTGATCAATTAGCCACAAAGAAACCAAACAAGGGCTCTGACCTAAGCCTGAAGATTTCAAATTGTGGGTCCTTCCCACCATACCTCATGGGAGTCCCACCCTCCTAAAGATGAACTAAAAGCAGGTTCCAATTTAATTACTAAAGGACACAGCTGTTCACAGGCCTCGTAAATCATTGTGTAATTGGAGGATATTCCAAGAGCATCACTCTCCCCTAACCTTAGTGCTTGTAACATACTAAGACAATTTGAATTAGGGCCTCTGACTGCAAGATCCTCACATAATCCAACACTTGCAAACCATAGGAGTTGTGATTTATACAAATTACTTCCACATGTCTCATTTATACATACACAGTTACACCTAATTTTGACACATGTTATTTGATAATAACAATGGTTATCCAAATCAATTTTGTTTTCTAAAGAAACAACATAGCAGTAAATCTTGTGTAAAAGCCAGAAAAGATAGAAGACAGATAAAGTATGTGAGTGTGTATACGTGTATATGTGTTTTCTAAACCTAGAAAGTGTGTTCTCTGCAAAGAGCAAAATATTAACTGTACTATAATAGCTTCTATAAAGTGAGAAACTTAACCAGGATCTCAATAGTGCCATATAAGTTATAGTTATGAAAAGTCAGACATGGAACCCCCTTGGAGTGGAGCGTGTGGAGATTCCTCAGGCCCTACTGCTGTCTGCCTGTCTCACTGCTGTCACGTAACCTTACCCTTCTTCATGCTGGTGGGCTGGGCTCCACAGCATGGAGCCACACATCACCCTGGCTGGACAGGTATGAAAGACCCTCTGAAAGTCACTAATAACAAAGAGGAATACGATGACCTTAACCACGCTGGGAAGCCAAAATCACAGCTCTGCACTTTCCAGAAATGATTCATTCTCAAACCTCATCCTTGCAGCTTCCTGCTCATTTTAAAGTAACCCACAAGAAAACTGTGAGGAGCCTGAGCTATTTCACACTTGCCAAATTTCCCTCCCCTTTGATGCTGAAAACAGAAGATATTTGGGAAGTTTTGTTTTCATACCTTGAAATTTTTTGCTGATTATTTACCATGTAAATGCAACTGAAAATACAATCATTCTTAACTACCAAATGTCATTTTGATTCAGTTATGCGGAGTCAGGACCTTTTACATATTCTGAGACAAAAATTTCTTTTTTTCCTATTTGGATGCCCTCTATTTCTTTCTCTTGCTTGATTGCCCTGACCATAACTTCCAATACTATGTTGACTAGGAGAGGTGAGAGAGGGCATCCTTGTCTTATGTTAGTTTTCAAGGGGAATGCTTCCAGCCTTTGCCCATTCAGTATGATGTTGGCTGTGGGTTTGTCATAGATGGCACTTATTATTTTGAGGCATGTTCCTTTGATACATAGTTTATTGAGAGTTTTTAACATGAATGGATGATGAATTTTATCAAAAGCCTTTCTGCGTCTATTGAGATCATCATGTGGTTTTAGTCTTTTGTTCTGTTTATGTGATGAATGACATTTATTGATTTATGTATGTTGAACCAAGCTTGCATCCTGGGGATGAAGCTTACTTAATTGTGGTGGGTAAGCTCTTCAATGTACTGCTGGATTTGGTTTGCCAGTGTTTTGTTGAGGATTTTTGCATCAATATTCATCAAGGATATGGCCTGAAGTTTTCTTTTTTTGTTGTATCTCTGTCATGTTTTGGTATCAGGATGGTGCTGGCCTTATAGAATGAGTTAAACTATCCCTGTTTGCAGATGACAGGATCCTATATCTACGAAACCCCGTAGTCTCAGCCCAAAAGCTTCTTAAGCTGATAAACAACTTCAGCCAAGTCTCAGAATACAAAATCAATGTGCAAACATCACTAGCATTCCTATACAACAACAACGATCAAGCCGAGAACCTTATCAGGAATGAACTCCCGTTCACAATTGCCACAGAAACAATAAAATCCTTAGGAATACAGCTCAGCAGCAGGGTGAAAGATCTCTACAAGGAGAACTACAAACCACTGCTCAAAGAAATAAGAGATGACACAAACAAATGGAAAAACATTCCATGCTCATGGATAGGAACAATCAATATTGCGAAAATGTCCATACTGCCCAAAGCAACTTGTAGATTCAATGCTATTCCTATTAGACTACTATTGACATTCTTCACAGAATTTGAGAAAACTATTTTAAAATTCATATGGAACCAAAAATAAGCCCAAATAGCCAAGACAATCCTAAGCAAAAAGAACAAAGCTGGAGACATCATGCTACCCGACTGCAAACTCTACTACAGAGCTACAGTAGCCAAAACAGTATGGTACTGGTACCAGAACAGATACATAGACCAATGGAACAGAATAGAGAACCCAGGAATAAGACTTCACACCTACAACTATCTGATCTTAGATAAACCTGACAAAAGCAAGCAATGGGGAACGGATTCCCTATTCAATAAATGGTGCTGGCATAAATGGCTAGCCATATGCAGAAGATTGAAACTGGACCCCCTCCTTACACCATATACAAGAATCAACTCAAGATGGATTAAAGACTTAAATGTAAAACCCAAAGCTATAAAAACCCTGGGAGACAACCTAGGCAATACTATTCAGGATGTAGGCACAGGCAAATATTTCATGACAAAGATGCCAAAAGCAATTTCAACAAAAGCAAAAATTGGCAAATGGGATCTAATTAAAGTAAAAAGAAGCTAAAGAAAAGAAATTATCAACAAAGTAAACAGCCTACTGATTGGGAGAAAATTTTTGCAAACTATGCATCCAACTAGGTTTAATATCCAGTAGCTATAAGAAACTTAAACAAATTTATAAGAAAATAAACACAACCCAATTAAAAGTGGGCAAAGGACATGAACAGACACTTTTCAAAAGAAGACATACATGTGGCCAGCACTCACATGAAAAAAAGCTCAACATCACTGATCATTAGTGAAATGCAAATCAAAACCACAATGAGATACCATCTAACACCAGTCATAATGGCTAATACTAAAAAGTCAAAAAAATAACAGATACTGGCAAGGTTGTAGAGAAAAAGGAACACTCATACACTGTTGGTGGGAGTGTAAATTAGTTCAGCCATTGTGGAAGACAGTGTGGCAATTCCTCAAAGATCTAAAGACAAAAATACCATTCAACCCAGCAATCTCATTACTGGGTATATACTCAGAGGAATATAAATCATTATGTTATAAAGACACATGCATGCATGTGTTCATTGCATCTATTTTCATATTAGCAAAGGCATGGAATCAACCTTAAAGTCCAGCAGTGATAGGCTGGATTTTTAAAATGTGGTACATATACACCATGGAATACTATGCAGCCATAAAAAAGAGGTGAGATCATGTTCTTTGCAGGGACATGGAGGTAGCTGGGGGCTATTGTCCTTAGCAAACTAACACAGGAACAGAAAACCAAGTATCATGTGTTCTCACTTACAAGCGGGAGCTGAATGATGAAAACACATGGACACATAAAGGTAAACAACACACACTGGGGCTCTTCAGAAGGTGGAGGGTGGGAGGAGGTTGGGAGGAGAGAATTAGGAATAATAAATAGTGGGTACTAAGCTTAATACCTGGGTAATAAAATAACTTGTACAAAAAAATCCCATGATAAAAGCTTACCTACGTTACAAACCTGTACATATACCCCTGAACTTAAAATAAAAGGTAAAAAGAAAATAAAATACAGTAGAGCCATAATTTTTTTTTTCTTTGAGAGAGAGTTTCACTCCGTCACCCAGGCTGGAGTACAGTGGTGCAATCACAGCTCACTGCAGCCTTGCCAGGGCTCAGGTGATCCTCTCACCCCAGCCTCCCAAGTAGCTGAGACTACAGGCGCAGGCCACCATGCTGAACTATTTTTTGTAGAGACAGGGTTTCACTATGTTGCTCAGGCTGGTCTTCAACTCCTGGGCTCAAGAGATCCACCCAGCTCGGCTCTCCCAAAGTGCTGCGATTACAGGTGTGAGCCACTGCACCCGGCCGAGGCAAAAATTTCTAATGATTATTCTATATTTTTTTATGTTGGTGAAACAGGATCAGAAATGTAAATGTAAAAAAAAATGAAACCTTTTAAGTACTAGAAGAAACTGTGAGTGAATCTGTCTTTAATATGGGAGTGGAGAAAAGTCAAAACCCAAAAACAGTAAGAGAAAGGATTGACAGGCCAGGTGCAGTGGCTCACGCCTGTAATCCCAGCACTTGGGAGTGCCGAGGTGGTTGGATCTCTTGAGCCCAGAAGTTCAAGACCAGCCTGAGCAATATAGTGAAACCCTGTCTCTACAAAAAATAGCTCAGCATGGTGGTCTGTGCCTGTAGTCCCCGCTACTTGGGAGGCTGAGGTGGGAGGATCACCTGAGCCCTGGCAAGGCTGCGGTGAGCTGTGATTGCACCACTGTACTTCAGCCTCTAGTAAAAATACAAAAAAATTAGCTGGGTGTGGTGGCACACGTCTATAGTCCCAGCTGGGACAGGAGGCTGAGACAGGAGGCTGAGGCAGGAGAATCATTTGAACCTGGGAGGTGGCGGTTACAGTGAGCTGAGACCAGGATATTGCACTCCAATCTGGGCGACAGAGTGAGACTCTGTCTCAAAAAAAAAAAAAAAGAAAAAAAGAAAAAGGATTGATAGATTTGATCTCACATATACACAATTTCTTTTCATAGCAAAATGTAGTTATATTGTCTTGATGTACAAAATGTTCCTCTTTGTAGTAATATGTCCAGCCTTTAAATCTATTTTGTATGGTATCAATGTAGCAACTCCCGTTCAAAGTCTTCATAGGGTATCCTTAACCAGGCTGTAACTTTCAGTCGATTTGTTTTTATATTCAAAGTAAATATCTTGTAATAGTATATATTAATAGTTCTTGAATTTCTATACTGTCTTTTGAAAAGTATCTAGTTCATTTCAATTATTAATATTATTGTATTTAAGATTGCTATTTTACTATTTTTAGAGTTTGTCTTATTTGTTTATTTTTCATCTCTTCTTCATGCCCTGCCTTGAGAGAGAGAGAGATTGTGTGTGTGTGTGTGTGTGTGTGTGTGTGTGTGTGTGTCTGTGAGAGAGAGAGAAATATATAGAGAGAAATATTTCAATATTTCATTTTAATTCCTTTAGTGGCTTTGTAGCTACCTCTTTGCATTACTTTTTAGTGGTTGCTCTAAGAGTTACAATATACATCTTAAATTTTCATCAAACTACTTAAAGTTAATATTGAATTATTGCAAGTAAAATACAGGAAACTCAAAACTATATATTTCTGTGTATCCCCACACACCTTCTTTGTGATATTATTGCCTTATAGATTTCATCTATAGGTGTTACAAATCCATCAATACAGTGCCATCATATTTGCTTTACAAAGTCACAGATCTTTCAAGAAAATTAAGAGACAATGTATATATTAATAATGTCTTTCATGTAGCCACATACTCAACATTTCTGGTACTCTTCATGCCTCTGGTAAATCAGCGTTATTTGTGCTGTTTTCCTTCAGCCTGAAGAATTTGCCTTACCAATTTGTTGTTGTTGTACGTGTCTGCTTCTACCAATTTCTCTCAGTTTTTTGTTTATCTGAACATGTTTTTATCTTACCTTTATTTTTGACAGATGATTCCACTGGACATCAAATTTTTAATTGAGAGAGTTTTATTTGTTTGTTTGGTTTGGTTTGGTTTTATTCAGCACTTTGAATATTTTTTTCCAATGTCTTCTAGTTCCCAAGGTTTTGAAAAGAAGTCAGCCCTTAATCTTGTCACTGCCCCTCTATCTGTGATATGTTTCTTTGTTTCTTAACGCTTTCAATATTGTTCCTCTGTCTTTTTGGCTTTCAGCATTTGACTATGTATGTTTAGAAACAACTTTTTGGTGTTTGTACTGCAAGAGGTTTGTTGAGATCCTTGAATCTATAAAATAATGATTTCCACCAAATTTATTTTATCAAATAGATACTTTTTCTGTTTTCTCTCTTTTCTTTCCTGAGATTCCCATACACGTATGTTGGGCCGCCTCATATTGTCCATAGGTCTCTGAAGTTTCGTTCATTAATCTTCAATACTTGTTCTCTCTTTTTGTCACATTTTTATTTTTATTTTTTATTAGTAATTTTTATTAATCCATCGTCAAGTTTATTTATTCTTCTGCTCTTTATAAAGTGCTGTTGCACCCAACTAGCAAATTTTTATTTCATTATTGAACTCTTTGCTCCAAGACTTTTTATTGTTTGCTTTCCTCTATTGAGTTTGTCTATCCATTCATTACTAGCATATTTTCTCCAATTATTTAAATGTATTTTATTTTAATTCTCTGAATATATATATCATAGCATCTATGAATTCAACAAACAGCTCCAACAATAAGGAAAGAAGTCAATTTCTGTTGACTTCTTTTCTTCCTATGTGTCATACTTTCCTATTTCTTTACATGTCTAGTGATTTTTGGTTTAAAACTAGAAAATGTAAATTACATGTGGTAATAAGTGTATGATAATTTTTCTGAGGATTATTGGTTTTTTTCTGGATTCATACTGCAAATTCCATCTCCCCCCAGTAAGCAGCTGCTGCTGTGTATTCATAGGGCTTCCTCTGCTCCGTTCGTAGGTTGCCACCTGTATGTCTCCCCTGTGCTTGTGAAATTTGGTGGTCAGACAATAATTTAAGCAGAGATGAGGCTTCACCTCTCTGTTTTTCTTCCTTGTAGAGATTCTCATTTTCAGTTACTCTGCTGGATTTGGGCTCTGCATTGTAACATTTCAAGCCCACTCAACTTCAGCTGTCACTCAGTCTCCTCATAACTGGAGAATACAGACAGTTTTTTAAAAGTATCAAACTCACTTCTGTGTTTCTACATAGATGTGTGGATTATCTTTCAAGAATCTAGTTCTCTCCATCCTCTTGTTGCTTTTTATGGGGTCCCTTGTGGTCTCATCTACAATGGCATATTTAGCATCAGCCAGAGTTTTGGAGCTTATTCCTGAATTTGGGTCTTACCTTTTCTGAGGTGTTGGTATTGCCATAATTTCCACTTTCAATTTTCAGCTGTTTTTTCAGCTCTGAACTCTGACTTCTGGCAGGAAGGCCATGTTTTGTCCAGCCATCATTCCTAAGAGCCATAATTGGGGTTGATCATCCTTCTGGTGCTCATGAGCCACAAACTCAAAATTGCTGCCACTTCCCTTTGCAATCTTTTGAAATTAAACTCCCTTGGCTTCTATTTGTTTTTGGATGCTTCCTAGTGTCTTTAAAGAGTTGGTTTTTCTATTTTAACCCATTTTTTAAAGATTATTATCTTCAGGGGCTCAAGTGACTGCTTCCCTTCTCTGCCTCCTATGAAGTGGATGTTTGCCCAAAATTTATATGTTGAAATCCTGGCCCCCAATGTGATGGTATTAGGAGCTGGAACTTTTGGAATGTAACTAGGTCAAGCAGTGCCCTTATAAAAAGACAGGAGAGCCTCTGCTTTCCCACTTTCTACTCTCCCCGATGAGAGGACACAGCAAGAAGATAACTATCTGTGAACCAGAGAGAGAGCCTTCACCAGAACCCAACCGTGCTGGCAACTTGATCTCAGAATTCCAGCCACGAGAACTGCAAGCAATTAATTTCAGTTATTTAAGCCAGCCCGTCTATGGTATTCTGCTATGAAAGCCCGAACTGACTAAGGCACTGTCAGTACAAATAGTTGAGAGATTTTTCTGAAATTTTAAATATTTTAAAGTACTTAAAATTTCCTTGAGTTTTTCAGTTTTGTATTTGTTAAAAATACAATATACTCGTTAAAAATTACAAGTATATTGCATTATGCCAGAGGGTCTGCATCTGTTCTACATTTGGAAGGAATTTATTGAGCTATTTGTAGTCTAACCTACATCAATGTTTGTTAATGGTGCATCATAAACAGTGAAAAAATAGATGTATTCACAGGTAGAATGGGATAAAGTTTGATATATCTATTAGGTACTTTTATCAATTATGTTTTTAAGAACGACCATGTCACATGTTATTTTTTCTCTGTTAGGTCTTTGATCAGCTATTAGAGGTTACTTAAAGTCTCTTGCTACTATTATGTTTCTATCCACTTTGTTCTTACATTGTTTGCAGTTTACATTTCATGCATATTGATGCTATTGTATATTTTACGCACAGTGGTGGTGCTAACAATATTTTATATTATTCGGTACATAAAAACTCATGACAGTTATAGGTTTATTTTACAATGTATCTTCATTGTAAAATAAGTCTCAGTCATGCTTTTCAATGATATATTTATTATTATTGTTTTTTGGCCATTTGACATGATTTTAGTTGTTTAAAACTAATCTGTGTGTTTCTTTTCTAATACAAAAGTATCATTAAGTACTAGAGTTTTGCTGCAAGATTTTATAGAAATGTGTGGCAAGATGGAAAATATTCTTATGTCCTCATCAGCTACTTAATCATTCTGAATTTTCTCACTTCCAAGGCTGAATCAGGCTCAACCCAGACCCAGAGCACAAGGAGTTCAGCATTATTGTACACCGTCTAGGTTCACGCAGGCCCCCTTCTCTTAATTCCATGAACATTCATATTTAAGGCAAAATATCCTTTGCTTAGCCATTTCTATAAGCTAGGCACAATAAAACACACTGTAATTATATAATATTGAAACTGTCAACAATTATGTGAGGAAAGTATTATGATCAGCAGTTGTACAGATGACAAGATGAGGACTTGAACATTAATTTGCCCAAGGACACAGGTTCTTTCAAGGCATTTTACGGATGTTACATGCCAGTTAGACCATGCATTGTAACTAGTAAGGGTGAGAGCCAGAGTCAGACAAAACTCTTGACTTCAAACACACTCCCCGACCTACCATATCTACCCTCCTCCCTCTCATACAACTTCCGAAAAAGAGGCTTGGCTTGCTGCAGCGTTCTGGCAGGAAACCTCCATGTCGGGCTGCTTCCTGCTCAAGCACCAACTCTGGTTCCATCAGCTTTGAGTGAGGTGCCATGAAAGCACTTGTGCATGGTGAATAAGCCATTCGCCACACAGAGCATGGGCCACAGAGAATCACTTGGGACCATTTTCTTTGCAAGGAAGTAGGGCACTGGCATTCATCTGGAGGCTTCTGCATTGTTGTACGGAGCTTTTCTGTAACAGGTTCCTCATTTCCAGAGCCTTTCAGTCCATTGCTTATCTGTCTTCCCTGCAACCAGCTCCTGCAGAGCAAGGGCCCCTCTTTGGTTACTGTTGTATTCCCAGAGCTCAGCACAGTGTGTGGCCAGGCACTCGGTGCATGTCTGTGGAGTTTTAAACACTGTGTGTCATGAGAATGCATTCTCTGTTCAAGAAAACATCATTGCTCAGATTAGCTGAAAGAAAAGCAAGTGTGAATTTTTAAAAACTTGGTATTATAGCTTCTATGCTGTTTTGTAAATTATAAATCTAAACAATAGTGAATGGCTAAATGGAGAATGCCTCCCAGGGCTTTTAAAATGATACATACAGATAGAGGTCAATTAGCACAACTTTTAAAATAAAAATGGTGTTGTTGACACACTTAAACATGAAGATCTCTCCTCTTTAAAGAGTTAAATATACTTTCTGATCTCCAAAGTCATTTCATCTTTGGGCTGAAGTTCTGAATTGATAAAGTTTTACTGACTATTTTAGCCAATTGCATCTGTTACAGATTTCCTTTCTCTAATACCTCTCTTAATGAAAGATCACATAGAATGTACTAAACCTTAAAAACAAAGGGCAGGCATCATGTATTTTAAGAACTTACAATTCTAACTTCTTTTTCTTTCTGTTTGTTTTTGTTTGCTTGTTTGTTTGTTTTTGAGATGGAGTCTGGCTCTGTCGCCCAGGCTGGAGTGCAATGGTGCGATCTCAGCTCACTGCAAGCTCCACCTCCCAGGTTCATGCCATTCTCCTGCCTCAGGCTCCTGAGTAGCTGGGACTACAGGTGCCCGCCACTGCGCCCAGCTAATTTTTTGTATTTTTAGTAGAGACGGGGTTTCACCACATTAGCCAGGATGGTCTCGATCTCCTGACCTCGTGATCTGCCTGCCTCGGCCTCCCAAAGTACTGGAATTACAGGCGTGAGCCACCTCGCCCAGCCCTGTTTTGTTTTTTTAAGACAGAGTTTCGCTCTTGTTGCCCAGGCTGGAGTGCAATGGCGTGACCTTGGCTCACTGTAACCTCTGCCTCCTGGGTTCAAGCGATTTTTCCTGCCTCAGCCTCCCAAGTAGCTGGGATTACAGGTGCCCGCCACCACGTTAGGCTAAGTTTTTGTATTTTTAGTAGAGATGAGGTTTCACCACGTGGCCAGGCTGGTCTTGAACTCCTGACCTCACCAGCTTCTTTGTTTTTTAAATCAATATTTTCTTTTTAAAAATACTCAACAATATCACCTGATTGGTTTTAAAACAATTCATCCTTTTCCAATTGATTTCTTCTCATTTTATTCTGACTTTATGACAGCTCATTTTAATGAACTGGGATACAATTACATCTGCACATCTATGTGCAGCACCTGTTGTTATAGCATCTGGGGCAAAAAGATCTGCTTGGAGCCATGCACTGCAGCCTTGACGATTGCATCAAGAGGCTTCCATGCCGAGGTTGAAGGAACAAGGGATTTTTCTAATAAAGAAAACCCAAACTCATATTTTATTTCATCAAGCACAGTCACCATGCTGTGCAGTACTCTCTTCTCCTTGAGAACTTAACAGGGGGAGCTAGGTCAACCTGTATAATTGTACATGTTTATATTTTGTTTCCTCTTTGCTCCTCATTGACCCTGAGTCCAGTGCTCCAGCCACTGCCTGTAGAAGAAAGGAAAAAGGAAAAAACAAGGTCCTTAGATGATGGGGACACCAATAGGAGGAATTCGAACCAATAGCCACAAAGGTGCAAGATCAACGTTCTGCCCCAGGCTCGGAGAGTGAAGAAAGATTCTGTCCAGTGGCAGTGGAGGTATTCTCACAGGGCTCAAAGAGCTTTATCCATGAAATAAGGACCTTTATCTTAGAATATTGTTCATAAGACTTAAAAGAGATAAAGTATCTGTAGCTCCCTGGACATGATGAACACCCAGGAAGTGCTACCAGTGGTTGTCAGAGGTAGTCAGAAGCTCATGGGCCAACTGGACATGGGCCAAACAGAGGGGACTGGAGGCAGCTGTTGGTCTATCCTGGAAATATTTTTGGTCTTTCCTATCAAGCAAGAGGCATAAAGGTGCCAAACCAAAACAACTTCTTTGCAGGCCCATCTCAGAAAAGAAGGGGGTCTAGACCATGGTAACAGGCTTTGCTTCACTATCAGAACCCCAGTGGAATCAGCTACTGCTAGGCACCATCCTGCTCAGTGTTTCTCCTTTCAAGTTCAAGACCCCAGAGCCATGTGGTAGGAGATGGAACTGTGCCTAGAGTAGATGGCTCTCTTATTTTCATATTATTTTTTTAAAATGTAGTGGGTTATATATTTCATGTATATTGATTTATATTCACTTTTCTTTGAGACAGAGTCTCGCTCTGTCACCCAGGCTGGAGTGTAGTGGTGCAATCCTGGCTCACTGCAACCTCCACCTCCTGGGTTCAAGCAGTTTTCATGCCTCAGCTGCCCAGTAGCTGGGATTATAGGCAAACACCACCACGCCTGGCTAATTTTTTTATTTTATTTTTTTATTTTTTTTAGTAGAGATCAGGTTTTACTATGTTTCCCAGGCTGGTCTCAAACTCCTGGCCTCAAATGATCCACCTGCCTCAGCTTCCCAAAGTGCTGGGATTACAGGCATGAGCCACCATGCCAGGCCTAAACCTTCATTTTTAATGTTCATCAGTGAAAAGCTTCAATTGAAAATAAAGACACTTAGTTGCTTTGATAATATCTAGTCTTGGCCAGGCATGGTGGCTTACACCTGTAATTGAAGCACTTTGGGGGGCTGAGGCTAGAGAATCACTTGAACCCAAGAGCTTGAGACCAGCCTGGCCAACACAGCAAGACCCCCATCTCTACACAAAAATTTAAAAAATATCCAGTTGTGGTGTCACATGTCTGTAGTCCCAGCTACTCAGGAGATTGAAGTGGGAGGATCTTTTGAGCCCAGGAGTTCGAGTCTGCAGAGAGCTATGATCACACCACTGCACTACAGCCTGGGGAACAGAGCAAGACTCTGTCTCTAAACAAGCAGGGAAATAGGTAACAATTTTTGAAACTCTAGTCTCCCTTCTTTTTTACTGTATCTACAAGATCTCACTATTACTGTGGGTGGAGGCAATGTACCTGTTTTTTTTAAAAAAAGAGAAACCTACATTTCTCATCATCCTGTGCAAATATGGCAGCCCAGTGACTAAGTTCTGGCCAATGAAATATAATGAGAAGCTGTTTGGTGAGGATTTGGCAAATCTTAAAATCATGATAAGGGTGTGCGTATTTGGGTTGCATACTGGCTTTGTGCCCTTTGCTCTTTGTCTTCCTCCTGCTTGTAAGCAGACACGGCTGGAATTCTAGGAACTGTTCTGAAAGCATCAGGATGGGGAGGACCCCTGAGAACAGCAGAGCAGAAAGGTGGAAAGAACCTGGGACTCAGATGAGTTTGTGGAACCCCTGTACTGATACAGATAGGAGACAGGGAAATACTGGGTAGAAGAGGGCAGTTCCTCAGCAAAGGCCCCACCCTCAAGTCTGCAAACCCACAGCCCTAAATGGAAACAGAAATTCTTGTTTTCACACCCAAATGCTGCCTTTTCCAAGACCATCCTGGCCTGCCACACCCCCATCCTTTACACATAAAAACCCCAAACCCCAGGCTCCACCAGCAGAAAAGCAGCAGAGTGGTGCAGCAGAGAAGGAGAGAAGAGAAGGAAAATCACAACTTCGAGAGGAATTCGGCTGGGGACAATCAGAGGAGAGATCGGCCACAGGATGACCAAATTCCAAGGGAAGATGATCTTCCCACTCCATTCCCTTTCCAGCTCCCCATCCATCCCACTGAGAGCCACCTCCAACACTTAATAAAATCCCCACATCCACCATCCTTCAAGTCCATGTGACCTGATTCTTTCTGGACACTGGACAAGGACCTGGGTACCAAGAGGGCATGGTGTAAAAGGCTGTGCCCCTGACTCTCCACTGAGCTGGTTTAACACTTAGCCGTCCATGGATGGCAACTGCTAAAAGAGCATTAATTGTAACACACCCCTAGATGCGGCCATGGGGCTGAAACCCAAAAGTGCTCACCTGGGTCCTGCACTTGCCCATCTGCATGCTCCCCTTCCTGTAAGGGATTTGAGTGTGCAGCAGCTGAGCAAATGAGCCACACACACCTTGTGGATTTTCAGTCCCACAAGTCCCACAAAGGGGTAAGGGAACTCTCCCATTTCAGTATCAGGCTTCGTTGGCCACTTCCAGATGGTTTTTACATCAGAGAAATTTAGTCTACTAGAGTGTTCAAGCTCTTGGCTCATCTTAAACATGACCATTAGAAAATAATTAGCCAAAATTAATATAACTATGTGAGATAGGAAGAAAGTTCTCGGCTGGGCTCGGTGGCTCACGCCTGTAATCCCAGCACTTTGGGAGGCTGAGGCGGGCAGATCCCGAGGTCAGGAGATTGAGACTATCCTGGCTAACACGGTGAAACCCCGTCTCTACTAAAAATACAAAAAATTAGCTGGGCATGGTGGCGGGTGCCTGTAATCCCAGCTACTCGGGAGGCTGAAGCAGGAGAATGGCGAGAACCTGGGAGGCAGAGCTTGCAGTGAGCTGAGATTGCACCACTGCACTCCAGCCTGGGCGACAGAGTGAGACTCCATCTCAAAAAAAAAAGGAAAAGAAAGAAAGAAAGAAAGTTCTCCTACTCTGTAAAGTGGGGGGTAGGGAAGGGGTGATGAAGGCACACCATCAGCTGGTACCCAAGCTCTGCCTCACTCATTTGGCAATCCTGGATCAAATGAAAAGAGCCAGGCTGGACCTCCATTCTATCATCATGAAATTCACGGCTTCTTTCAGCAGGTGTTTGCTAAGTATCTCACACATGAAGCACTGTGCTTTGTGTCTCTAGACTCGGTGATGAGCAGTGACATGCAGGTCCTACTAGCATGTCACTCCGGCTTGGATCCAAGCTTGGCAGCAAAGAGAGTGAAGTCATTATTTTATGCATGTCCTGGAGAGATACTCCATGGGTCCCTGATGAAGAAATGTGAGAAGAAAGAAAGGAGAGACCTCAAGGGGAGTGGGGTGGGGTTGGGGGGGCGGGGGAATATCCTCCTCATCAACCAGGTAAACAATAACTTTGAAACTCTGTCCACCCCACCAACTACACATGCGTGCATGCATACAAACACATATACACACAGGCATACAGCCTCAGAGGAAGTTCAGCTCTGTGATGCTGGCAGGGTTTGACCCCTCAGAGCAATGGGCTTGACTTTGACTAACAATTTGCATGCAACCAGGGCAAACTAGTTGTTGCTCCTCAGGCTCCTAAACTGGTATTTACCTACAAAGCACATGTTATTTATTGATACTTTTCAACTGAAATTTGATGCCCATAGGCACTTATGCCAAGAGTGGAGCTTAGTTACTCTTGTCTTTGAAAAACTCCAGATTTACTTTTTTCAAGGCCATTTATTGGCTTTCTCTTCTAGCGCAGCCTTTTAATTTTCAGGGGTTCTGGGAAACTAGGAGAAATCCTTTGCTATCGTGGAGAAAATTCGCTAGTGTCTTCATAAGTCAAAGATATTAGACATCCTTCTTCCTGAGAATTCCTACGTCGTTGTAATGGTGGATATTTGCTTTTCCTTAAAATTTCACACCAAATCAATAGTATGAAAAGATGACAGAAGGTAAAAAACACTCATAATTATATTATTGATCTAGAAAATGTCAGAACGTCAGGAAAATTAGACCCAAACAACTCATGTGTCCAACCAGAATAAAAATGACCAAAGAAATGGCCAATTCTTAGAGGAAATACGTCCATTTCCTCTAAGGCCTTAAAGACCCAGGCTCATTTTATGATTTTAAAAAATTCACGAATGCCACCGGGAAAGAGGCTTTAGTCATTTTTTGGTGATCTTCTGAATCGATATGCTGAGGAAGGTGAAACACAAGTGTGAACAAGGCCAGCTAAGCCATCCCCTTAACATAAGCTAAGTCCTTCCTTGTGCTGGTGATAACTGGAGAAAATTGCTCACACTCTTGTCAGCCCAAAAGTAATACAGACCTGGCCATTGTGCATTTCCATTTAACTATAACTGAGGCTGTAGACACTCAGCATGTGGGTCTGGGAGAGAAGAAGATACAAGTAGACCAGTTAGTCTAAAAGTGTCTTCTCCCATCTGGTACTCAAGTTTCCATGTTTTGACAGTTACTCCGCTTGGTCAAAACCATATATCTATCTACCCTCCAACCTCGTCCCACCACACACAGTGTTTAAAGTGTTAGATGGAGAGCACATGGCATGGTTAAGCAAGTCCTGGAAGAGGCTTGTGACATGGGGCTGTGTTCTGACTCTACCATCCACTAGCTTTGTGACTAGAACTAAAAGTTGACATCTCTGAATCTTTATTTAGAAAACAGAGAGATCTAGGCAAGGTTGTCTGTAAAATTCTTTTATCTATGAAGTACGTCAGCTGGTTGATAAATTACCAATGATTAAAACATGTCTCCGAATTATGGGACCAGATGGGTCTGCTTTAGAAGCCAAGCTAGGAAAAACGTAAGGAGGAAAGATACCCCTAAGGGATGAGGGGGACCATGTTTTTCAGGATTGGAACAGAGGTTTCTCACTGCAAGTTGTGCCCAGGGAGGCCACATGCCCTGTTGCACCCTCTGTCCTGTGGAAGAAAGGCTCAGGCAAATTAGCTTCCCTCCTATCAGCCTGCGAGAGCCCACACCTTCCATCCATCCCGCATCCTCCATCCATCCCAAACACTCCATCCATCCAGCATCCTCCCTCCATTGGGCAGCCTCCCACCATCCCACACTCTCCCTCCATCCCTCACCCTCCATCCATCCTTCACCCTCCATCCATCCTGCACCCTCCCCCAGCCCCCACCCTCCATTCATCCCTCACCCTCCATCCATCCCACACCCTCCATCCACCCCAAACCCTCCATCCATCCCACAGCCTCCCTCCATCTCATACTTTCCATTCATCCCACACCCTCCATCCATCCCTCACCCTCCATCCATCCCACAGTCTCCCTCCATCCTGCACCCTCCCTCCATCCCTCACTCTCCATCCACCCCACAGCCTCCCTCCATCTCATACTTTCCATTCATCCCCCACCCTCCCTCCATCCCAAACACTCCATCTAACCCGCATCTTCCATCCATCCCCCACCCTCCCTCCATCCCGCAGCCTCCCCTCATCCCTCACCTTTCATACACCCCCCACCCTCCCACCATCCCGCAGCCTCCGTCCATCCCACAGCCCCCCTTCATTCAGAAGCCTCCCTCCATCCCCTACCCTCCATCCATCCCACACCCTCCATCCATCCTACTGCCTCCTTTTGCAAGGGTGCTTGAGCAGGTCAGGGAACAGCCCAGGGCCCTCCTGTAATACCCTGGCTGTGGCTGTTGGGAAGCTGGAGGCTTGGGGCAGGCACTTGTAGTTCCAAACAACCATTTTTGGATTTGTGTTGTTGTTATTGTTTTGCTTTACCTGAATTTGATTTTTGCAGAGAAACTGGTGCTATATTTTTTTTTTTAGAAGAAAAAGGTGGCCTTGGGAAACTTCATCTTGGGGGTTTTGCCTGAAGGCCAATATCACACTCGAAATGGTTGAGAGAGATTATTTCTACCAGAGGAGTTGGCAGCTTCCCCAGAAACATAGGAAAGTTTCTGAGCACAACAGGAAACCAGACTTCAAAAACAAATTCTGCTGCTGCCTCCTGCCCTGGTGAGCCAGGGGCACGGAGTGAGAGGGAGGGAAATAGTCCAGCAAAGTGCTTTTTGCCATGGTCACCAGCCCAGCGAGGTCCCCGGGGTGGAGTGTCTCAGCCCAGTGCACCTTCACCGTGGATACAGGGGCGATGGGGAAGACCTGTCCTAGCACTCCCAGGCCCGCACTTGGGTCTTCACTTCTGCAGAACACAGTCACATTGAATGACTTCAGTGACACGACACTGGGACTGTCGCTGGAATGCAAGGCACTGTAGAGGGACTGCCTGTTTTTCTCAGGTAAAATAGTTCATTTCAAGTGGTGTCAGGGCCTTAAATACTTCCTTATCACTCAAGACAGAAACAGCCCCAGGACTAGACAAGGAATCAGTCACCTTATATGAATGCTCCTCCTGCACACCCAATGCAAATGCTTCACACCTTCAAACCCTCCCTGCCAGTCCCCTCAAGCAGTCAAATTAATTATCCTGATGATTGCATCACCTCAAAAAGAGGCAATCTCTTATAATCAATTACACTCACGGTCCTCCAGCATTCAATTCCTGTCAACGTACAATTTAAACCAGCACTTCAAAATCATTTATTTTTGATTCCTGGGTCTACTAAAATGGCTTCTCAGAATACATTTCTTGCAGAAACATTACCAAGGTCAATGCTAGAAAGGAAGGATTATGTGCAGGAGCTTCCTCCAAGGGCACCCCTCCCCAGCAAGATCTTCTGTGAAATGGGGTAGCAGAAAAGATGTGCACTTTGAGGGGTATTTCCACCTCCGATATTATGCAATTCTCATCTCAATCTTTCTGCACCCTCCCCCACCAACATATACCACCTTGGCTTACCTCCCATCTTGCTCTAGACTGCTCAGTTTTATAATTCAAATGTATGAGTGAATTTTGTGTCATTAATCAAATGGCATCCAGTCAAGCCTCAGCTTACAAATGGCAAAAACAAAATCTGATGACCTCACATTTTCAGGGGATATCTTTGATCATTTTATTCTGAGTTTCTACCAAAGCACTTACACTCTGTAAGTGTTCTGAGTGTAAGGATTTTAATAAAATTGTTCTCAAGATTTTTGTTTCCCATTATGATGATGTATTACACTGGTAGCAGAAAAAAACAGATATTGGAGCCAGTCTTTTCTGGGCTCGAGTCCATCTCAGTTCCACCATTTACTGTGTGACCTTGGGCAACTTACTTAACCTTACTAGGCTTGAAGATTCTCATCTACCTATTTAAGTGCCTAACACAGTGTCTGGCACAAAATGCAAATCAAAATGGGAAATTTCCTTCTCTTTCCTTATTCATTTCTAGATAAGTAAACAACAGTCCTGAAAGTTAAATATTTTGTCTGATATTATATAATAATAATTATTGTTATTTATTAATTATTATTTTTATAACTAATGTTCTTGGAGCACTTTTTTTTTCTCCCAGACATTATGGTCAGTTCTTATCTATGCATACCAGAAGGAGTATACAGAGGGAACTATCCAAAATTTCAAAATCATTTATAATTAGGTTTCAAAACATAAGTGAGCAGAAAAGCAACAAATAGATAAATTGGATATCAGCAAAATTAAAGACCTTTGTGCTTCAAAAAACACCTCCAAAGGGTAAAAAGACAACCTCCACAATGGGAGAAAATTTTTGAAAACCATATATCTGATTGTGATGATTAATACTGAATGTCAACTTGATTGGATTGAAGGATGCAAAATATCCATCCTGGGTGTGTCTGTGAGGGTGTTGACAAAGGAGATTTACATTTAAGTCAGTGGGCTGGGAAAGGCAGACCTACCCTTAATCTGGGTGGGCTCCATCTAATCAGCTGCCAGCAAATATAAAGCAGGCAGAAAAACATGAAGAGGTGAGACTGGCCTAGCCTCCCAGCCTACATCTTTCGCTCATGCTGGATGCTTCCTGCCCTCAAACATCGGATTACAAGTTCTTCAGTTTTGGGACTTGGGCTGGCTCTCCTTTTTCCTCAGCTTGCAGATGGCCTATTATGGGACCTTTGAGTTAATACTTAATAAACTCCCCTTTATATATATATATCTATCCTACTAGTTCTGTCCGTCTAGAAAACCCTGACTAATACACTGATAAAGGACTTGTATCTAGAATATATAAAGAATATTTACAATTCATTAGTAAAAAGGCAAATAATCCAATGAAAAATGGGCAAATGATCTGAATAGACATTTCTCCAAAAAAGATATACAAATGATCAATTAACACATGAAAAGATACTCAGTGTTATTATCTCTCAGGGACATGTAAATCAAAACTACAATGAGATACCAATCCACACCCAATAGGAAGGCTATGATCAAAAAGAAAGATAACAAAAAGTGTTGGCAAGGATTTAGCGAAATCAGAACCCTTATACACTGCTGGTGGGATGTAAAATAGGGTAGCTTCTTTGGAAATGAGTGTGACATTCCTCGGATTATTTTAGAAAAACCTATGACCCAACAATTTTACTCCTAGATATATATTATCCAGTGAATTGAAAACATAACCACACAAAAACTTATGCCTGAATGTTTACAGAAGCACTAATTACAGTAGCCAAAAGGTGGAAACAACCCAAATGTCCATCAGCCAAGGAATGGAGAAACAAATGTGGTCTATCCATACAATGGAATATTATTTGGCCATAAAAAGGAATAAAGTGCTGAAGCATGTTGGCAATATGGATGAACCTTGAAAACATTATGCTAAGGGAAAGAAGTCAGTCACAAAAGGCCACATCTTATGTGATTTCATTTATGTGAAATGTCCCAAATGGGCAAATCTGTGGAAAGTAGCTCAATGGTTTCCTGGGGCTGGGAGGATGGGGGAAGATGGTGAGTGACTGCTAATGAACACAGGGGGACCCTTTTGGGGTGATAAAAAAATGTTCCAAAATTGACTGTGGTGATGGTTCACACTGTGAACACATGACAACCAATGAACTACACACTAAATAAGTGATGTTATGATGTCATGTGAATTATATTTCAACAAAACTATTATTTTTTTAAAAAATAAGCAAGTAGTTTGTGTATGTTGTTGTTGTTGTTACTTTGACAAGCTGGACTCCAGTTTTAAAGTGGTCTGAGGTCCCTGGGCACACCCTTTATGCGTCCTCTCCCACTGAATGTCAGGGAACTGTCCTGGAAGTATCGGTGCTGAAGGGTGTTGAGTGAGTAATACCTGAGCCAGAGAGTCCACATCACACCCAATGAGGTAGCCCACCCCAATCATGGAAGCTTCTCGATGCACCAAGAAGTTCCCCCTCTGCACTGGTGCCCTTCTGGCCAGGAGTGACCATTCAGCTACTTCTCCATCTGGTAAACTCTAGAGCTTCTTGTAAGGCATGGTTTGGGGGCCCCTCCTGATGAGCCTTGCCCAATTCTTCCTGCAGGGAAGCCGCCTTGTCCATTCCCCCACTTTCAGATGGCTTGTACTGCATCATCATTGGATGAATTACATGTTCGCCCCGCATTAGGCTTTCAGATCCTTAAAAGTAGGGGTTGAAACTTGCCCATTTGAGCGCCCACATCACCCTACAAATACCCTATAAACAAAGAATGAAAAAGCAAAGAAGTCTCTGAGCATCCACTGTGTGTCACACACAATGATGTAGTGCTCACACACAATAGTTAAGTCTCACATAAACCTACGGGAGTTAGAATTATGAACACTCTTTTCCAATAAGGAGACTGACATTCAGAGAAGTCAGAAAACCTTCTCAGAGCTACAGAATTAATACTTGGCAGGACCTACATTCCAGTCAGGGCCATGTCGTGCTGAAGACCACAGCCTCTTATGGATAATTGAGTGACCTTTCCAGACCACGACTACTCATCTCCTCACCTAAAACTTTCTCCTATTTTCTTCTTTCTAGCTGGCTCTCACTCCTGCTTTTGCGCTGGAGTCTCTGCAACCTCTGGCAGAGTCTCTGGGACTCGTGTCAGGTCCTGGCTTTTTCTTAAAGGTGACTTCACCTAGGATGTATGACAAATGCCTTCTTGTTTGCTTGGACCCATTTCATGCCTCTCCAGTGGAGAATGTCTTGACCTTGTGACCCTGCCTGTCTGCCAACCTAGCCTTCTCACAGGCTTTGGACAAACCATTGCTTTTAAAATTTTTACTTTTTGGCAAGATTTCCAAGGTGAAGCGTTTCTGAATCTGAGGTGCAAACTCTGCATGAGCTTTCTGGCAGATATTCTGTAAGTGTTACGTTGGGTCAAAATGTCCACTGCAAAATAACTCTCCAGACACTTGCGGAAAATGGTTCCAGCGAAGCAAAAGTGGCATCACAGAGAGGGACAAGAGCATCTTGTTGCCATGGTAACAGCAGCTGAGCTTCCGGCACAGCCTGCAGCCCTGGTAAATGCCAATATGTTGTCTCACCTCCAGTGAAAAAAACAAAACAGCTTCCTAAACCCATCCCACTCCCTCAGGGTGCAGAACTGTGATATGACAAAGAGGCAGGTCAGCAGGGTTTCATTTCTTCATCAGAGTGTTTCTCTGGAATGGGAAGTATTAAGCTATGCAATAACTGAGATTTCTTTAATGACACTGGAATTGGAGTTTCTGTAAATTTCCCCTTTCACCCAATGCCAAGAGCTCCTGGGAGGAAGAGAAGCTTGAGCCACACAGTGGCTTACTCAGAACACACTTTCATAATGGAACAGAGTGCTCGATTTCCTTTTTGAACGTGTTTGAAAGATATGAAGTGACCCAGAATGATTTGAACGGTTTGAAAGATATGAAGTGACCTAGAATGATTTACAGTAAATATTATTTTTACACAGATAAGAATAGCACCGCGACACCTGCCTTCTCTGACATTCTCAACAGCTGAGACAACTCCCCTCATTGTTGACTGTCAATAGAGTGAAAACAACAAGAGGGTACTTCCCAAGGTCACCCCCAAGGTCACCTTGAGTGGGTGTCCGTAGGGCCTCAGCTTCCAAAGGGCACTCAGATCACTGCATTTGTTAAAAAGTCAAAAAGATGGTTTTTTATTCTAGAAACTCCTGCGGCATTCCTTCTTGGAGATGTGGGAGACCAAACCCAGAGGTGGGCTGGGGTGGTGGGGAGGGAGGGCAATGCAGTCCATGAAATGGTGTCATAGGGGTTGATGCCCTGTGGCTCTGAATGTTCACAGGCCTTTCTGGGAGAAAAGAGAACCCAGGAATCCATTTATTCCAGATTCCAGCAAACCAGAAAAATACGCAAAAACCAATAGACCCGCCAGAGCCCTGGCCCAGGTGGGGCCTTCAGAGGCTCCCTCCAAAGGCTCTAGGCAGACTCCCGACCAGCTCCCTCTGTCATGCTTTCTGCTCAGTCATTGGCTTGTCTCCTGGCAACCACAGAAAGCTACTTCTCCCCAACTGTCCTGTCTGGAGGGGCTGGTGCAACATCAGAACTGCGTTCCAAACACCACCCACTCCGTGCCCCACACTGTACTGCATTATCTGGGTAGTATTGTTTGAACTTGTTGAAAACATTACACTATAAAAGTTTCTTCTCCTTCTGGACAAGAGCACTGTCTTCTCTTTTCATTTTAATCCTAAGCAATAATGCCATATTCTATCCTTGGTCAATGTCCTGGAGTTGATTGATTGATTTGGGACATTTCCACTACTGCTCCCACTGGGTCTTCTCCATCTGCATTTTTAAAATGCCACCTCCATCATCCACACATGCTTTCTGCTAAGCAGCCCTCCGTTCTTCAGCCAGTGTTTGTGGGTCTGTTCCTCCTGCATGTGCTTTTTCACGGAACCCTAGATTTTTAATCAGATGTACTTTTTGTTGTTATTGTTAACAGCCATGAAACCTATGCTCTAGGAACCATGTGAACAAGCATTTTAAAAGGCACAAGGGGCTGGGCGCGGTGGCTCACGCCTGTAATCCCAGCACTTTGGGAGGCCGAGGCGGGCGGATCACAAGGTCAGGAGATCGAGACCATCTTGGCTAACACGGTGAAACCCCGTCTCTACTAAAAATACAAAAAATTAGCCGGGAGCGGTGGCGGGCGCCTGTAGTCCCAGCTACTCGAGAGGCTGAGGCAGGAGAATGGCGTGAACCTGGGAGGCGGAGCTTGCAGTGAGCCGAGATTGCGCCACTGCAATCCGGCCTGGGCTAAACAGCGGGACTCCGTCTCAAAAAAAAAAAAAAAAAAAAAAAAGGCACAAGGTTTGTTTCTTACAGTCAGGTGTACTCTAAGGGATTCTAAGTGTATGTTTGGTTCCCTGAAGAAAGGACACGGGAGCTTTTCCACTGTGGTTGGGTTGACCTCCCCATCACACAATGTTGCCATCATGGGAGAAGAAGACAGAAGGAGAGGGAAGGGGAAGATGCATTTTCATCTCTACCTATCCCCAGCCCAGAACACATGATGGATGCCGTATCCAGTTCTATCTCTCATGTTTACTGGAGCGTCGCCCACCCTCTGCTCCTGCCCCTAGACAAATTCAAACAGCTTCATTGTTTCACAAGAAAAATGAAAACCACCCCAAGCTGCCCTTTTGCACTCATGTGAAATTACTGCCGTGACCCAGTGCTGTCTCAGACCAACAAAGCTGAGATGACTGCCAGCTTCCCAATTAGCTCTGTCTGCCACTGATGCATCCGATGGTGACATGGAGACCCGGGTGCTACACCGAGCAGACTTGTCCAGCTGCATAACTGAATGTGATTCTCAGATGGAGCCCGTCCCTTTATTATAACATAACAACCACTGCAATTAACAGTGTGCTGGCTGCCTGGCTGGTGCTTGGAAAAGCTGATGTGCAGAGATAGTCTTAGGAAAAGAGAGCTAAAAATCACCAAATTCCAGAACAGCTGTGAATCACCTGCTCTGATGTGGGAAAATGAGAAGAGATCATGACTGTAGGAACTTGCAGGCATGTCTGGCTGACTTTATGGGCCCAGTGCAGAGCTCTAGGTTCATGCTTCTAACTGCAATGCCAGGTGAGACAATCTTCACCTTTGTGGGTGGGGATCTGTGCAGGTAATGACTTCACCTTCCCTAAGACTAATGGGGTATCCAAGGCCCTTCCTGATAGGCCTGCAGCCCATGGTCGTATGCACCAAACTTTCCCATTTGCCCTTCACACTTTAGACACATGGATTGATTTCGGGTTCCTGAACCCCACATCTGGTCTTGCAGAGCTCCATGCCTTATGCTTAGTGTCCACACTACCTGGAATGCTTTCTTGTCTTCTGTCTGATGAGTTTCCACTCACCCCTTAAGACCCAGCTTAAATATCACCCCCTCCAAAAAGTGTTCCCTGACCCCAAGCCCAAGTTGGGCTCTTATCTCTTTACCCTGTACCCATACAGGAGTTTGTTTCTTATCACAGTTATAACACTCATCAAACAGAACTACAGCTATTTATTCATGGGTCTGATTCCCTATACTGTACTGCAAGCCCCATGGAGGGTAAGGATCATGTTTTATCTTGTTCCTCTTTGTACCATCTGTGCTGGCATATAGATGTGTGTTGAATTAATAGAGGTTTGGACCAATATGATGTGTTAAGTTTAACAGTATTTAGGGTTTAATACTATCACCTTATGAGCTCAGCATATAAGGAAGGGGTACCTTCTTTTGACCCCTAATTTCTCTGATGGTTGAACAGAAAACACATAGCTCTTTGTTTATTCAAAGATACCATGGCAGCCCACCCAGGCTCCATGGGCTTGCCTGATAGAATGTTGATGACTCGCCACTCTGCAGAACATAATATTTTCAGCAGAAGAATCCCAATTACTTATACACGTCAAACTCGGCATCTGCTCTTTTCAAAGCAGATGGAAAGAAGGCTTTAATACTTGACACACATTATAAAACTACAAAGAGAAGAGCCAATCCATTCAACATCATAACTCATGTTGGTTGCTGACACTTCTGCTGGTATATAGAGATAACAGACATGTGCAGAATACTCTACTTGTAAATCCCCTCCCACCCAAAGATCAATGCCAGTAGGAGTTTATATTACAAGTGTGCGAGGGAGAACACACTATACCTTCTCTGAAAGGTAAATTAGGCTGCCCAGCAGCCTCTGGAATTCACAGGGAAGATCACCTTCTCATCCTCAGAGAAGATCATTTGTGTCCTAATGCCAAATTCCAGCCACTTCTGAGTCTGGGACAATGGGCACAGTTGTGCCAGCTTGCTTGTATTTTGGTTCCTGACAATGATTAGAGGTTGCTCCATAAGCAATCTACATAACTATGGAGTGGAGACAGGTGGACTTTGTGAGTTCTCAGGGAGAGGTCATTAGACACAAGTGCCATGTAAGACGCACAGTGTCCTGGTCCTATGACTAAGCTGAGACAAAAGCAGGGCAGTTAACATCTCAGGGTTCAGTTTCCCCACCAGTAAAATTAATACAAAAGTAGCTTCTGCAAGGTCACTACCAGCCCTAGCACTTATTGACTTTGTACCCCATACCCACGTCTGGTCCAGTGTGAAATACAAGTGGCCTAGGTCCCACTGGGAGAAACTTTGGCATGCAAAGGGAATAACTACCACTGAAGCTCACATGTGACCTTTTCAACCAGTACCCCAGTTTTCCTGACCCCCTTCCCTGCTTAGTTTTCTCCAGAGCACTTACCGCCACCCAATGCACCTTGTGTTTTCTCAAGTATGTTATTTGTTTGCTTATGCTATAATGCAGGGCTGATGGCCACAGAGATTGTTCTCTGCACCTAGACTGTTTCCTGATACATAGTAGGTTATTAATAAATATTTGTTGAAGTAACAAATTGAATTGCCCTCTGCTTTGAAAACCTTCTGTGTTATCTTAGGAGCAAATGATCAGGAAAAAAATATCTTTTTTACCCTAAATAATATCTGTTTCTGAGAACAAAGCTTCAGAGGTTAAATTATGGAGTGAATGACACTATAAGGCAGCTATTTACTAAACAGTCTGGAAAAATCTGGAAACATACATACAAAAGAGAAAAAAAGGTATGCAGTAAGTAGTAGGTAATTGGGCTATTACAAATAATTGAAAAATGTGTCATTTTATGCTTTGGTCCATTTGTAGAAGAGTCAACGGATAGAGCTGATTTTAACCTTTCATAACACACCCGAATCTCTATTTCCTGGGGTTTTCACTCTTCCTGGGACTTTGTCAACCTGCCTGTCCTTTAATCTCAGGTTTGCACAGATGAGAGAAGGATAGAAAGTAGATAAAGTTAAATTCTTGACTTTCCTGAGACCTAAGCAATGAGTCTGTAAGGCCACAGCATAATTACTTTAAGGTTTTCTAACATGATATGCACCCCCGCTTTGGGAACCAGAAGTCTTTGGAAGAAGCAGCCATGACCTCCTGCTAATAGCATGATATAAAATGTAAGTTTAAACCCAGGCTTCCCCTGTCTCAGGCCTTGGCTCTCAAATGTCTTAGCAGGGCCCCAGAAGCATGGGATCTGAGCCCTAAAGGCAGTGGTGATTGAACAGGAGCAGGGTTTCTGCTTAAACTCCCTGGGTCTCAACATTCCTTAGAGCTCACAATATGAGAAATTGATAATGGGAAAACAGGAAATCAACAAACTATTATTTAGCCCAAAAATGTAGAGTGTGTTTATCACAATAAAGTGGAAAACGCTAGAAGAGATGAAAAATCATCCTATTAGAATGCTGACCACATGATTTGAAAACAATAGCTAGGTTTTAGACTGCTTTGAATTTTTAGTGGGAACCACAAGTTTGGTCAGGGACTCCAGGGTAAACACCTCTGAAAAGTGGCCCGGCATCCCAAGCAGATAAACAACAGAAAGAGCTTAGCTTCCTTAAGCTGCTCAAAGCAAACTGGGGATACTCAATTGCTCTGGAAGAATGACTGTCAACTTCACGGGGATTTAAACAAATAATTCCCAAGAGTCTGGGCACTTTGAATCTGATGCGTGGCTTGCCAGATGGTTTCCATGTGTAGGGGATGTTTAGAGTCTCCACATTTAGGTTATTTGACGTTCTAGGCATTCCTTCTAACTCACATTTCAGACTTTGCTCTGGGTTTCTATATGAACTTTAAAACTATAGCATCGTCCAGGGTGGGATAAAAGTTTAGTTTCTGTTCATTCATTCACTCCCTGCAACAGCTGGGTAACCATCTATGCTCCTTTCCCTAAGCCAAACAGTGAATTGAGCCATACACTGTGCGAAAAAATAAATAAATCTTGGGACCCCAAACTCACTAAGCCAAAGGGAAAAGTCAAGCTGGGAACTGGGTCTTGCAAACCTGCCTCCCATTTTGGTTCCTAAACAAGATGGCTATGCAGATGAAAATCTACATACCTCCCTCACATCTTGCCCACAAGGAAATTCCTTGTGGGCCCCAAGATCTTTACCCTAAAGCAGTTCTGTTGAAGTTCACCATGATGATGTAAATTGATAGCTTACCTTTACAGGTGTGGGAAAAAGGACAGGACTCAAAGTCAACCCTCTGCTCACCTGAGACAAATGCATATCTGATTGCTTCCTCTGCCCTATTGTCTATGTTATCTTATGTAAAGATACAGATTCACTAAGCCAGACAAAGGCGTAAATAACTATTTCCCTACCTTCCCTCATATGAAAATTGTGTGTTTCCCCAATATCCTGCCTTTTCCCCTTTAAATATTGAAGCCCTCAAGATTATCTCTGGAGAAAAACACAGATCTGTCTCCTGGGCACATATCCTTGACTTTGCCAAATAAACCTCCTAAAATGTTTAAGGCTTGCCTTGCTCATTTTCTTTGATTTATAGGTGTCCTCCAGGCTAAAAATATAGATTAGAAATACAAATGGCTATGGTTAGAATGTGTCCCCCAAAGGTCATGAGTTGGGAACTAAATTCCCAATGCAACAGCGTTGAGAGGTAGACCTTTGAGAGGTGATTAGGTCATGAGGGCTCTGCACTAATGACTAGATTAATGCCATGATTGCAATAGTGGGTATATTTTTGGGAGTGGGTCCTGATAAAAGGATAAGTCTAGCCCACTTCTGTTTGGTCTCTTACATGCCCTCTCACCATTCTGCCGTCTGCCATGGAATGAAACAGCACAGAGGCCCTCACCAGATACTGGTGCCATGCCCTCGGACTTCCCAGCCTCCAGAACTGTGAGCCATATAAATTTTTCTGTTTATTACAAACTACCCAGTCTGTGGTGTTCTGTAATAGCAACAAAAAATGACTTAAGTCATTGTTCAATTGTGTTCATAAAGCATATGTGGTGTCCCAGATATGCATAAGCCCCATCAGGACCAACTCATGTTAGAAGAGGTTTTTCCTGGTTTGCCCACTCTGGGTACCAGAATTTTGACTTTAACAGTCTTTGAGAATCCCTTATGTAAAAATAAAAAATCAATGTGCAAAAATCACAAGCATTCCTATACACCAATAACAGACAAACAGAGAGCCAAATCATGAGTGAACTCCCATTCACAATTGCTTCAAAGAGAATAAAATACCTAGGAATCCAACTTACAAGGGATGTGAAGGACCTCTTCAAGGAGAACTACAAACCACTGCTCAATGAAATAAAAGAGGACACAAACAAATGGAAGAACAGTCCATGCTCATGGATAGGAAGAATCAATATCATGAAAATGGCCATACTGCCCAAGGTAATTTACAGATTCAATGCCATCCCCATCAAGCTACCAATGACTTTCTTCACAGAATTGGAAAAAACTACTTTAAAGCTCATATGGAACCAAAAAAGAGCTCACATTGCCAAGACAATCCTAACCAAAAAGAACAAAGCCAGAGGCATCATACTACCTGACTTCAAACTATACTACAAGGCTACAGTAACCAAAACAGCATGGTACTGGTACCGAAACAGAGATATAGACCAATGGAACAGAACAGAGCCCTCAGAAATAATACCACACATCTACAACCATCTGATCTTTGACAAACCTGACAAAAACAAGCAATGGGTAAAGGATTCCCTATTTAATAAATGGTGCTGGGAAAACTGGCTAGCCATATGTAGAAAGCTGAAATTGGATCCCTTCCTTACACATTATACAAAAATTAATTCAAGATGGATTAAAGACTTAAATGTTAGACCTAAAACCATAAAAACCCTAGAAGAAAACCTAGGCAATACCATTCAGGCAATAGACATGGGCAAGGACTTCATGTCTAAAACACCAAAAGCAATGGCAACAAAAGCCAAAACTGACAAATGGGATCTAATTAAACTAAAGAGCTTCTGCACAGCAAAAGAAACCACCATCAGAGTGAACAGGCAACCTACAGAATGGGAGAAAATTGTTACAATCTACCCATCTGACAAAGGGCTAATATCCAGAATCTACAAAGAACTTAGACAAATTTACAAGAAAAAATCAAACAATCCCATCAAAAAGTGGGCAAAGGATATGAACAGACACTTATCAAAAGAAGACATTTATGCAGCCAATAGACACATGAAAAAATGCTCATCATCACTGGTCATCAGAGAAATGCAAATCAAAACCACAATGAGATACCAGCTCACACCAGTTAGAATGGTGATCACTAAAAAGTCAGGAAACAACAGGTCCTGGAGAGGATGTGGAGAAATAGGAACACTTTTACACTTTTGGTGGGACTGTCAACTAGTTCAACCATTGTGGAAGTCAGTGTGGCGATTCCTCAAGGATCTAGAACTAGAAATACCATTTGACCCAGCCATCCCATTACTGGGTATATACCCAAAGGATTATAAATCATGCTGCTATCAAGACACATGCACACGTATGTTTATTGTGGCACTATTCACAGTAGCAAAGACTTGGAACCAACCCAAATGTACATCAATCATAGACTGGATTAAGAAAATGTGGCACATATACACCATGGAATACTATGCAGCCATAAAAAAGGATGAGTTCATGTCCTTTATAGGGACATGGATGAAGCTGGAAACCATCATTCTGAGCAAACTATTGCAAGGACAGAAAACCAAACACCACATGTTCTCACTCATAGGTGGGAATTGAACAATGAGAACACTTGGACA
Source organism: Homo sapiens (assembly GCF_000001405.40). NCBI lineage: Eukaryota > Metazoa > Chordata > Mammalia > Primates > Hominidae > Homo > Homo sapiens. The sequence goes on from NC_000010.11 coordinate 127,811,358, forward strand.
CAGGGTGGGGAACATCACACACCGGGGCCTGTTGTGAGGTGGGGGGAGGAGGGAGGGATAGCATTAGGAGATATACCTAATGTAAATGATGAATTAATAGGTGCAGCACACCAACATGGCCCATGTATACATATGTAACAAACGTGAACGTTGTGCACATGTACTCTAGAACTTAAAGTATAATAATAATAGAAAATAAATAAATAAAAATAAAAATACTTTGTAGGATTTAAGGATTCCACAATGATGACGAAAGGATTTGTAGCCAGTGATGAGACTCTAGGCAGTTTTTAATGAGAACTGTGTGTGTTTTATTCAGCGTTCCTATATGCAAGGTGGTGTGAAGTGTGTGTGGTAGTTCTGAGGTTGAATTTTCAGTTTCTTCTCACTGAGGAGCTGGTGATACCCTACTCAGAGACTGAGGGCACAGTTCTGGCTGAGTTTTCTTCTTTGTGCTCCATGCATACATCTTAGCCTTTGCTTACACATTGTCCAGATGAGTCTTGAGGCACTATGCCTTTTCTTATTGCTTCATGTAGTAAACCTTGCTTCTTCTCCATGCACTCTCTAGCACAAACTTTATCTTGGATCTTCTGCCATGTTCAGGGTTCCATGGGCTATGGTGATGTTAGAGATATTTTGAAATCTCCTTGGAAATCTATATGAAGTCTTAGTGAAAAATGAACCCTCTTTTATGCTGTTGCTCAGTCCATGTCACTTTCTGCCTAACACCATTAAACTCACCCCCTACCTGCCAAGAGCAGCAGCTAATGAACATTCCTACCTCATTACCCCCCTGTGCCCTCAGTGCAATGGGCTCATAAATCCTGTCAGGAGTTACTCTAGCTTGTAAGAAATGAAGATCAAGGGAAGAGCACCAGAGCATAGCCAGTATCTCTCTTAGAGGCCCTGGCATCTTCTGTTTTCAGGTGCATGACATCAAATCCTTCTCGGCCAACTACCCAAGGACCAAACTCCAGGAAGCCTCTCTCCAGCTCCTTTTAAGTTGTTGTCATTGGTAACTGGTTTAGCATGCATGTGTAGTTCAACTGAGTGTAAAGGGATTGGAACGAACTCAGTAGCAATGGGGAGTTGCCTGTGTCCTGAGTGTCATACTTTAAACATATTAAATGCAAGTTCCTCAGCCAAACTTACACACCAAAGTGAGGTTGAGTGAGTGTGTTGTGAGCTGAGTTGTATCACAAGAGGCAGCTTAGAGTAGCTGTTAAAAACCTGGGCCCTTTAGATAGGCAACTACAGTCGGACTGTAAGCTGTATGGCTTAGAAGCTGCACGTCTTGCACAGACTGCTTAACCTTGATTTTCCCAACTATAGTATCAAAAGAAGATAATGTATGGGAAGTACTTAGCTTGGAGAAGTGGATTTAGGAAGTACTCAGTAAATCTAAGCTCTTTGTGATGTACTTAGGGCGAGAAACCAAATGGACTGTCATCCAGAGAAATGTGCCACATGACGCCCCAGGCAAACTGCTCAGACTCTTCCGGGGTTATAACATCTTTCTGCTTCCTGACTCTGCCAGTCCAGTTTCTACATACACATCTCCTGAAGTCCTTCCCAGTTCTCCCCACTCCTCCATGAAGCTTTCTCTAACCTCCTGAGTGGTGGACTCACAACCCAGCAAACCGGAGGCCCCTGGACAGCCGTTGATAACTTCAGACCATTCTCAGAATCCTGCCAAATTCATGCAGCAGTAGTCCCAGGGTATTTATGAAACCCCTTTAGTCTGTTGCAAGTCAGGTTTTGATAAGGAAGAGCTAATAATACCTGGATCTCAAAGAGAGGCTAGTGTCCAGTGTTGCCCTTATCATTTATTAAGCTAACACATCAGAGGGGTAATAAATACAAATGGCAGCATGACAGGCCAGCACTGGGCATCTGGATCTTGGCGGTGTTGGTGTTGTTATCCTCATCATGGTGTGGGATGCATAGCTGATTGGCATCCTTATATCTCCGTGACTGTCTCCCACACCTCTCCAATGGTCTCATGTCACTGTGGAATCTCTCCAAATATTGTGGAAATTTATAGCCCAGAACAATCAGTTGTGTCGTTCTCTCAAGTAAAAAATACCTTGCATCATTTCAAAGGAAAAGTATGACCTCTGCTGGAAGAATCATGGGACTGACCATTACCAGAAAGGAAGGAAGGAAAAAGAGGGAGGAAGGAGGAAAGCCCTTGATGGCAACTCAGAGCCCTCTCCTCTGTGAAATGCCAGGCTGATAGAACTATCTGCTTGACTGCCTAGTTTCATTGCCTTTGATTTTTCTTTCCTGATGCCCCCTAGCATGCCTCACAAGGGTGAAACCAGCCTTCTATCACCCCCAGAAAGCAGAGCTACTATAATCTGATCTTAACCATCCTCTACTTACCATTTGAATGACTTTTTTCAAACAAGGTTTTGGAGAAAAATATTCTATTACTGTATTTTTATATTCAATTTTGGCTTGTTTTATTTTGACAGAGGAAGTGAGTACAGAAGAAACGGAAAAATTGTCATGACAACCATTTAAAAATCACAATTTGGGCTGGGCGTGGTGGCTCACACCTGTAATCCCAGCACTTTGGGAAGCTGAAGCAGGCGGATCATCTGTGGTCAGAAGTTCAAGACCAGCCTGGCCGGCATGGTGAAACCCCGTCTCCACTAAAAATAGGAAAATTAGCTGGGCATGGTGACGGGCGCCTGTAATCCCAGCTACTTGGAAGGCTGAGGCAGGAGAATCGCTTGAACCCAGGAGGCGGAGGTTGCAGTGAGCCGAGATCATGCCACTGCACTCCAGCCTGGGCAACAAAGAGTGAAACTCCATCAAAAAAAAAAAAAATTGAATGGGGACTAGTATTTAATTGTGGAAGTTGATTTATCATAAATCTGTTTACAAGTGAAAGATTTTCTCCATATTGGAAGATAGATGCTATTAGCAAATATTTAATTGTTAGGATGAAGGAAGGAACAGCAACTGAAAGATTAAATGCTTCCCAAAATTTCAGAACAGGTATAAACTGAAAAGGTTGAACCTATACTGTTGAAAACAATTTCTCCCCTAGTGGAACTTCTCAAGAGTTGGAAAGAATGGTTTGAAAATGAGAAGGTATTTACCATTAAACCTGTCTCCTCTTAAATTTCAACAATTTGCTCATGTCACTCCTCTTATCAGATCTTCACCCTTACTCCTCCTATTCCAGATACTCAGGTGCGAGAAATGCTGGTCATTTCCTCCTCAGCTTCTCCTCTGTCCTACAGACTTTGGGAGAATCTGCTTCTCTCAGTCCTAGGTGCTCAGGTTATAGCAAGGACTGGGCTTCTCCTCCCCATATATCCACAGCAGACTCCAGGCAAGTTATCAGCTGGACTGGGGCAGTCCAATCTGTTCACTCTGGAAAACTTGAAGATACCCAGCTCTTAACTGGATGGTGATGTGCACCCAGGGCCACGGTGGTTAGTTTTCAGCACTTGACACAAGACAGTGCAGCAACAGAGCAGAAAGAAGCAAAGATGAGAAACCATGAGCCTCCAGAGAGACAAAAAAAAGTAGCCTCACTGGTTGACTTCCCATGTCCCAGGTCTAGCCCCTTGTACGACCTGATTCTCCTTTCCACCATGGAATCCCAAAGATACCATCCCCTCCCCCATCAGTGTCATAACCACCATCATCTTTACCATCATCAGTATGATCTTCACCACCTTCACACCAGCACTACTTTCAGCACTATCATCACCATCACCATTTCCACCATCATCACCATCACCAATCAGTATCATCACCAAAGCCATCAGCACTATCACCATGACACCAGAACCATGACCACGATCACCATCAACCATGCCCATCACGACCATCATTACCACCACCATAGCCACCATCACCAGTTTCTATAGCAACATCCATACTGTCACACTATGAGCAAAGTGATCTCTTCTGGATTAAGCTAATTTGAGTGAATTTCTGTTCCATGTAACTAGATGATCCCCTAGTGGACAAAGAAGAAACAGAAAAGTTGTCGCTGTGAACCATTAAAAATCACAATTTGAATAGAGGTCATAAATGAAGAGGTCCTGAGATTAGGATTTCCGAAAGTTAACACGGTGACAAAAATATTGACACTAACCCAAAACTCACATGAGAAAAGCATTATGTAAAACATTGGCTTTGGTATATTTTCATACAGGAAGTCAATAACATTTTGTTTAATTACAATTTTGTGAGGGGAATGTCACCACAAGCAAAAGCAAAACCATATTTTGCATTTTTCTTTTTAATACATCCTCACATGCTATGGTACAGCAAAAACTTTATTTGGAATCAAAACCTGTGGTGCAAGAGGTCCAAGAATAACACTGGGCAAATTTCCTAGCATCTCCCAGCCTCAATTTCCACTTCTGTGAAATGGGGACAATTGTAATATCTACTTTAAAGGGTTATGGTATTAATAAGACAATAATTACTATTATTAAATACTTGTCACTTGTCAAGCCCAGTTCCTGGCACTAAAAATGTAAGCCATTTTCATTTTGCTTTTATTAACCTTTTGTGTCTTTTGCAGAGTCTACCACATGACTGTTTAATTAGTGTTAAGGATACCAGTAAATGAACATTTAAGTTAGGACGGGGGTAAAATACTGGAGATGGGAAATACACTTTTTGCCATTGAATATACAATGCCCCTCTAAAAAGAGGAGAATCAAACATGGTCATATTTGTTTAATTTTATGCAAAAGCCAAAAGTGCTTTACAGACTGTCTAACAAGTTGCTTTAGGCCTTAGGGAAAATTCCTGTTAAAACTGGACCTAGGGCCAGGTGCAGTAGCTCATGCCTGAAATCCTAGTGATTCAGGAGTCTGAGGTGGGAGGATCTCTTGAGGCTAGGATTTCGAGACCAGCCTGGGCAACATAAGGAGACCCCACCTCTACAAAAAAACATTTTTTTAATTAGCTGGGCATGGTGGCATGCACCTGTAGTTGCAGCTACTTGGGAGGCCGAGGTAAGAGGATGACTTGAGCCCAGGAATTCAGGGATGCAGTGAGCTCTGGTCGTGCTACTGCACTCCAGCGTGGGTGACACACAGTGAGACCCTGAGACTCTGTCTCTAAAAAATAAAAAATATAAGTAAAAAAAGGAAAGAAAGAACACAAAAATCCCAACCTAGAGTTCCTGAATTCCTAAATATCTCTGAGTCACCAGAAGCCTGGTAGGCCTATAAAAATACAATGTGGTTATCTCATATAAGGGACAGCAAATATATTATTGACAGTACATTTAAAGCTATTTGTTTCTAGAAAGACACAAATTAAACAAGGAAAATGTGAATGGCTTCCCTATTCTTAAACCAGATTAGAAATAAATTATAGGTAAATTTAGGCTCACAATAAAATTCAGTATGAAACTGCAAAAGCCCAAACAGAAAACCCAAACAAATATAACCATCTTCTTAACATTAAAACAAATGTTAAGCCTTTTATTTGTTTCACTGCCTTAAGAATTTTGAGATAAGAATAGGTATAAGATAAAATTGACACTGAGACCAAGGGCTGCACAGGAGCAAGCTGAGAATGAACAGAAGAGTGGCCGCCCATTCTGAGGACCAAGGGGTCTTGAGTCCTTAACCATCTTAGTCTCAACCTGAGAACCTTGTACATTCTTGTTAGAGATGAGGCTAATCACAGAAGAAACTACACTCAAATGTCCCCAAGAGGAGGAGGATGGGGAACTCAGAGAGCTGGCAGTTCCTGATATTGACCCTATTTCATGGTAGGATTCCTTCATCAGCCAGTCCACAAGCATTTCTCCATGCGTTGGGTTCAGTATATCATCTTTGTGGCACCAGGCCTCACAGTGACAAATTCTAAAAGTGACAAGCAATCAGACTAAGATAGTGCTGCTGCTTTGTCATTGACTGTTCAAGAGATGGTGATACCTATGTATTAGTCAATCAATTTAATAAAAATTGTTCTGCCACTGTAAAGTCAGCACTTGACTCTCTCATTTGGGGTGTGTCAAGAAAGGTCCCTATCCTAATCTTGGAGAGGGTAGAAAATGGGCTGGGGGGTCAGAGTGGGAAACTATACTTCGATGAGTTGACCAATACGGCTGAAGGTGGTAATTTTCTACCCGTTATCCACTATTCTCCATTTGCCCAGCTGAAAGATGATATACCAAGCTTCTCTGACTGCTAGATACAACCATGCAACTAAGTGCTGACCCGTAAGATGAAAGCAGATGTCAAGCTTTTGGCATACTCCTTAATGGGATCTTAGTGTTTCTACACTTCTTCATTTCTACTGCCTAGAATACTGATATGACTTTTGGAGATTTGACAGCCATCTTGGACCTCAAGGTGATCTTAAGAATGGTTGTCATGTGCTAAGGATGATGGAGTGAAACAACAGAGGAACCTTAGGTCCTTGTACCTTAGATCTACATTTCCAGACATGGGGTACCTAACTCTGAACTTCTTTTACATGAGAGAAAAAAACCCTAAAATTTTGAAGCCCGCATTATCTTGCATTTGCTGTTATTTACAGCTAAAACTAGAAGTTATGACCTCTTATTCCTGTTCTGTTTGTATACACACCTAGAACAAAGCTCATTAAGCTGAATTCTAAAATGACATCTTCACTCCAGTTATCTAAGGTAGCTAATGACAGTCATATGTGAAGGGACTATAGCAGGGCTTCTCAGCTAATTCTGCTCACCCCTTAAGACCCAGCTCAGGGGTTGATATGTTTTGACTCTTTGTCAGCACCCAAATCTCATCTCAAATTGTAATCCCCATAATCCCCATGAGTCAAAGGAAGAACCTGGTGGGAGGTGATTGGATCATGGAGGCTGTTTCCCCCATGCTGTTCTCATGATAGTGAGTGAGTTCTCATGAAATCTGATAGATTTATAAACACTCTCTCTCTCACCTGCCACCATGTAAGACATGCCTGCCTCCCCTTCCACCATGACAGTAATTTTCCTGAGGCCTCCCCAGCCATGTGGAACTGTAAGTCAATTAAACCTCTTTTCTTTATAAATTACCCACTTTCAGGAAGTTCCTTTTAGCAGTGTGAGAACTGACTAATTCAGGGGTCACCCCGGGAAAACTTCCCTAATTTCACCTTCATGCCTGAGCTGCTTAAGGTGCCCTCTACGCTCCCATTTTATGCCGTGCATGACTATGTCTTAATCTTATGTGCTTGATACATCCACATTCCCCATTCCTTGGGGGTAGACACTGTCTTCATTCAGCTTTGTCTTTGCAGGCTCTAACATAGGGCCAGGGATACAGTAGACAGTAGGCACTCAATAAAGGTTTAGAGAACTCGGTTATGTTTATCTGTAGCTGCTTTTCAATGATGTTTGGGGCTTTCTTGACTCACTCTAGAGACAAAAATAAAATAGCCCTTACATAAAAATGAGTGGAAATGGATGGTTTGTTGTAGATGAGTGATCAACAAAATAAAGACCCTCACATCAGAGAGCTGCCACCTCTGCAGGTAGGGCCATGTTTTGCCCACAGATCATGCTGGCATGATGTAGGGCTCTGTAGATCAGACAAGCAATTAAATTCTGCTTCCTGTGAGTGCAAAATTGGTCACCAAAATAGCTTCATCTCTTCATGGCATGCATCAAAAGTGTTTGTTTACAGACAGTCGACAGGCTGCTAATTACCTCCTGACACCCTGCGACGACACTCATTCATCTCCCACGCAGGTCCTGACAACCGTAAAGTGTGTACCTGTCACCCTGACTTACCAAGGAGCAGTTTCTCTGGGTTGAGGCCATTGACCCCACTCCCATTTGAGTGACAGAGATCAGGCCGTTTCTCACTTCAGGCAGCCTGACCCTTGCACAACCCACTCCAGTTTTTTGTAGGAATCCCTTCAACTAATGAACACTGTGTTCCTTGGGCCAGAGGTTCCAAATAATTGCTGTGTGATTGTGTATCACAGTTCTTGGCAGCTCATTATGGGATGGGGAAAAAAAAACCTTAGGATCCGAGTGAGTCTAACATCAGACAACTCAGTTTTATCTTAATTGAGACACTGAGAACTCCTGAGCCACAAATTCTATTTTTCTCAATTTAGGCTTATAATTCTCCACTCAGTCCATTTATAACCTCACTGATTTTAACTTCTTGCCCCCTATTTTGAAGTAATTGATCTAAGAAAGATAATTGAGGTGGGAAAATGGCCTTTAGATATTCCACCTGTTTTTTAAGTAAGAAGTAGAGGGAGGTCATGGACATTGCATGCCCATGAACCAGGCTGGTATGATAGGTCTTCCATCTCAGCTCTCTCGACCACAAAATGGTAGGTGGACATCAAGGTCCTTTAGAAATAAAATTTTCCCACTTGGAGTCATATTTCACTGAATACCATATAAAATACATCCTGGGCCAATGCTTGGAGTTGAGATGTTCCTGTAGACCGTACTTACACGTTCTTTTCTCCCACCTAAGCTCATTCATTAATTTAATAAATATTTGTGGAGTACCTACTATGGGAAAGGCACTATACTCAGCCCTGAGGCTATAGCAGAGATTAAGGCCCTGCCCTCAGGGAGCTCACAATCTAGGGCAGAAGACAGACAACAAGCCCCAAACAGGCTGATCCTATTATGTCAGGAGCAGACTAATGCTATGAAGAAAATGAAGCATACTGGAAGGACAGAAGGTATGAAGAGGAAGTGTGTTCTTCAACATTGTCATACATCAGGAGCATCTGCAGGATTCTGGATAGAGCAGGCAGAACACTTGAAACAGATTTAGCTGAAGAGGGTTATATGAATTAAGAGACTACCAAAAATGCTGAAATATCAAGCAATGAGCTACAGTGGGAAGCCATTACTTCCGTGGACCTGAAAGAGCTTGGGAGAGGAAGGAATTAACAGGCCACGTGACAGCCTGCTCAGTAGGAGAGAGAAGGTTGAGACCAAACTCTGAGGCAAGGGCCAAAGCACCAGTGAAGGCCCACACACCACCACTGTAAACATTTCCAAGTGATATTTCAAGCTAACAAATTATTAAATAAAATTAGTTCTATTCTCCTGCCTTGGTAAGTATATCTCTATAATGACAAAACAGAAAAATACATGTAAAATTTTAGTTGTCTACAATACCCCAGTGGATGGCGCTTGGACATGCCAAGTCCTTTAAACTAGAGCCACAGCCTCATAGTCACAGCCCCTCTGACCTTCTCTCACCTCTCCTGAAGCGCAGGGAGGGGCTTTTCCTGAAGGTCTCTTATCTAAGGGAAGTTCCTCCCTTAAAAGGAATGGGACGGGACAGTTGTGAGTGTTCTTCCTGGGATCTACATGAATTGGAGATGATTAAAGGTCTCCATGCCCAGGTCACCACACCCAGACAGACTTTTCACCTCTTCTTCTGAAGGCTCCTACCTAAGGGACTTTTATTTCTGCATAAGACAGCCTTAGTTCCCAGTGCAGTTCCTCCCCTCACCCTCCCATATCTTGTCACCACCACTCTCCAGCAGCCTTTAAGCTCCTGTTTATTTCTGTAGCTCAAAATGCTATTTAAGCTTCAACCACCTGGACCTTTTTGAGGCTCATGCTTGTGGGACTCCCATGCATACACATTTAATCAATTTGTATGCGGTTTCTCCTGCTAATCTGGCTACTGTCAAATTTATTTCTCAGATGTAAGTATCGAAACACCAGAAGGGACAGAGAAGGTTCTCTTGCCCCTACACAACTGAATTCATTATTATTACACATCTTGGAGTATTCTGTTGATAGGCAAACAATATTTGAATGAGTAGAAAAACCCTACACGATCCATAAATTTCTATACATTTAATCCATACAAGTATTTTCCATGCCTTAATTTCTTCAAACTTACAAATTATGTTTTAAATCAAGCCTTTTAACGTAGTTTATATTGTATTGATGATAATGCCAAATTAGACATTTCTTGAGTTACTGTAGTTCTTCGGTTCTTAAGTTCATTTATTAACTCAGTTGGGAGAAAGTGAGTTCTGCTGAGGCAGTAGCAATTGGAATTGCCAACAAAATTCTAAGCAATACTTAAATTCAGAAATAAATCATAAATTTAACATATCATGTTCAAAAATTATAATGAGTTCTCACACGATAAATTATTATTCCTTAAAAGATTCAGAACATTTTCAGTTTATTACATAAATCATTCTCACGTATTAAGCAATTTACCTATCTCTTAAAGCAATGTGTGTGTGTGTATATAGAGAGTATTAGTTTTTCTTTTCTCTTTCAAATTTTTCAATGCTAGACTTTTATAAAGAAAACTGATAATAGTACAAGAATATTCAATTTATTCAATTTTCTCTTTAATTACAGAAACTGGTTTCAGAATTATTTTATAGAATTCTCTCCTTCATAGTCATGCAAAATTTTTACTTTTGGATTCTAATTTTCTGATATGCTTTTTGGAATGTAACTTTACTTTTCCTGATATCCTTTCCATGTGGATTTTTTCTCTTGAAAATTTAAAAATATTTAAAGTTCTTTAAAAAGTAAAAATAGAGAAACTATGATCTACTTGACTTTTTTTTGGTTTGATTTTGCTAACATTATTAACAGCAAGCAATAATTTATAAGAATTGTAACTGACAGTATCACGAATTCAACACTGATTTTTCATAAAAGACCAAGACGTATTCTTTATTTGAGGACCTCTTGTCATTGCTTAACCATCCAGTGCATCTCTTATCTTGACTAAATTAAACCTAAGTGCTTTGAAGTCATCCATTTGGCATTCTATTGTGTGTCTAAAGCAGTCGCAAAGTCAAATTTGACATGTGTTTCATCACAACGTTCCATGGTGGGCAGATGCAGAAAATACCATTTTGACCTTTGAAGCCACTTTTGCAAAATTATGACAGTAAAAGAAACCTGACATAGTTTACTCCATTTTGCTTCAAACCTCCAAGCTGTCCTTGATCATTCCTGGGTATAGACCAAGCTGGCCTTGGGAGAAATTTGGTTTATAGTTTAACTTTAAAGCAAGAATGATAGTAGCCTTTCCCAAAACTCAGCTGCCTTTGTAAAACTAATGAAAGCCCACAAGATTAGGATTACAAGAAGGTCCTGAATTCTGTTAAGATGTAGGCTTAGTTAAACAATAACCAGTCATTTCTCCAGAGGTCACAAGATTTGTAACTTCCCCAAGTACTCCCACAGATAACATCACTGTTGTAACACCTAAGACTGGACTTTTGAGATGTCTTTCAGACTTTTACATTTCTGATGACCAGCTATCTCCACCTGGACTCATGACTCAGTCCTGTGGACCCTACCCAGAGGCAGACTCAGCACATGAGGACCATTTTCCACTCCCCTATGATGGCATCCCCAACCAATCAGCAGCACCCATTCTCTAGTCCCCTCTGCCCACCAAGCTATACTTGAAAACCCTACCTCTTAGCCTTCAGGGAGATGGATTTGAGTAATAACTCCATCTGCCACCTGGGGTGGCCAGATTTATATCAGTTAAACCCTTTACTGCAATGCCATGGTCTTGGTGAATTGGTTTTGTCTGTGCAGCAGGCAGGAAGAACCCATCAAGGGATTACACCTTAGTACAAAAGAATGGCATTGCTTGGAAAAGCTGGGGCCATGTCTCCTAGTAATAAACGTGTCAGTGCCTGACATGCAAGACCCACTGGAACCAGAATCAGCTGTAGGAGAAGTAAGCAAATGGGTACTGGGCCCTACAGGTGATTGACGCCTCATTATGCATGAATCTCCTACATCTCTTAGCATGAGGGGAGGGATCTGACAAGGTTGTTGATCTGTCTTTTCTCTTGCCTGAGAGCTTCAGCCACTCAAGTCCTCCCCGCTCTGTAATGCAACATCCACCTCTGCCTTGGCAGTGGCACTGCCCCCGAATCCTGATGGCCTTGGGATGAAGTTGCCTTTTGCTGTCAGAACACAAGAAAGAGACGTGGGGATGTATCCTCTGGGACCTGAAGGACATTAGTCCTGAGAGCACATGCTTGTGGGTGTGCCAGTGTAGGTGAGGAAAGTCTTTCCTCCCTGTCCTTCTGGGATCTGTGGCTGGGGCTCAAGAATCAGGCTGGTGAAAAACAGATTAACAAGAGTAAAAGCAGTTTTAATTCTGTATGTGGTATGCATGAGAGTTCACAAAGAAAAATGTAGCTCCAGGAGGTGGCCAGGTGACTGAGGCTTATGCACCATCATAGGCCAAACAAGAGAAAAGGGGTCTGGGGCTTCTGGGAGCAGGAGAAGCCAGTTCTGGGAAGGCAAGTTGGGGTCATCTTGTTACGCAGCTAAGAGTCTGTCAGGGCATGGGAGTTGTCTCCAGGAGCAGCTCCCTCCCTGCTACGGAAACAGCTTTACTTTATAAATGTAAATTTCTTTCACAAGAGGGAAAATGCATACTACATTTTTAGGCAGTTAGGGGGAGGTAAGGAGCTTTTCCAGTGTCTGCTGGTTCTCAGTTGCCTTCAGCTCAAAATAATGTGCATGCCAAACAGACAGATTTTGGGATGACATATTCTGATACCCTGTGTAAGCAAGAGAGGCACCATGTGTTCCTTAATGCATTTGTGTGTGTTTGTGACATGAGGAACCTGCTGAGGCATAGGGGATCAGAACAGGGTTTCCACCTGCCTGGGTTTGTGTTTGGTACAGAAGTGATTGTCACTGAGGGAAGGCAGCACTTACAGAACAGTGTGGGCAAGAAGAGGAGAGAGATGCTTGTCTTCTCATTGCCCACCCTACCATCTTCCACCAGGCTGAGAAAGCAGAGGGAGAAGCAGCATGGGGAGGTGGGATTCTGGGGCACAGAGTGGGGCAGAGGGGCTGGAAGGCATGGGGGGTGGTGATTGAAGACCATACTCTGACCTTTTCTTGCTCACATTTCTTTCTAAGGGGCTTAGGAAGTCTCACCTTACAAACCATAAAATTTCCTTAAGCAAGATTTTTTTTTTTTGAGATAGAGTCTCACTCTGTTGCCCAGGCTGGAGTGCAGTGGCGTGACCTCCGATCGCTGCAGGCTCTGCCTCCTGGGTTCAAGGATTCTCGAGCCTCAACCTCCTGAGTAGCTGGGACTACAGGTGCACGCCACTATGCCCAGCCAATTTTTGTATTTTTTTGTAGAGACAGCCATGTTGCTCAGGCTGGTCTTGAACCCATGACCTCAAGTGATTCTCCCCACCTTGGCCTCCCAAAGTGCTGGGATTACAGGCATGAGCCACTGCACCTGGCCTGTATTAGTCTGTTCTCATGCTGCTATGAAGAAATACCCAAGACTGAGTAATTTATAAAGGAAAGAGATTTAATTGACTCCCAGTTCCACATGGCTGTGGAAGCCTTAGGAAATTTACAACCATGGTGGAAGGCACCTCTTCACAGGGCGACAGGAGAGAGAGAATGAATGCCAGCAGGGAACTCTTATAAAACTATGAAATCATGAGAATAGCATGAGGACAACTGCCCCCATGATTCAATTACCTCCTACCAGGTCCCTCCCACAAACCATGGGGATTATGGGATTACAATTCAAGATGAGATTTGGGCGGGGACACAAAGCCAAACCATATCACAGCCCAAGATTTTTATTGACCCTTCATAATGTGGCCTGTTTCCAACTTGACTCTGGTATGACATCACCTGAGAGATACCAGACCCGCTTATCTTAACTCAAACATTCCCTTCTACTGACTTGAAGTCTTTAGACAAAGCTTAGCTCTTTCAACCAATTGCCAACTAAAGAATTCCTAAACCCAGCAGGGTGTGGTGGCTCAAACCTGTAATCCCAGCAATTTGGGAGGCTGAGGTGGGAGGATTGCTTGAGCTCAAGAGTTTGAGACCAGCCTGGGCAACATAGTGAGACCTTTTCTATTCTATTATAAAATTTTTTTTTAAGTAGCCACGTGTGGTGGTGTACACCTGTAGTCCCAGGTACTGGGGGGCTGAGACAGGAGGATTGCTTGAGCCCAGGAGATTGAAGCTGCAGTGAGCTATGATCATGCCACTGTACTCTAGCTCAGGTGACAGAGTGAGACCCTGTCTCAAAAATAAACATAATAAACAATAAATATTTTAAAATAAAATAAAGAATCCCTAAACCCACCTATGACCTTTAAGTCCCCATTTTGAGATGTCCCATCTTTTCTGGGCAAACCAATGTATACCTTCCATGTATTGATTTTACCCACAATTGCTGTCTCCCTGAAATGTATAAAACCAAAGTAGAACCTGACGGCTTCGGGAGCACCTTCTCAGGGCCTCTTGAGACTCTGTTTTCCTGGGCCATGGTCATTCACATGGCTCAGAATAAACCTCTTTAGCTATTTTGGCAGAGTTTGGTGTTTGTGCCATCACGACAAACGAAGCAGTGATCACACGGTGCTCATTGTTGGCCTTAGGGAGGCCTCTGGCTTTCACAAGTTTGTATTTTCTCCATTTTGGAGAGTGTGAGCAGGAGTTTTGATTCAAAGCTAGGTAAAACAAATCTTCCTCCATCCTGATCTAGCACCTTAGCGGGAGCCAGCCCAGAAGAGAGTGCTTTACTGTTAGGCCTTCTGGGAGGGAGCAGGCTGAGAGGGCTGCCAGCCGGGCGAGCCCCCGAGAAGAGCCAGGGAGGAAGGCGACTTCCTGGCAATAGAGGCTCATTACTTCTGTGGCACTCAGGTTGGCCCTTAGAGGGTTCACGGACTTCCTTGGAAAAACTGCTCAGAGCTCTGCGGAAAAACCCACACAGTTTCCCCAGCACATAACACCACACATGCAGAGCAGGGTGAAGGGATTTGATTTTTCTCACAGGAAGTGCCTTGATGGAAGGGAAATGGAAGCCTTTCATTTTTGCATAATTCTGTAAATTATATACATTTTGCCAATTCAGCCCAAATTGGTATTTTCCTCTCCCTGATTCCTATTTCATTTACACATAATACTTAACATGCAACTCTGGTTTCCAGACTGCCTGGAGAAAATAGGTTTGCCTCTGCTGTCCTAGCCTCCTGCTGGCTGCGTGCTCCGCGAAGCACCGTGCCGTCTCGAAGCATTGCTTGTGTGCATATGTGAAGGAACAAGAGCCTGCAGCCATGTTGCTTACAGGGCTTTCCAAGGCTCTCACTTCATGTTAGAGAGGGCGATTCCCATGCTGAGTATTCATTCGTGTGTCTGAGCAAAGTCAGCCGGAAAGAAGTATTTGTCACAGTGCTGCAGGTCCCAGAGGGAGGCCTGGCCCTCATGAGCAGGCTGCAGTGGGGGCTCCACACTACCAGACCTCAGCCTTCCACTGGCCTCTGCTTCTCAAAAAGTCCAGAGGCCTTGAGTCTGTGTTCTCCAGCCACAGCTAAAAGCCCCCCCCGAAACAACCAAGACATTCCCTTATTTGGAACCTGTCTTTGTGGCTCAGCAAGGCAGATATCTGCCTTTTGTCAGCCATTTGCTATGTCATGAGAAGAACACAGCTGCCAGACAGAGGAAACCCAATTCTTATTGACTCCTGGGAGGTCTTAAGGAATTTATTTCCCCCACCGTGTCTCAGTTTCTGCAGGTGTACAACCAAAAGCTAGGATCCCCAAGGCCTACAGAGTCCAATATGATAGTCACTAGCCACAGGTAGCTATTTAAATTGTGTTTGAATTAATTAAAATTAAGTAAAAGTGAAAATTCCATTCTTTGGTCAACTAGCCACTTTTCAAGGGCTCAATAGCCACGAGTCACCAGCAACTCCCATACTGGCTGGTTCAGGTAACAGAACATTTCCATCAAGGCTGGAAGTCCCGTGGGACAGTGCTGATCCCAAGATTCCTAAGGCCCTTCCAGGGCTGGCAATCCAAGCAGAGGTGGGTGAGCCCTGGTCTGCCTCCCCTCTGGTTGCTGTGGGTGTCCAGGCATGGGTGTGTCCTTTAGTGCTCATGGTTCAGAGTAAGTGTCAGGAAACCTTGGCCTTGTTACTATTTTGAGTGTTCTCAGGGACCCTTTAAGGCACAGTCCAGGAACAAAAGTCCTCAAGTGACCTGGAAGAGGATGTTTCATTGGCCCAGAGAGTACTAGCCTGAGATGAGGAAACTGAGACCCAGAGAGGCTGAGGGTAGAGGGAACCAGGGGAGACTGTTGCTTGCTGGCCCCATGGAGGAAGGAGGGAGTTTTCTGCAGATTCAGGAGGGATGGAAGGAGTGGTGCTCCCAGACCCGAGGCCCTATCCTGAGAGACGGGTGTCTGCATGTGGCAGGCCTTTATCACAATTGTTGCCGGCCACTGAAAACTCTGCCCAGAGTTTGTCAGTACAACAGACTGACATCCTAGGTGCCAGTCAGAGAGGTCCAAGGCTCTGTGGGTCTAGAGGAAGTGCTTGAGCCCCCCACTGGTGGCCACCTTTCTTGAAGAGCTTGGCCAGGTTCAGCCGTGGAGCCTGTCCAAAGTGAGGATGTATGCATAGGCTCTGGGATGCAGGGGCCAGACAGGGCTGGCTACAGTCCCTCCTTGGCTTGTCATGCCTGGGTGGCAGCTGAAAAAATCCTCACACCTGCTGGACAGACCCAAGGCCTGCTTTACTCACCCACACATACCTTGACTTGATTTGTGTGCCCAGGTGTTTGAGAGAAAAGTCCTGAAAGAACAGCACCCAGGAATCCAGAGGGAGTAGGGCCCAGTGTGGGGGCTCCCCTGCTGGAGTGTGGGAAGCAGCCCGGTCACTGCGTCCTTGCTCTCTCTTATTCATCCTCAAAATGTCCCAGAGGTTGCTGTTGGAACCCTCACCTTACAGAGGTGGATACCAAAGCTCAGAGAAGTAACATAGTCCAAGCCACAGCGCTTAAAAAGTAGTAGAGCCAGGACTCAAAGCAAGCTAGGCCAGCCTCCCAGCTGCTTTGTTTCCACTCTTCCACACAGAAGTCTGATGTCTGACCCTATCTGGGATGGATCATTCATTCATTCACTTAATTTCTTTTCTTTTCTCTTCTTTTCTCTTCTCTTCTCTTGTCTTCTCTTCTTTCTTTCTGTCTGCCTTTCTTTCTTTCTCTTTCTTTCATTTGTCTTTCTTTTGTTCTTTATTTTTTTGAGACGGAGTTTCGCTCTTGTTACCCACGCTGGAGTGCAATGGTTCAGTCTCGGCTCACTGCAATCTCCGTCTCCTGGGTTCCTGCCTCAGCCTCCCGAGTAGCTGGGATTACGGGCGCCGGCCACCATACCTGGTTAATTTTCATATTTTTAGTAGAGATGGGTTTCACCATGTTGGCTAGGCTGCTCTCGAACTCCTGACCTCAGGTGATCTGCCTGCCTCGGCCTCTCAAAACACTGGGATTACAGGTGTGAACTACTGCGCCCTGCCACACTTAATTCTATCAGCCCACCTGAGCTAGGTGCGGGGGCACAGCCGTGCACAGCAACATGAGGGCTCATCTCACAGCACTGACAGAAAGCAGCCTCATCCAGTGAACTGCCTCTGCCGTGAATTCTACAGTGACCCAGCTTTCGAAACCGCTTGCAATGAGGACACCTATTCTAATTAAGAATGGTCAAGCTGGACTTCCTTGAGGAGGTCAACTTTGAGCTGAGTTAGGTGGCCTCCTAATGCCTCTGTTTTCTTGTCTGTAAAATGGGAATAATGGAAATCCCCATTGTGTCTCCTCCAAGGGCTGCTCTCAGGAGCCTCTCATGGGAGGTGATGGTAAGGGTCTTTGCAGACATCCTCTGAAAGTAGAATTACAAAGGCCCAGGAAAGAATGCTGGGCCAGGACCTCACATCACTCTTGGTCAAGGCCTTTTAAAATGCATTTACCCACCATCCCCCTTCAGCGAGACCAGAACACACCGGCTTCAGGGACTGGGCTCTCCCTATATTCCTCAGTGTTGAATAAAAGATAGAGACAGAATCTCTAAATTTAAAAACTTTTCTTCAGGAGGCAAGAATTGCAATTCAGGGCATACAGACCAGGTGGTCTTTGTTATGTCCAAAGAACAAAAAGAAGGTTAAAGAATTTAGAGAAATTTTATATATTGTTCTGCAAGAAAGTTCATTAGATTAGCACTAGTAAAGTTTTGGGGAGCTGGCAAGCTCCGATTGGTGAGTGATGGTGGTGGATACAACTAGTCTTAAAGTTGCAGTAGGTTGTTTCAGTAGCTGTTAGATAAAACTGGTTTCAGGTGGCAGCAAGCAGTTTCAGCAGCCAGGCTGGCAGAGAATTCAATCCTCGGAGCAATGTCATGTGCCCTGAGGGCTTTATCCTCCTGGCCTCTGGACTCTGTTTTAGTTGGGTATGGCAAGAATGACCCAATTTGTGTGATCAACTTTTACATTAGTAAGAGCTTGAACCACAGGCCTGGGAGAGCCAAGCCTGGCTCTGACTCCAGCTTCTTCCACTGATGTCTTTTCAGTGACTTTCAATGAGCTCAGGATGCCAGGAGCCCAGATGGCCGGCTCTTCCCCATCAGTATCTTTGTCTTCACTATTTGGTCACCCAGTGAGTCTCTTAGGCTGGGAGTTCAGTTTACATTCCAGGCCCCAAAGCCACAAATAAAGGAGACTCCTGCCAGCCCAGGGTTTCCAGAGATGCCCTGCAGAATCCTCAAGAGGCACCTGTCTCTCAGCCTCCCAAGTCAGAGGCATCTTCACAGAAAGGTAGAGCACTGGTAATTTCTAGAATCCTGATTCCACATGTATCCCTCCCTCTGGCAGAAGACTGAAATTCCACTAGTCTATGCTTTAAAAATGTACTATCCTTGCTGTGATTTTAAACTACATCCACAAATTTGTTACTCCTCTCTCCAAGAAGTATCCTCACATGGCCTCCTTAGAGGACACCAGTCATATTGGGGTAGGGTCCGCTCCACCCCAGCAAGACCTCATTTTGATTGGTTACATCCACAATGACTTTGTTTCTAAGTAAGCTCATATTCTAAGGTGTTAAGACCTGGGATTTCAGCATATCTTTCTTTTTTCTTTTTCTTTTTTTTTTTTTTTCCCGAAGTGGGAGACACGATTCAACTCAGTACACATCCTTTTTCATTTTTTTCATTTTCTGTAGTGAGAAGTCAGGCAAGGCTTCAATGATTCTGCTTCCTTAAAGTTTGTAAAACTGTTGGCAACTGTTGTGAGACCTCGGTTCTTGTCTTCTTAGTTGAAAAGAATTTAAACAAGAGACACACAGCAAAGGAGATGCAGCATAGAGCAATTTACTGCACAGGAGAAAGAGTACTTTGTAAGCGAAATGCAGAGTAGACAACACCCTGAGAGCATGCAGGGTGAATGTTTGTAAAGATGAGACAACATTGACCATTAATGGGAAGATCCCTTATGGGAGTCTTCTGTGATTATTCATAAGGGGGTGGGAGAGGTGTTGCTAGTTAGCATGTTCTGGGTGCTCCTCTGGGTGCACATGCACTGTAGCTGTACATGCTTGCTCATACGTCGCATGTCTCATTAGCATCTTAAATCTCCACCCAGGGCTGTGTTTTTCACTATTATAAAAAAGGGTCAGTTTGAGGACAGGTAAAATCAAAATGCATGTACCCTCTACAGGGGAAAGTCCTTACCGGAGGCAGCTTTGCTGGAATGAGCTTGACTACAGCGCATATTGTGTGTTGACGGTGAGGTCTCCATGGTTGCTGCCTCCCAAGGACATGGTTATGTCCCTGACTATCTCAAAACTGCTGATCTGGTGGGAAAACCCCTGGAAGAAAAGTGGCTCTAGTAAATGCTTGAATGAATGAAAGGGTGAGCAACAGCGTCCCTGCACTGGCATGGCTCACGCCGCACTCCCCGGCAAGTTGGCACCCTGCTCAGGGTTTACGCCCTGGAAAGCAAGATGGACCCAGTCATTCCCAGTGGTGAGGTGATGCCAGGGAGCAGGCTGCATGTCCTGAAAGGAAACCTGGAGTGAAATGCTGGTCTGCCCTTTGCTGGAGGAGAGACTTTCAGGAAATCATTCATTCAACAGATTCTCTTTCATAAATTTTAAAAGAAATTTTGTGGGTACATACTAAGTGTATATATTTATAGGATTCATGAGATGTTTTGATATATGCATGCAATGTGAAATGACCTCATCATGAGGAATAGGGTCTCCATCCCCTCAAGCATTTATCCTTTGTGTTGTAAACAATCCGATTACATTCTTTTAGTTATTTAAAAATGTACAATTAAGTTATCATTGACTATAGTCACCCTGTTGCGCTATCAAATTGGATCAACAGATTCCTATTAAGTGCCTACTATGTGCTGGCAATTGTGACAAATGAGGAATGGATCAGACAGGAAGACTAATCCGGGACCTGTCCCCACGAAGACTACAGTCTAAGGGGGACATGCAATCCCACTCACTTCACAAAAATCCAACCTGCCAAATGCTTGGAAGGAGAGAGGCGTGGTGCTCTGAATGCCTCCCAGAAGCCAGAGCCCGCTCAGGGTTACAGGGCTGGAGGCAGAGTGGCTTCAGTGCAGCGTTAAAGGCTCAAATGCATTCCCTCCAAAACTCATACTTTTGAGACCTCAGAAAGTGGCTGAATTTGGAGAGAGCCTTTAACAAGGGAATTAGAACTAAATGAGGTCATTAGGGTGGCCCTAATCCAATCTGACTGGTGTCTTTATAAGAAGAAGAAATTAGGACACAGGCTTCACACAGAGGAGAGACCACGTGGTGACACAGAGTAAAGGTGGCCATCTGCAAGGCAAGGAAGGAAGACTCAAGAAACCAGCCCTGCACACACCTTGATCTCAAACTTCCAGCCTCCAAAAGAGTGAAAAGGCACATTCCTGTTGTTGCAGCCCCCAGCCTGTGATACTTTGCTATGGCAGCCCTATCAGATTATCAGCTACAAGAAGGGAAAAGCATCCTGGCCAAGGGAACAGCATATGCTAAGTCCCTGGGGTAGAACAGAGAGTGGAGGATGCAGAGGCTCAGAGGGCACTGCAACTGGGGCATAGAAAGGGAGGGAAAATGAGACACAGGAGGGTAGGGAGAGGGCCCAGGCAGATTCCCAGCTCAGGGGCTTACTAACAAATCTTCTCGTAAGAGAAATACAAGGGCATTATGTGTGGGGAGGGAGGAAGACTGGCTGACCAGCTCGGCATTCCAGAAACACCCCCATAGCTGAAGCAGGAGAATAGGGTCTGTGGACAGGGAGCCTAAGGGCTTCCTAGAACTGAAACAGTAGAACCCCAACTTTCTACAACTGAGTATAGAACTTTGTAATTCTGCTTCAGCTATGACAGGAAACATCTCCTTCACTCACATAGGGTGTACACCAAGTAAATCACTGTAACCTCCCTCAGCCTCTTTATTTGCATAGAGAATACACCAAGTAACCAATGGGAAGCCTCTAGAGGATATTTAAACCCCAGGAAATTCTGTAACCTGGCTCTTGAGCCCCTTGCTCAGGCCGCCCCCACCCTGTGGAATGTGCTTTCGTTTTCAATAAATCTCTGCTTTCGTTGCTTCATGCTTTCCTTGCTTTGTTTGTGCGTTTTGTCCAATTTTTTGGTTCAAAACACCAAGAACTTGGACACCCTCCACTGGTAACATATCTGCTGTGTGGAAGGGGGTCAGGCAAAGGCAATGAGGCCAGTGAGGGGGGAGCACGGAGGCACATAGAGGGTCCCAGGTGCAGGCAGGAGGGCAGGTTGGTCTCCACCTGTGAAACGAGGGCAGTATTGTGCACAGTACAATCTCTCAACAATTGCCATTTGTGATTTACTTCATTGTTTGACCCCATTAGACTTGGAGGGGAGTTCTCTTTTCGTTCTGAAGTTATACACCTAAGCTATAAACTAATGCTAGTGCTCATCTTGGTATAATGCAGATAGCCTGAGAAGTGTAGTCAAATGCCTGCTGCTTTCAGCACGACTGCTCCTGACCTCAGTGAATGGGCCTGAGGACTCTGAGGAAGCACTAGGTGTTCGGGATTATTCAACTCAGGGGAAGTCCAGCTTCTTGTCCATTTACATTCTCTTCTCGTTCCATTCTGTAAGTAAGGGTGGCCATGGCTTCCACATTTTATTTGACTGAAAATTTAAGGATTAAAAGCATTCATGTCTAAACTTGTTGATTTATTTCACTAGGCCATCTTGACCAAACAAATGACTAATTCAAAAAATTTTTTTCTTTATAATAGTAATATTGTTTTAGTGGAAAAAGGATAGGCCAGAGTTTACCAAACTGTATTCTAGAAAACATTAACATCTTACAAAATCATAATAGCAACTATTATGGCTGACATTTATTGTTTACTTCAGGTTGGCTATTGGGCTTAGTAATTGTCACATGTTACATAAGGCTGATAGTTTTTTCTTTGCAAAAAAGGATTGTAGAATATTTTCATTTTCTTCTTGGCAACTCATGATACAGATTGTTCCTGAGTAGTTTTACAGGGAAAAAACATATTTCATTTTGTTTCTCTGTTGTTGTCCTTAAAAACACAATTCGGGGAAAATGGTATGAGATTTTAAAACTTGGCAGCTTCACTGAAGGTTTCGACGTCAGTCATGTTGTATGGGTTTTATTGTAACAGATGGTACAGGTAAAAAGCAAAAGGTAATTAAATTATAGATCAATAGTTCCAGAAAGGGCCTCGGGAAAGCCTTCCTTGTTCAACGGCAGAAGCTGAGCGGTGAGATGACTGTCCCAGGCAGGTGGAGTGGGGCTGGGATGGGCTCTACCTCCCCGTCCGCCAGCACCTCCCTGTCCCCACCCGCAGGTGTCAGTGGGAGGCCTCCCCTGGGCTCAGCTGAGCCAGGGTGTCTGGGAGCAGTGCCAGAGAAAATAAAGGACACTCAGTGAAATTTGAATTTCAGATAAACAATAAATAACTTTTAGTATTAATATGTCCCATTTGTTACTTATCTAAAATTCATATTTAATGGAGCTGTCTGCATTTTTATGTGCTTAATCTGGCAACCAGTGCCTGAGCCCTGGACCAGCATCTATCTGCCCTCCAGCTTCCTCCTGCCCAGGGACACAGGGCCTGCTGAAGCTGCTTGGGATGCCAGTTCCCACTGCCTTCTACCCCTGAACAATGCCTCTGACGCCAGGAAGACCCAGACGTCCACTCTGGGGAGCAGGGGTAAGGAAGTCATCTTTACAAAAGTATGTAAGGTTGGTCACATCCGTCCTCACCCATGCTCACATCCTCTCCACACCCTCTGGCCATGAGCCGAGCTATTCCTTCAACCGCCACGGGGACTCCACAGCAGCGTTGTAGGGCTCTGCAGGACCTTCCCCATGGGAAGCATACAGCCCACTGCAGTTTCTCTATTCCACAAGCTCCAGGCTCTGCCAAGCTGGTCCTGTCAAGGACAGTGGGCTGACCCCACCTGGGGCCTCGGCTCCACGTCACCTTCCAGGGATAGGGTGGAACCCCCGGCTCACAGTTCCTCCTCCTTTTGCCATTCATTCCCTGCTGCCTGAGTGGTCTCTGAAACCCTTGCTGGCTTGTTCTTCAACCTGGCCTTGAGACTTGAACAGGCTTGCCCAATGTGTCCATCTCCAGGAGGGTTCCTGAGAGAAAAGAGGCCAGTGCCATCTGCCTCTCCAACTCCACCATAGGCCTGTGTCTGACCACAGCGCTGCTGATGGTCTACCCCCACCCACACACTCAACCTCAAGCCGCTGGAGAGAAGGCACCATCTCTTTCATCCATCGAGTCCCAGCACCTGGCTGGATGCCTGGCAGAGCAGGCTGTCTGTGCTCTGTGGCTGGGTGGTGGGCAGATCAATGAGAAGGTCAGAGACACCCCTGTGCCCGCCTACTCACAGCCTCTCCCACCCAACCTGTACTCCATAAAGTTTGCTCTTTAAGGCTAGAACTGATGATTCCCCTTGAGTCCCTGCAACTGGTCCCCAAAACAAGAAGGCATCACAGTGAGGGGAGGCAGAGGGAGCTGCTCAGTGTGGCTTTTCTTTCCCTGCAAATGGTGCCTTTTCTAGCTTTAAAGAGGCCATGGGGAGAGTGGGAACAGGCCACTGAAGGACCCTGAGCAAGGCACAGACCCCGTTCCGGGCACACTCTCCCTCAGTGATCAGGAGAGTGGCCAGGCAGCCTGCGGACATGGCTACGGGCGCAGACACAGGGCCTTGAGAGTGGCCCACAGGCATCTTCTCAAATCCACACTCCCTGTCACCTGGACAATGCTGTGTTATGGGGACTGTCCTGTGCATTTTAGGATATTGTCCCAAAGAACCTTAAGGACCAAGAGGGGGTCCAGGAGAACAGCTGGGCAGATGGGGCCGAAGGCAAAACCCTGAAAGCCAGGTGAGGACAGCTTTTCCACAACGCATCAGACTCATTTTCCTAAAGACACTGGCTGCCGTCTCTTCCAGAAGGTAAACAAAGAACCTGCTCTACTATGAAACCAGCATCCCTTAGAAAAGTACCACATGGCTGGGGTCAGCTCCACCGAGGACTCTCTAAATATGTTGGCCACTTAAGCTCAATTTTCCATTACCAGTAACACGCACAGCTCACGTGTGTACACACACACACAAATGCCACCACCCTGTCCCCACACAGGTCTCTACTCCAGTGGATCTCACTCAGGGTGATTTTGCTCCATGGGGAGCATTTGGTAATGTCTGGAGACATCTCTGCTTGTCACAGCTGGGGGCAGGGAAGGTGCTTCCGGAATCTAGTAGGCAGGACTAGGGACGCCGCTCAATATCCTAAAATGCCCAGGACAGTCCCTGCAACACAGAATGATTTAGCTCAAGACCTCAGCAGTGCCCAGGGTTAGAAACTCCACTGTAACATTGTGAAGCTGCCTCCAAACTTTTGCAAAAAGAGATCTTGGAATTTCCAGTTGGCTTCCCTGGGGCTGTATAAACCAGATGTCTGTATAAATCAGTTTACATAGACACCTGCAGAAAGCTGTCTGCTTGTGATGAAGCAGCCCCTCTTTTTCAACTACTTTGTAAGTGAAGCTGTTGTAGGGACACACACACACACACACACACACACACACACACATCTCTGGATAATGCATGTTCATTTTTCTCTTCATTTTCTCTCCTGAGCTACAGTCATTTTGGGCAATGCCAAGAATGACTGTGGAGACACATTCGGACCCCTTAATTAAGGACGCTAGAGGATGCCCCCGAGGCCCATGTGTGATGGCAGGATTCCTTCAGAACTCACATGCAGAATGGAAATGGGAATCAGAAGTCTATTTTCCTTTTGTCTGGTGTTTAATGCCTTTTCTTCTGGTTGACAGACTTGAACTTTAAAAGACGGATGATGATGAAAGAACAATTGATGTGTCATTTGACAAATGGCAAAATTTGTCTTTTCACTAATTTAGACTAATTTCTCACTGCAATTACTCCCCATTGTCATGGGGGGATTCTCACTAGGGTGGTCTCCTAATTATTAGTACAAATGAAAGACACCAAGAAATTTTGTGCAAAGAAAAATACTCAGCCTTGTTATTGGTTTGGCGGAGGTGGGTGTTTCTCACTCACATACATCAGAAAGCTCTAAGAAAAGCAAATAGGAAGGGACTTATAATTTTCTTCATTGAAGTGAGTCATATTTTTGAAACTACAGAAACTCATTATTTAATTTGGAAAAGTTTGGAGGAGAAATTCCATTCTTCCTCATTTCTGTGGAGTCGCGGTGACAGAAGCTCAGTGAGCTGACTTGGGTTGGTGATGGTTGTTTTTCCGTTCAAAGAGATGTAACAGAAAGGAGGCTCCAGACATTCTCATTTTTCTTCTCTCTCTTTGCTAACAAGCTTTTCAAATGCTGGAAAAAAAAAAAGAATAAATAAATAAAAAACAAACCAGCAGTGGAGAAATGCTGATTAAGTTGTCATGCTGAAATTATACAGCAGATAGATCCTTGGACACTTGCCAGAAATTGCACTTGGAAGAAAAGAAACCAGCTTCATCACCAGACATTTTCTTTGGAGAAGGAGCACTGCAGAGCGGGCACAGAGAAATCTTTTGTGTAGCGTCTGTGACAGCAAGAGGTGAAGTCTCCATCAGCAGCCGGCGGGCGAGCAGGAGGGTTGGGGTCCAGATGCAGGGTGAAGGAACTTCACTTCCAAGGGAAAACTGGACATGAGTCCCTAGAGGTGACAGCCTCCTGTGAGTGAATCATCTAGGTCTCAATTTGGGAAAATACAGGGATCAAGGAATCCACTGGGGTTGCCCACTCTTGGGGACACAGCAAGCAGACTGCACCCCATCGGCGTCTCCTGTGAAACCCCAGTGCACCCCTCTTCCTCTCCACCAATCACAACAGCCCTTCTTTGAAAACAGCATTTGTAGGCAGGACATTTTTTTGGTTTTATTTTAAAGCATCAGTCAGTCCCGAGTTCTTAGCTCTGAGGTATGCATATTAATTTCATAATGACAAAAACCTTGTCTTGTTCTGTTAAAAGACAGATGTCTCTGTGTCCTACTTTTTATCAACTAAGTGGTTTTATTAACAAAACATCTCTGTAAAATGAAGATCTTTGTTCTGGAAGGCATGTGATTCTAAATGTTTTCTTTTTATGCCTTTTTATTATGCTTTATTAGCTGTGATATCCTTAACCATAAATTAAAAGGATTTAAAAATATCCCTATACATTATAAGGAAGGGGTCCAGTTTCAATTTTCTGCATATGGATAGCCAGTTCTCCCAAAACCATTCACTAAATAGGGAATCCTTTCCGCATTGCTTGTTTTTGTCAGGTTTGTCAAAGATCAGATGGTTGTAGATGTGTGGTCTTATTTCTGAGATCTCTATTCTGTTCTGTTGGTCTATGTGTCTGTTTTGGTACCAGTACCATGCTGTTTTGGTTACTGTAGCCTTGTAGTGTAGTTTGAAATTGGGTAGTGTGATGCCTCCAGCTTTGTTCTTTTTGCTTAGGATTGTCTTGGCTATACAGGCTCATTTTTGGTTCCATATGAATTTTAAAGTAATTTTTTCTAATTCTGTGAAGAATGTCAATGGTAGTTTACTGGGAATAGCATTGAATCTATAAATTACTTTGGGCAGTATGGCCGTTTTCACAATATTGATTCTTCCTATCCACAAGCATAGACTGTTTTTCCATTTGTTTGTTTCCTCTCTTATTCCCTTGAGCAGTAGTTTGTAGTTCTCCTTGAAAAGGTCCTTCACATGCCTTGTTATCTGTATTCCTAAGTATTTTATTCTCTTTGTAGCAATTGTGAATGGGAGTTCATTCATGATTTGGCTCTCTGCTGGTCTATTGTTGGTGTATAGGAATGCTTGTGATTTTTGCATATTGATTAAGCAATACCATTCAGGGCGTGGGCACAGGAAAAAATTTCGTGACAAAAACATCAAAAGCAACTGCAACAAAAGCAAAAATTGACAAATGGGATCTCATTAAACTAAAGAGCTTTTGCACAGCAAAAGAAATTGTCATCAGAGTGAACAAACAACCTACAGAATAGGAGAAAGCTTTTGCAATATATCCATCTGACAAAGGTTTAATATCCAGAATCTACAAGGAACGTAAACAAATTTACAAGAAAAAAAAATGAACAACCCCATCAAAAAGTGGGTAACGGATATAAACAGACACTTCTCAAAAGAAGGCATTCATGTGGCCGCCAAACGTATGAGAAAAAAACCTCAACATCACTGATCATTAGAGAAATGCAAATCAAAACCAAAATGAGATACCATCTCATGCCAGTCAGAATGGCAATAATTAAAAAGTCAAGAAACAACAGATGCTGGTGAGGCTGTGGAGAAATAGGAACGCTTTTACACTGTTGATGGGAATGTACACTGTCTTCAACTATTGTGGAAGACAGTGTGGCAGTTCCTCAAGGATGTAGAAACAGAAATACCATTTAACCCAGCAATCCCGTTACTGGGTATATACCCAAAGGAATGTAAATAATTCTGTAATAAATATGCATTCACATGTATGTTTATTGTAGCACTATTCACAATAGCAAAGACATGGAATCAACCCAAAGCCCATTAAAAATAAGTGGATAAAGAAAATATGGTACATGTATACCATGGAATACTATACAGCCATAAAAAGGAATGAGATCATGTCCTTTGCAAGGACATGAATGGAGCTAGAAGCCATTATCCTCAGCAAGCTAATACAGAAACAGAAAACCAAACACCACATGTTCTCACTCATAAGTGGGAGCTGAACAATGAAAACACATGGACACATGGAGGGGAACTACACACACTGGGGCCTGTCATGGGGCAGGGGTGAGGGGAGGGAGAGCATCAGGATAAATAGCTAATGTATGTGGGGCTTAATACCTTGGTGATGGGTTGATAGATGCAGCAAACCACCGTGGCGTACGTTTATCTGTGTAACAAACCTGCACATCCTGCACATGTATCCCAGAACTTAAAATTAAATTAAATTAAATTAAAAATAAAGAAAAATAAAAAATAAAAATACCCTTAATCTTTCTTTTTTTGTTGTTGTCGGTAGGTTCTGTTTTGTTTTGTTTAGGTCTCACTTTGTCACCCAGGCGGCTGGAGTGCAGAGGCACTATCATGGCTCACTGCAACCCTATCTCCTGTTCTCAAGTGATCCTCCCTCCTCAGTCTCCGAGTAGCTGGGACCATAGGTGTGTGCCACATCTTGCTAATTTTTCTTTCTTTTTTTTTTTTTTTTTTTGTAGAGACAGGGTTTTGTCATTTTGCCCAAGCTGGTCTCCACCTCCTGGGCTCAAATGATCTGCCTGCCTCAGCCTCCCAAAGTACTGGGATTACAGCCATGAGCCACTGCGCCCAGCCCCTAGTCTCTCAATTTGTAATGGGAATAGCAGTTCGCTTCCAAAAGATTAGAAATGAGGAATGACAAAAAATTATAGAGGCAAGAATTATTTTTGTTTCCCTGAGTCAACAATCCAGACAGCACAGATAAACATATTTCTTGTTAGCAATGCAAGCCCAGAAACTACATGAGGAATTTCCATCACAAAGTTTTGTTTTGGGGTTTCTGAAGTCACTTGCTGAAGATGGAAGAAGAAGGTGGCGACTCTGCTGCCTTCCTCTATTTGCAAAAGACAAATGAAGATGCATGAGGTAGGGTCGGCAGGCTCCCCCTGTTAGGTTGATTTAAGGCCTGGTGATGAAGGCTTTCACCAGGCAGCCAGGTAAATCAGAAAGCCCAGGTCGGTAAGGATGGTGGAGGGACCATTTGGTCCTGCATCCTGAAGCTATTTCTCTCGTAACTGCAGTTGTCCATCAAGGCCAAGGTGGGAGCCACTGGGTAGCACAGCTTCAAGTTAAGCTTATTTTCTGAGCCTTATTGTACAAATAAAATTGTATTCCCTGGAGGCCTCAGCTGAAGAAGGAATTTCCTTACATAAGCCTTTTAAGAGCTGAGAACGGCATTGCCGCAGATCAGGTATTGACAGTTTTCGAGGGCTGATAGCACGTGCGTTGCCAAGTGAGCACCTTTAAATGATCAGGAAGTTAGCCTCAGGGCACAGCCCGCTCCAGGTCTTTAGCGTCAGGCATGTTCAACTCAACCACAGGATGAGCGGGAGGAAGGTGGGGGCTCCTAAACATTCTGCCAAGAAGAATCCTGAGGCTTCCACAATCTCTGTCCATCAGTATTTGTCGCCACATATAGTGCAGTAAAAAGCAGAGTTCTGAGAGGCAGACGGGGAAGAGGCTTCACAAAAGCATCTGATAGCCACAGAAAATGAAGTATCTTCCAATTACATAGCCAGGATCAGGGCGCATGCCGTCAAGAGCAGGCCTGCCTCGGCGTCAAGGGCTCTTCATTTCTGGGCTGGTTTTCTGAGTCTCCAAGTGAGCAATATTGACTTTCGCTGAGCCCACGAGCACATCTGGGAATGAGTGGAGCTTTCTCAAGGCAGCTTCTAACCACGTTGGAATGACATTTCAGGAAAACACTTAGCTCCAGCTGATCAGAACGCTCACTGTAAGTAAAAATGTTCTGTCCCTGCCTTTCGAAAGGTCTCGTGTGGCCTACGCATACTGCTAGTCACAAACAGCCTTGAGTCCTGCCTACAAGGGCAGTGCACCTGGATCTGAGGGCAAGCTGACCCCTGTAGGTTGGCTAGGTTCAAGCCCACTGTCCTCAGACGAGAGAAGAAAAAAAGGACAGAATTTGCTCAGGTGTCTTTTGCCAAAGGCATAGTTGGGACTGGATTCTGCAGTGAAGCCGACTTAGAACAATGGCTTTCTACCCAAGGGGGAGGTGATTTGGGAAGGTAGCAGAGCCCGCAGTTGTCTATGCAGTGAGGACACACTGAATCCGGGCAGCTGAGGGAGCAGTGAGGAGAAGCGGAGGGGTGCAGATAGACATATAAGATGCAAATTCAAAAATGCCCTTCACCTCACCTGCAACTCCTTCACACATCACTGCTCTTACAGACCCCTCCAAACCACCTGGATGCTTCCCCACTCCACTACTTACTAGCTGTGTGACCCTGTGCAAGTTATGTAACCTCTCCAGGCCTCGGTTGACCCAGCAGGGAAATGGAAGTAATCATGTAACTTCAGACAGTTATATTGTAAGGACTGATATTATATGCAAAATGCTTAGAACAATGCCGGCACCTAGTAAAAATTGATCATCATTATTTTTGTGTTGGCATTAATCAAACAAGAAAATACCATTGTTGGAACTTAATTATATATGTGGAGAAAGAGAAGAATTGGGAACTGACGTGCCCAAGGTTCCAGGGCTGTTAAGCAACAGAGCCACGCGCAGGCTGAAACCTCGTGCACAGTCTGGGGATGTTCCCAGCATGGGCTTCCTTATCCATGCTCAGCAACTCTGTCCTGGCCTTGCTGACCATAGGAAGCCTCCAAGGAGAGCTGGTAACATCTTTGCGCTAAACAGCACAGAGAATCTAGAATGGTGTTTCCCCACCTATTAAGTCTCACTTCATAAACTACTTTTTTTCTAGGTAGAATTCAAAGTTAGGCATTAAATTTGGACTAAGCTGAGATGACCCACAACTTTCTGGCATTCCACAAACTGACCTGTTTCCATCTGCTGATTGTACTTGCAGCCAACATCAAAGCTTTAGCCCTTCAGCCCGATTATCAATATCATCTCACATAGAGGTGTCTCCTATGAGATAAAAATGAGCCCACTTTAAGGAGTCGGGGAACTGTCAAGAGTGTCAGTAATCTTCCTCTGGGTAGTAATTTACCTCTCAGTAACCTGACATAGGGAGGCCAGCTTTGAAGCAGGAGAGGATGGCGAGGATGGCAACTGCAGGTGCCGTTGAGGAGCTCAGTATGCACTCAGTGGTGTGAGCAGAGAACAAGACTTGGTACAACAAAGCATATCACCCTGTAATGGCTTGGTGTTTGAGTGGGATTTGGACAGCCTTAGGAAACACTGAGGCTTCCTAAACTGAGATTCAGCAGCATGAATTTCATATCTGGTGTTCTCTTGTTTCAATTCTGGTCTGCTAAGACTTAGAGATTGAATAATGCTTCTCACTCTGAAATATCGATGATCTCTTTCCATTTTTTTTAATATGTGTGATATGGTTTTGGTTGGTGTCCTCACCCAAATCTCACCTTGAATCGTAATAATCTCCATTTGTCAAGGGTGGGATCAGGCAGAGATAACTGAATCACAGGGGAAGTTTCCGCCATACAGTTCTCGTGATAGTCAGTGAGCTCCCACGAGATCTGATGGTTTTATAAGGGGCTTTCCCCTTTGCTCAGCTCTTATTCTCCCTCCTGCCACCCTGTGAAGAGGTGCCTTCTGCCATGATTGTAAGTTTCCTAAGGCCTACCCAGCCATGTGGAACTGTGAGTCAATTACACCTCTTTCCTTTATAAATTACACAGTCTCAGGTGTATCTTCATTAGCAGTATGAGAACAGACTAATACAATGTGCTTTGGAAGAAGGAGAAAACCAGACTGGTGTCCCAAGATTAAAATAAATGTGGGGTTTAGAAAGCTTCTATCACACAGGTGCGGCCTTTATTATTAAGATTTGCTGCAGGACCCTGAAGCAAGTTGCAAAATAAAATGTGTGTGAATGTGTGTGTCCATTTAATTTTGAAAGTTCTAATTCTTTAGGGTGCTTTTCGGTTTAAGGGTTTATCCTACAGGTTCAAAGGGGGTGCTCTTCTCTATGAAGTTGGAAAGCAGGTGAGCATACAGAGGTTTTAAGACAAGTTGTGCAATGCCAGCAAGGTCCCTAGGAATAGGGGTCTTATCTTCTATCTTTTGCATCTTCCACAGTACTGGTTGCCCAGAAGACATCACTCAACAGGTGGTGAATACATGAAGGAGTGAATACATGAATGATTCATGTAATAAATGAGTGATGTGATCACAACATTCCCTCTGAAGTTCATCACAGCTTCTCTGTCCAGTCCAGATGGCCAAAGATGAGAGGAGAGTCCACTGTGTGCATGGCTAAGGGCCTCACAGTCCCTCCCTTCTAATCTCTGTGCTGGGAAGAGCCCAGGACCCATCAGCACCCAGACCAAAGCCTGTACCTGGCTCAGCTCCTTCCTATCCCTGTGGTCATGGGCAGGTCAGTTACCTTCTCTTAAGGCAGAACAAATACTGACCTTGACTTTTCCACTGGACTTCTGTAGCCATCCAAATGGTTGACCAAGGACTATGAAATATTTCTGGTTGATTTCTGTTTGTTGTTAATGTGTGTAATACAAAATTAATAAATGAAGTTCATCCTATCCACCCACCTTATAATAAGCACTGGACATCTTACAAGACAAGTCATGAGAAGGGAGATGGGAAGGTACGAGCAGGCCAGACCATGATGGGGTGGCTGTCAACATAACCAAGGAACTCCAAGGGAAGAACCCAGCATTGAATGGGCACCACCTCTGTGGCAGGTGCCTCATCCACACCTCGAATGTCAGATCCTCCCTTGGTAGCCACCCTGGGCAGGTGTTAGCTTCTTTTGCAGGAAAGTAGGGAGGCCTGCTATGCCAGCACTGTTAGATGATGCAGAATGCTGATGGTCTGGAGGGAGGATGCCCCTCCTGCCGTTGGGGCCAGGATGGGTAGCTCTGCAAGTCTCTTTGGCGGACACAGGGCCTGAAGCTCTGCAGAGTGGTGATTTCTGTCTCCTTTGAACATGTAAAGCATTTTCCCAGGCCCAAGACACCAATGAGAACTGTGAGTCTATAGGCAGATGAATCTTCTACCCCTGGCTGACTTTTGAAGGAAAAATACTGTCTCACAAGTGCAGACACAGCAGCATGCCCATGCTGGGTTCTCACCTCCGAGTGAGCCACACATGTGCATGGTACACGCACACACACACACACACACACACGGGTAATGGCAGCGGGTGCTGATGCCCAGCAGTGCAGTCCCCCAACCAGAGCTTCTCTGGCAAGGTGCTGTTCCGCTGGGAGCTGTCTTAGTCCTGAGGCAGCTTCGTGGATGACCTGGTCCATCAGCGGGAAGGCTTGGCCAACCACACTGGCCTTTCACCAAGGGGACTCAACTGTGGGAAAAAAAAAAAAAAAGTTAAGCACAAGTCAAACTGCACTGTGTGAGGTGGTCTCCAGTGCATCTCAACAGGGCTAGGGCTGGGGCGACATGATGAAGCCAGACCGAGGGTGTGGCCATGTCCTGGGGAGTGCAGCCCAGAGACCTCCTGATACGGCAAATGCTGGATTCACCGCTCTCTCTTTCCTGATGGTAAAAGAGAACTTGAGTCCCAGGCCACTGTGGGATGGAGAGGAGAGAGGACAACCTGGGGAGACCGCCTGGAGCCCAAGACCCTACCCGCCCTATGAGTGTCCTCCAGGGAATTCAGCTGACTTCCTAGGCCACCAGCATTTCCTTCCCGATTTTCCCCATCAGTTTTATCTCCAAATTCATTAGTTTGCAGGAGGATTTGATTATTTCTCATGCACAAATAGAGTCCTGTAATCGCTCAGGGACTGAGAAATGTCTTTATTGTTCTCTGAAGAATATTACAGGTTTGTGGGTTTCCTTAGTTCACAGCCAGGGTGCAGGGCTCAGCCTGGCCTGGCAAAGCAGGGTGCCAGGGAAGAAGAGGAATCAAGTCCCAATGGGTGGGGGTGTTCCAGACACCCAAAGCTATCTTAGAAAAGGGCAAAGCCCCAGTACTCCCCTCCACTCTCTTGGAGACTTGGAATCACTGTTATCTATTTGCTTAAATGAAGGGGGTGGCAGAGGAAGAGATCAGTGGGGTATTTGGGTCCCTGTGGGTTTCTGTTTACAGGATAAACAAGGAGAGATCTCTATCGTGACCTGTAACTCCTTGATTCTGCTCTCAGTGCACCAGGTATGGAAACAGATCTGGGGAGATCTTCAGGCTTAATATTCTCACCATAGTTTACTGGGGGCAGGAGAAGAGACCCAGCACTGGGAGGCTCCTTGGGGGCTGGAGGGTGGGCTAGAGAAACCCAGGGGCTTGGGGGAGAGGCTGAGCCACTCAGGGCTGCAGTGTTGCAGGGAACTGGTTGCTGTGGCAGCTTCACCCCAGAACCTGAAGTGGGGCTTTTGCAGGAGAAAGCACGTTCTCTGGGGGAAGGTCGCATGGTTTCTGGGCTCAACCCTCAGCCTGGCCCCTTCCCATGCCCCGTGCTCTTCCTGGCACACCAGGGCCTCCCACGTCTTCCTCTGCCATCAGTCCCCAGGCTAGTGACTCCCGAAGCTTCAGCCAGACCATTCTTGGAGCTCCAGATGGCACAGACCACAGCCTGCTCGGCAGCCTCCCTGCCATGTCCCCAACATACCCAAACGCATGTGTCCCAAACTGAGCTCTTCCCCACTGGCCCAGACCTGGTCCTCCCTCAGTGGCCCCCACTCTAAGGGAAGGGTCCACCCCACTATCTGCCCTGTCAGAAACCTGCAGGTCATCCTTGTCTTGCTCCTCTCTCCAATCTGTTCTCTGAACCCATCAGTTCCATATTCTTAATCTTTGGGAAATAAGTATTTTCCCTCCACTCCCATGAGACTCCCAAAGCTCAGTCCCTGGTCTTCTTCCTTAGCTCTGCTGCCACAGCTGCTGTGACCTTGCCAGGACAGTGGCCACACCGCCACAGATAGCCCATCTAAAGCACACCTCATGGCCACTGCTGCCAGCTCAGACCCCTTCACAGCATCTACTGCCTTCAGGGAAGATGACAGAGGAATCCAGACTCTCGACTTCTGCACCCTCCTTTCTCGCTGTTTTCCTCCTTCTTGCCAAGTCCCAACTACCCTCCTCCACCTGGAGTCCCCAGAACCCAGCAAACACCCTCTCCTTGGCTCTTTGCCCCTGCTGGTCCCTCTACCCAGGATGCCTTTTCCTTCCTTCACTGCCTGACTAGTTCCTCCTGGTCTTTCATATCACCTCCTCCAGGAAGCCTTCTCTGATATGCAACTTTATCCCATCCCACCTCCCTTCTCCCAGTGATGCTGGACTTTTGCTTTTTGCTTCCCGAGGATAACAGACAAGCTCACCCAACACTAAAATAGTCTACACTGGGGGTCTATGCGCTGGACCACAGATCTATTGGCTCCTAATTTTGGGATATAGGGGTCCATCATCATATCTCAAAAGTAAAGTTCAGCGGGGTTAATATTACTGCAGCCTACACAATAGCATTTTTACAAGTAAACGTCTTAAAGCATGTATTTAAGCACATAGGTATGACCCTGGTATGGAATGTATGTGTTTGTGTGTTTTACCTAATGTATATGATGATATATTGACACACATATGTAATTTAATATTCCATTTTTACATATATTTGTATGTTATGTATAACATACAGTCTTTTATATTTATATGAAACAGAAATGTGTTGTGTGGATGTAATAGAGAGGGGATATGTAAGAAGCGTGGGCTACTAGAGGCTCTCGCTTTGAGAAACACAGCCCTGTGGCTTTGTTTCACTTACCCTAGAATGTTTGCTCCTTTGCAGAGCATCTCCTAATGACCGGAAGGCAGTGTCTGCTGTGTAAATGCATCTTTTTTGAGTTTCCAGATACTCTTCTCAAACCCAACAGTGCCCGGTACGGAGACAGCATGCATCCAGCAATTGTTGAATGAGAGTTCACATAACATAGGTACTTTGTCTGCCTTTCTCTTCTCTAACCATTTTTATTTAAAATCTACCACTTTTTTAAAAAAAATCTTTTAAAAAAACCATTTTTATTTAAAATCTAGAACAGGAAACTGGGGTGTACCGTCCCAGCCGAGCCACACCCGATGGCCTACCTGTGGCCTGAGAACTGTCTGTGATTGGTGTGCTGTGGAGCAGACACATTCCACCTATGAACAGCCTGCTGCATGGCTCCATGCTATTTTGATGTGGGTAAAAGTAAAAGCAGTGTTTGAAAGGGTGCACAACCCCTGTCTCCGGCCACCTTTCCTGTCCGTGAGCGCAGACACGGTGCACAGGGACACAGGCACCCTGCGCTGCTGCTGCGGAGTCCCAACGCCCCATCAAGTGCTGAGTCGACAAGCATCAGAAGGACCCTCCTGGGCACCACTCTTCTGCTGGACTCCAGGGACACAGAGAGAAAATGACCAGGAGTATCACTTGAACCCAGGAGGCAGAGGTTGCAGTGAGCTGAGATCGCACCACTGCACTCTATCCTGGGTGACACAGTGAGACTCTGTCAATCAAAAAAAAAAAGAGAAAGAAAGAGAGAGAGAGAAAGAAGAAGGAAAGAAAGAAAGAAAAGAAGAAAGAAGGAAGAAATAGAAAGAGAGAGAAGGAAGAAATAGAAAGAGAGAGAAAGAAGAAAGAAAAAAGAAGGAAGGAAAGAGAAAGAAAAAGAAAGAAAGAGAAAGAAAAAGAAAGAAAGAAAGAAAGAAAGAGAAAGAAAGAAAGAAAGAAAAAGAAAGAAAGAAAGAAAGAAAGAAAGAAAGAAAGAAAGAAAGAAAGAAAGAAAGACAGACAAACGAAAGAGAGAGAGCAAGGGAGGGAGGGAGGGAGGGAGGAAGGAAGTGGGGGGGAGAGAGAGGGGGGAGGGAGGGAGGGAGGAAAGAAGTGGGGGGACAGAGAGAGAGAGGGAGGGAGGGAGGGAGGGAGGAAGGAAGTGGGGGGGGAGAGAGAGAGAGAGAGAGAAAGTGAGCAGCACCTGCGCACTTAGGCTTGCAATTGTAGGGCATGGAGGACTCCAGGCCATGGAGTGACAGTGCTGCAGGGTGGGGCCCGCAAGGGTGTGCTGGGTGCCTGGGTCCACGGAGGAGTCTCCCCTGGAGATGAGACTTCAGCTGCATCTAGACGCACGTGGCCTCCATGACAAGGCTCCTCAAGAGAACTTCCTGAGGCTGGGCCTTCACAGTGTGCTTGAGAAACACCCTCGCTCCTGTTGATCCCAGCTCTCTGGGGCCCTCCTCTGTGAATGACATCCTCACAGAGGGGACTCTGTGCTCTGGCACCTCCTGCACTCAGGGACCCCTTCCCTGGCACCACCCTCACGGCTGCTCCCCTTGGCCAGCCTCCTCCGCCACCATAACGCAGACCAGGAGGGGAGCAAGCGATCCCTCATCCTTCCTTCAATCAGCAGGGTCTTGTGGTGGGCTCTGGAGCCACCTTAAAAGCAGTCCCCTGGGCCGGGCGCGGTGGCTCACGCCTGTAATCCCAGCACTTTGGGAGGCCAAGGTGGGCGGATCACGAGGTCAGGAGATCGAGACCATCCTGGCTAACATGGTGAAACCCCGTCTCTACTAAAAATACAAAAAATTAGCCGGGCGCGGTGGCGGGCGCCTGTAGTCCCAGCTACTCGGGAGTCTGAGGCAGGAGAATGGCGTGAACCCGGGAGGCGGAGCTTGCAGGGAGCCGAGATCGCGCCACCGCACTCCAGCCTGGGCGACAGAGAGAGACTCAGTCTCAAAAAAAAAAAATTATAATAATAAATAAATAAAAAATAAAAAAAGCAGTCCCCTGTTACCTGGGGAATGGACCGGGGCTTATAGATGCCAAAGAACTCTCCAGGGTCCACAGCCAGCGCACCAGCAATCTGCTCTCACCCACCACTCGCTTGCTCAACAGACATTTGTGGCTGCCAATGGGCCGGGGGCTGTTTGGGGGTATATTCAGCTCTGGGCCTGCCCTCAGGGCACTTAGATTTTAGAGAAAGAGGGTGCGGACAGAGACTGGACAAACCAAAACATAAAGTGCCTGGCATACATTGAAAAGGGGGCCATGGGATAGAGAGCAGCTGGGGAGGCACGGACAAGGGGCATGAGGAGGGTCCCTGGCAGGCAAGGAGGAAGGCCCTGGGGGAGACCGAGGGGGGAGCAAAGTCCCTGAAGGGACAAGCCCTCGCGCC
The DNA here is from genome assembly GCF_000001405.40 of Homo sapiens. Classification (NCBI taxonomy): domain Eukaryota; kingdom Metazoa; phylum Chordata; class Mammalia; order Primates; family Hominidae; genus Homo; species Homo sapiens. The sequence continues at coordinate 127,849,549 of NC_000010.11, forward strand.
CCTTCCCAGGGCCAGCACAGGGACCTTCAGGTTACACCCTATGCAGAAGATGGTGAAAAATACATCAACTCTTCCCATTCCCATTCCCATTCCCACGGGCAACTTGACAGTACAAGCTTCTGCCATGCCACAATATTGGCTCCTTTCTGGTAGTTGGTACGGAATTAACCCCCTTGTGTTAATTCAGATAGATCAAAAATGCACATTTAACAAAATGAAGGACACCAAAAAAAAAAAAAAAAGAATCTGCCTTCTTTCTTAGAGTTCTGTTTGAAAGAACGATCATCTTACTGAGAGAATCTGAGAGCTGGAAATGTATGGAAAATCTCTATTGAAAAAGGACTGAAATGGAACCTGTGAGGAATAATTGTTCAAGAAGAAATGTGAGCTTTTCCCTCCGGCCATGGATGTTTCTGAATTGGCCCTGCAAAAAGGCCATCCGTCAGAGCCGGCTAGGTGAAATGAATCCTTCCCAAGCTGCGGTAATCCCATCAAAGGGGAAGAAGGTGGGAAGGAACGAGGCGAATCCTTCCCCTTAGAGGTTAGGGAAGGAAGTCCTTTGCTCAGAATACAAACAAGTTTCCAGTGTAAGAAGGATTAAGCACGACTCTATTAACCTAATGCCTGCGCTGAGCACCAGCAGCTGCCCCACTCAGTACCAGAAAGCCTGGCAAAGCCTTTGGGAATATTTTGTTTGGGGAGATTTCCAGCTTCATGAGATTCTTCCTGATTGCTTTCTTTTAAAAAATGAATTAATTACAAAATGAGAAGTGCATGTAGTCTTGACTCCATCCACCCTCCAGAGGGGCCGAATGGAGGTTCCCCCTGGAGCCCGTGACAATCAATATCTAATCAAAACTCGTTATAAGAATAAATTAGCAAGCAACTCCTAAGCGCTTCCTGTTAGCTGGTGGTGGTTGTTCTTTTCTTTAAAGTTCAATAAAACAATTAACTTTTACATCTCAATCTAAAAGCCCCACTGCCAGGGAGCTTGTTTTTCAAAGGCGATGAACTGAGTGGGAACTCACTAGATGGAGAGAGAAATGAATCCCTCCCACCAGGGCAAAGCTGACAGCCAGAGGCAGGGCTGCTGCCGCCTTGCAAGACACACCTGGGCCTGCGCGCAGATGGCTTCGTTGGCCTGCGAATGCTTCAGATGAGGCAGACCTAAGGTCCCATTTTGGATACTGTTCATAAGGACACAGAAGAAAGAAGTTTGTATAAATGTCACTCTCTGAGACAGGTGAAGAGAACATTCAAAACCCAGGACAAGCACCAGACCAGGCGTTCAGCTCATGCGTTGTTTTTCAAGTTAATTACAAATGTGGTCCATAAACCCCCACTGCTGACTTGGGGGCCACTTCCTTTCCTTTTCTGGCCACAAGACAACAGTGGGACTTGGCTAGGAGGAGGGACCAGCCTCCCCTGGGTGGGAGGTCACTTGTCTCAGGGTGGGGGGCCCATAGTGAAAGACCAAGAGGGACAGCCAGGGCCTCCAGAGCGGCCACCCCAGGCAGCACCCCATGGGCTGCGACTAGCAGTGAAGCTCGGGTCCAACCGTGGAGAAGGAGGGAGAGGCAGGGTGCCAGGAAGGCCACCTGGGCAAAGTGCTGGGCGGCTCGGGCCAGAGGAGGCCAAGGCAGAGGGATGGGTCTGGGCCCGAGAGGTCAGGTGAGGTGGAGCTGGCACTGCCTGGGGAGAGGCTGTGACTGGGAGGCCCCTGGAGCCTTGTGCAGGAGCAGCGTCTGCGGGAAGGGCAGCTGAAAGCAGGAGCACATCGGGTGCCACCCAGTGGGGTGGAACAGCAGAGAAGAAGGCAGGTGCCCCAGGCAACTCCTTGATGTGTTTGCCTTGAGGAGGGGCCCAGAGGATGCTTCATGGGGACAAGAGGTGCCAGTAGAGGGGAGAGGCTGTGGTTTTAGGGAAGAGGACAAGAGGAGGGAGGTCAGAGAGATTGGGGTTGGCCTGGAGTTCTAGGGACCGCTCGTCTTTTCAAGACTTTTCTGACTAGACCTTCTGGAGAACTTTTTATAATTTCCACTTAGAGTTTTTCCAGAGGAGGAACAAGAGGCTTTGATGGGGACATCCAAGAACTGGTGTGACCTGGGGGATGGCGCTGTGCCTGGCAGAAGCTGTGCCCCAGGGGAAGGAGGCAGGCCCTAGTCCCCAGACTCCCCTCTTCTGCAGCTAGAAGGAGGATGGCAGGGCCAGGCAGGACACAGAGAAGAGCCAGCAGGGCCCATCCCCTCTAGGTGAGCGGGATCTCCGGGCCCCCAGGAAATGGGAGCATCCAAAGCAGCATTGACCACAAGGGGCAGGGAGGAGAGGCTGGAAAGGAGGTCTGTGCATAACGCCTCCGATTCCTGGTAGAACCTCACAACAGCTCGTTGACGGCGGGTCGGTGAGCATTTAAAGAGCAGCAGATTCTCATTCAGAGGCAGTGTGGTTCCATGGAAAGCAAAGCATTTCAGTGATGCGTGCTTAATTCAATCAGCTTACTTTACGCAAAAAGGATCCAGTGCCAGGAGTCCCCGGCCTGTCATGAAGGGTGGGGACAACGGTGTCCAAGAGCCACAAATAAAATGCCAAGGGAATGCTGTGACGGGGGCCCTGGAGGGCTTTGTGGAGGAGGTTGAAAGATTCTCAGAGCCTTCAACAATGCTCTGTGGAAGAATTTGGGAGGTTACATTGAAATGGTAGGTGGGCGAGGCTGGGGGAAAAAGGGAAGATTTCCAACACTTTGGATCTACAAGGACACAACAGGTTTTGTTTTTTTAAATGGCTGTGGCTAAAATCAGCTTCCTGGTAGCATCATAAATGGGGATGGAAACCCTCATAAGCCTGGTGTCAGTGGTGGTGGCACCTTGGTGAGCAGGTGACCAAATGGCCTGAGTGGTGACGTTAATCTACCTGTTCACTGGCTGTTGCCAAAGCGAGGCCTATTGGGACAGGTTTGCATTTCTTCTTGGCTTCTAAGACCAGGTTATGACAGACATCCTACAATGCAGGAGGAGCTGGACAGGAGGACAACATCACACCTGGCCCTGCCATCCTCCATCTCCAGAAGCCATGGTCCAGCAGGGAGATGCACGACTCATGGTCTTCCACGCTGAGTGGAAAAGCCATGGCAACGCGGGCACTGCCAGGGGTTTCAGGGTGCTCTGCATCTGTTTCTTAAATAAGACTGTCTTGTTAATCCTGAACATTCCAGCTGCTTTTGTCACAGTGTCCCCGGACAAGAGGGAGCCTGAGAGAGACTTAGAGATCAGGAGAAGCAAACCGGCCCACAAGTGTGATGGATGCTGTGTCAGAGTGTCTAGGATCCAGGAGCCCCGCTCTCCCCTTAGAGACGGATGCAGTTCCGTGCACACAGGCCCTCTTTCCTGTGTAGGGGAGGGGCATGCTGTCTGCACATGGCATGCTCCCTCCTGCCCAGGGAAGCCAACTGCCATATTAGCAAAGATGGTTTGAAAATGAACAAGAATCCCAACTTAAAATATATATATATATGCAGTCATTCCTTGGTATCCGAGGGGGATTGGTTCCAAGACCCCCATGGTAACAAAATCTGCAGATGCTCAAGTCCCTGATATAAAATAGTGTCGTATTTGCATAGAACTTACACAATCCTCTTGTGTACTTTAAATCATCTCTAGATTACTTATATATATCTAATACAATGCAAATGCCAAGTAAATGGTTGTTATACTGTCTTTTTAGAATTGGTATTATTTTTCATTGTTGTATTGTGATTTTTATTGTTTTTTAAAGTATTTTTTATCCTGGCAGGGTGCAGTGGCTTACGCCTATAATCCCAGCATTTTGGGAGGCTGGGTCACTAGACCCTAGGAGTTGGAGACTAGCCTGGGAGACAAAGTAAGACCCCATCTCTACAAAAAAAAAAAAAAAACGCTGGATGTGGGGTCGGGCACCAGTGACCTCAGCTACACGGGAGGCTGAGTCAGGAGGATTGCATGACCCAGAGGTCTAGGATGCAGTAAGCCGTGATCACACCACTGCACTCCAGCCTGGGTGACAGAACAAAACCCGTCAAAAAAAACAAAAAACAAAAAAAAACAAAGAAACATAAAACTGTTTTTTAATCCGAAGTTGGCTGAATCCATGGAACCCACAGGTGTGTAGAAGGACATCTCCCACAATGTTAAGTCATCACTTACCAGTGTCAGCTTCCTGATGTGGCTAAGTTTAGACACACACGCGGGCTCGCACGAAAGATCCTAATGTCGAATAAATTGGGGGGAAAAATCAGTTCAGCTAGATGGACAGATTCCTGGAAGTCTTAGTGTGCACACATGTGCTGTGCCTGTGCAGGAGGGCAGTGGGGAAGGCAGAGCCCCGTGTGAAGGGACATCTTTGACAACAAGAGCATTTCCAAAACCACCGGGGAAGTATGCATGTGCAGCAGGTGGGTTTCAGTTCCCTCCAGCGTCTCACATGCTGGAACGGTCTCTCCATCAGCTCTGACCCAGGCCCAGAGGCCTGACACTCCTGCTGAGTGCTCAGGTCCTGGTGGCACAAGCCTTCCCCAGTCCTGCAGCCTTCGGGAAGCGGCGGTGCCCAGGGCGCAGAGCTCTGGCGTTGCACTCATGGGCTTATGCTGCCCTCTAGTGCTGTGCTCTTGAAATAGCTGTGTGGCTTTGCCACTTAAAGCTGATGCGGAATCTAGGGCCTCGTGGGCCCTCTAAAGAAACTGCCTCATTGCATCAAAATCAATGCCCTGCTCTTCTAACAGACGCTCTCTAATGCCCTGTAATGAAACCCATACAGATGATCACCTATCTATGCTCCAAATCGCAAAAGATAAACATAATGTCTTAACTTTAATATAAAGTGGAAGTATAAGAACTTAAAGAAAAGTAGCTTTTATAGCATGGAACTTGTCTTGCAATGAGCTTGACCTACACTCACCAGAAGCAATTTCTTAAATACCCACTCAGAGGTGACACTGCTTCCGCTGAGAAACGCTCGTGGAAGGTCGGGCTGGCCAGCCTTGCTGTAAAGGGCCAGGTGGTGCATACGCATGGCTTTGTGGGCCATAAGCTCCCAGCCACACCTACACAGCCCTGTCATTGTGACGCAAAGGCAGCTGCAGACAGCAGCAAGTGAATGGGCATGGCCACATTCCAACAAAACATCATTTGCAAAAAGAGGCAGTTGGCTAGATTTGGCCCAGAGGTTAATGATTTGTGGATCCCTGGTCTAGAGCATCCCCTTCGGTTTACAGATTGGGAAACTGAGGCTCAGCGTAGAGGAGGGGATAGTGGTCACGACTAGGAAATTAGACCCTGAGCCAAGTCCACTGGCTCCAGCCCATCCATCCCAGCTCTTTGGCCGGAGCTCTGCGGGCTGTGACTCAGGTGGTCTCTCCTCAGGTGTACGGGGGAGGTTTGGTGACCCCAGGGATGATCCCAGGGAAAGGAAGGTCTGTGTTGGGCTTTCTCTGACAACGGCAGTTCCCTCCCATGCCCCCCGTCCTCCCCAGCTCTGATTCATTCATTCACTCAGGTCTCCACTGAGTACCAACCTGTGTCTGCCCACCCTGCAGTCATTCCTCCTGGCCAAGCAGCCTGTGCTGATCACAGCTCCCAACCCCTAGAAAATGAAAATAAAGATATGCAAATTACATCATTAGATTCAACAGGCAGACACTCGGTCAAATGGCTCTAAAAGTGTCTTGGCTCTCAGTTCCTCTTCTTGCTGCATGGTGGGATAGCAGATCCCGTGATGGGCTCCAGCACTAGCTCCAGGGCGGCCAGGCTGGCTCGTGGCCTCATGGAGGTGGGGACCAGGCAAGCTGGGGCTTGGTAAGGCTCCTGGCAACCCAGGGCCCATGGGGTGGCCGAAAGGGCTGTGCTTGTGTGTGTCCTTGTCCTCAAAGTCACTCACTGTAGCATCCCCTTGTCCCCACAGGCCCCTCTTCCCCGCAGGAACTCTCAGGATGGGCCGCCCCTGCACCACTGGGCTGAGAGGACCAGAGCCCAGGAACTGTCTGTGGTTCCAGGGTTGGGGAAGCTTCCAGTCATATGGGAGCTCATAAGGCCAGGACCCATCTCTTCAGCTAGGCTAGGAGGCCAGTCTGGTCCCAACCTCCTGGCTCCTTACACTGTCCTCATCCTGGGGGCCCAGGCTAACAACCGGAGTCAGATCCTGGAAGGAGGGTGTCTACTGGGGGTCTAGAGGCATGGAGATGGCTCCTGCAGGGGCTGGAGCTGGCTGAGGTCAAGGGTTCCCTCGGGGCCAGGGAACAAGCACCTTCTACTAGCCTCTTGGGGACCTGGAAATAGCAGACCAGGGCCCACAGACCTGGGCACTTGTCTGGCCCCCTGGATTTAGCCCCATGGTAAGTTGGGGAGGCTGAGGATTCACTTTTGTATCCTATTGCTGATGGAGCCTGTCAGACAGACACAGCAGGGATCTGTGATGGCCGCGCTCCAGAAACCCAGGAGCAGGTCTCGGGGCTCTTTGAGAGGCCCTGTGGTGAAGCCAGGCTGGGATCATGAATCAGCCGGGACAGGCAGGGAGGATCTGGGATTCTGGAGCAGGAGTAGTGGCCTAGAACAGGAGGGGGCCCAGCAAGCCCAGGTCCAGGCCCCACATTTGACAGAAGGAAGCAACGCTGCCCCCCAGGGGAGCGGCCTCCAGAATTTCAGGAAGCGTCAGTGTGTTTGTCTGCTTGGGCTGCCTTAGCAAAGGTCACAACCTGGGAGGCTCCAAGCAACAAAAGTTTACTTTGTCACAGTCACGAAGACCAGAAGTCCCAATCCAAGGCATCCGCAGGGCCATGCTCCCTCCGAAGCCTCTGGGGGTGAAGTCTTCCTTCCCCCTCGGGCCAAGCCCCGGTGCTGCTTGGCTGGAGGGGCATCGCTGCACTCTGCCTCGTCTTCACACACCTCTTCCTCCCAATGTCTGTCTTCACTCAGCACTCTCCTCTATATGCGTCTTCATGTCCAAATCTCCTTCCTCTTATGCAGACACCATCACATTGAATTGGGGGTCCACCCTACTCCAATATGATCCCATCTTAACTCGACTAATTATATCTGCAATGACCCTGTTTCCAAATAGGGTCACATTGACAGGTGCCAGGGATTGGGGCTTCACCATTCCCTTCTAGGGGATGTCATTCAGCCCACACCAGCACAGCACTCCCCAGGTTCCCCTGAGTGGGGCAGGCGTTCCCCGGCCTCAGGCTCATCTGTGGAACACAGGCCCTGGGACACACCAGCTAACTCAAGAGTCTCTTCCTGGACAAATATACAAGGGTAGGCCGGGCATGGTGGCTCATGCCTGTAATCCCAGCACTTTGGGAGGCTGAGGCGGGCAGATTGCCTGAACTCAGGAGTTCGAGACCAGCCGGGGCAACACAGCAAAACCCCATCTCTACAAAAAATACAAAAGTTAGCCAGGCATGGTGGTGCGCGCCTGTAGACCCAGCCACTTGAGGGGCTGAGGCAGGAGGATGACTTGAGCCCAAGAGGTTGAGGCTGCAGTGAGCTGACATGGTGCCACTGCATTTCAGCCTGAGTGACAGAGCAAGGCCCTGTCTACAAGAGTTCTCTAAAACCTACTAATTCTCACTGTTATGGGCAGGCTTCCAAAAAGAAGCAAGTCAACATCTGTTCATAGGTAACATGGCACTGAAGGCAAAGGCCATCTCTCATTCACCTTTGTGTCTCCCATGGTGCCTTGCAGATGCTGGTGGGCCAGTGGCTCACCCCAGAGGCCCTGCAGGTGCTTTTTAAAGGAGTAGTGCCCAGGGTGGGAGTAGTCTGAGACTCCCCATGGATGGGCTTCTAGAGTAATCTATCTGTTTACTCATCCCTGTTTCTGAGGCAAATGTTTCTCCCTCAACGAAGGTTCTTTTTCTACCATGATGGACTTTCTGAAATGCAAAGCCTCTTCATACCTCTGGTTTTCATCCTTTGTCGACAAAAGAGGTAAAATTTTCAAGACTTGTTGGAAAACTTGTGCCATTTGCAGATGAAGGAGGTGAGAATTAGTTGAGTTCTTAAGAAATCTAGATTTCTGCTCAAGCTCTTCAGAATAGTAATTCTTTACCTTTTAAACAAGATTTATAAAATTACTTTAGAACTGTAAAAATGTTTCTGAGAAAACACCAGAGGTGTTTTTAGATTTCTGTGTGTAATACATTCACCATTAATGTTATTCACAATGTTCTTTTTGGCACAGTATTCTCAGATTAATGCGATTATTTGTGAGGTTTAGCCACAGAACCTTGTTGGAAAACTAGACAGAGGATGAAAAAAGGGCTTCATAACACAAAGGTGAGACAACAGCATCCAGCCACAGTTGGCTGGAGTCAGTCTGGCTTTTAGACCTTGGGTGGCTCAATTTTTTATTTTCCTGGACCTTGGTTTGCTCATCTGTCCAATGGACATAGCAGCAGTACAGCCTTACAGGGCTCATATGGTGGTTAAATGAGAAACACAAGAAAGACACTTAGTGGCGTATGGAACAGCATTCTAACCACAGACTTCAAGGTCAAAATCCAGGATAGTGAAGGCCTTGGCAAGGGTGGAAGGGGATGGAACCAAGAAGGGGTAGGAACTCGACTTCCACGTATTCGGTAATCTTGATTTCCTTTTTCTCCCTCTCTCTTTTTTTTTTGAAATGGAGTCTCACTCTACTGACCAGGCTGGAGTGCAATGGCATGATCTTGGCTCACTGCAACCTCTGCTCCTGGGTTCAAGTGATTCTCCTGCCTCAGCCTCCCAAGGAGCTGGGACTACAGGCGTGCACCACCACGCTTGGCCAATTTTTGTATTTTTAGTAGAGGCGGGGTTTCGCCATGTTGGCCAGGCTGGTCTCAAACTCCTGACCTTGGGTGATCGACCCACTTCAGCCTCCCAAAGTGCTGGGATTACAGGCATGAGCCACTGCACCTGGCCAGACTTCTTTTATGTAAAAAAATAAAATAAATAAGAGGAGATGGTTAAAAATACAAATACAAATAAATAAGAGGAGATGGTAAAAATGCAAAATTACATCTGTAATCCCAGCACTTTGGGAGGCTGAGGTGGGCAGATCATCTGAGCCCAGGAGCTGAAGACTGGCCTGGGCAACATGGTGAAACCTCATCTCTACAAAAAATAGAAAAATTCTCTGGGTATGGTGGCACACGCCTGTAGTCTCAGCTACTCAGGAGGATGAGGTAGGAGGATCACTTTAGCCCAGGAGGTTGAGGCTGCAGTAAGTCAAGATTGCACCACTGCACTTCAGCCTGGACAACACAACAACAACAAAACAAATTTCAGTTAGACCGGAAGCTAAGTTCAGGAGCTCCACTGTGCTACATGGTGACTGTAGTTAATAACAATGTATTATATTCTTAAAAACTGCTGAGAGAGTACATTTTAAATGTTCTCACCATAAAAATAACCAGCATGTAAGGTAATGCATATGTTAATTAGCTTAATTTAGCCATTCCACAATATATATCAAAACATCATGCTCCACACCATAAATATATACAATTTTTATTTAGCAATTAAAAACATACAGGAAGAGAATATAGCAGACTCTTAGGAATGGTTTTATTGAGATGTAATTCACAAACATACGTAATATGTACAATTCAATGGTTTTTAGAGGTTGGTACAAAAGCAATTACAGTTTTTGCCATTAAAAGTAATGGCGGCCAGGTGTGGTGGCTCACACCTGTAATCCTAGCACTTTG